>NC_000011.10:118081515-118384545 GCF_000001405.40 Homo sapiens
ACGTGCAACCAGAAACTCTCGAAGGGTAGCAGATGAAAGGAACACTTGAGGAAGAGGGTGAGAGACATGATGGCCCCTGTCCAGGCGTGCGCACCTGTCCAGGGGTGGCAGTCGCGTCTCCTGTCACAAAATGTCCTGCACATCAGTCTGGCTGGGCGTCGCCCGCTGGTGCGGTTGAGCCAACCAATGCTTTCAGCATATCCTGCTGTCTCAGTTTCTTCCTCTAAATCTGTATGCATTCATTCATTCATTCATTCAGCATGTGTTCCCTGAGCATCTACTATGTGCTAGGTACTGGCAAGATACCATGGAAGATTCAGAGAATATGTAAAATCTAGGCCTTCAGTTTTGTGCACTCCATAGATGGAACAGGAGCAGGGGAGACTGCTTTCCCACACTCCAGACAAAGCCTGACACTCACTCACTCACTGATGTCCACAAGAAGGGGCTAAACATAGAGCCAAGGTCAGCCCCCTCACCTTCATCCCATCTCCACCCTGACATCACTCACGATCACATCTCCAGTCTCCAGAGAGGAGGGTCTTGCCAGGCTGCTGGGAGAACCTGTCCGGACACGTAGGAGTCACTGGTGGTCTTAAAGAGAATAATAGCTACAGCGGCAGTATCACATCTCTATCCAAATGCAACAAGGGCCCCATGTTGTGCTTTGAGAAGCACTTTCACATCCAAAATCTCCCTTCAGTCTAATACAACTCTCTGAGACATTGTAATCCTCATTCTACAGATGAAGAAATTGAGGCTCAGCCGGGTGTGGTGGCTCATGCCTGTAATCCCAGCACTTTGGGAGGCCTAGGTGGGCGGATCACCTGAGGTCAGAAGTTCAAGACCAGCCTGGCCAACATGGTGAAACCCCATCTCTACTAAAGATATAAACATTAGCCGAGCGCAGTAGCTCACGCCTGTAATCCCAGCGACTCGGGAAGCTGAGGCATGAGAATCGCTTGAACCCAGGAGGCAGAGGTTGCAGTAAGCCGAGATCACACCACTGCACTCCAGCCTGGGCAATAGAGTGAGACTCGGTCTCAAAAAAAAAGAAAGAAAGAAAGAAATTGAGGCTCAAAGAGGTTCATGACTTGAAAAGGGTCATTCAGCCAAGGGCAAAGGGAAAACCAGTAGCTATAATTAACTTAGACTTTCAAGAAGACTAAACTAAAGTTTCATACCCAATGCTGCTCAGGGAAAAAAAAACCCAAATTACCAGGAGACCATTAACGATAGAAAATTGATTTAAAGAGAGAATATTATAAGTGGATCAGGCCTAGGACTAATCCTATCTGTGGGAGGAGACAAGAGAAATTTCAGGCTGAGAGTGAGCTCTTCAGAATCACAGACCCTAAGGAAAAACCTTAGAGGTCTTCTCGGCGAGTGGGTTCCCCAAGCGTACTTTGACCTCAGAGCCTTTAGCTCCACTGAAATCAAATGCAGAATCCTCGTATGGGACACAGAGAGAAAAACAGAGCTGCAGTGTTTGAAAGGACTGTCCCCCACCCCCGCCACTTCTGCCCTGCCTCCCTCTCCTCTGCTGCGCCGCTGCGGGGCTCGGTCGAATCCCCCAGGGGTGCTCAGAGCCCTTATCTGACCCTGGCCCTCGTCTGCCACAGAAACCTTCACAATCCAGCTTTTGCTCACACATCTGTTTCTAGAAGCTACGGTTGCTGAAAACAATCTTTCCTTTGCCAGGAGAAAAGACTTTCTGTAACTTCCCCCGTTCCTCCTAGAACTGTCTTTTGCCTTTCTCAGACGGCCACACACACTTGAAGCTTTCATGCTTCCACTGGTCCTTGCTTCTCTGAACTGCGTGTTCCACCCTCTCTTCCGAGAGAGTTCACACAGGTCACACGACATCACCTCCGGTCCCAACTGCCCTGGTCACTGTCCCCAGATGCGCTTAGTCCACAGAGTCCCCTGCTGAAGCCAAGCCCCGGGGCCCATGAAATCATAAAAGTCGCTCTTTGCTCAGTTCCTATTACATACATGACAGGCCCTCTATGAAGCTCCTTCCCATTAACAATAAATAATTTTTGACTATGAGTATCTACTATGTCATGAACTTCCCAAGTTCTATTTTAATATTGTTATTAATAACTAATAAAAATAATAGAATATACTCCATGGGCAAAAGAGCTTTACCTCTGGTTCACTGCTAGGTCTCCAGGGCCCAGAAAGTTGCCTTACTAAATGAGTAAACTATTATTGTTGTTGTTATTATTATTACAGTTAACAATTACTGTACTCTTGGCTGGGTGCAGTGGCTCACACCTGTAATCCCGCTTTGGGAGGCCGAAAAGGGCAGATCACATGAGGTCAGGAGTTCAAGACCAGCCTGGCCAACATGGTGAAAGTACAAAAAATTAGCTGGGCGGTGGTGGCAGACGCCTGTAATCCCAGCTACTCTGGAGGCTGAGCCAGGAGAATCGCTTTTACCTGGGAGGTGGTGGTTGCAGTGAGCCGAGACAGCGCCACTGCACTCCAGCCTGGGCAACAGAGCGAGACTCCATCTCAAAAACAAAACAAAAAAACAATTATCGTACTCTTACCGTGCACCAGGCAATGTACTATATGCTATGCATATCTGGGGCTCCTTAGGAGGGAGACTTACTGCATCTCTCTTTCTCTCTCTCCCTCTTTTTCACACACACATGAAACTGAGTTTCTTGGTGGTTCAATAACTTGCTAAAGCCTCAGGCCAATGAGCAAACAGGATTCAGACCTAGGCTGCAGGATTCCACGGCCTGTGCTCTGTGCACTGTAAAACACAACCTCTCCTAGCAAATGTAATTTCAGCAAGGAAAAACTTCATGAAGCACTCGACGAGTTATGTGAGTGGGCAGGAAAGCAGTAAAGGAACTTCAGGTTATGCAACTGCAAAGTCAGAGAGGCAGAGAAGACACTGAAGCACTATTAAAGCACTATTTATAGGATCCTGAGCTCAGAGTTCACAGGAAACAGATCTAGGAGTCACTGAAACCTGTGCCAGGAGATTGGCTGCAGCAGCCACACCAGCCCAGCAAGGCTGGTTATCACTGGGGCCTCCAGAACAAACGAGAATCCTCAACCCTGCCCCTGTACAGAACCACAGCACAGACCCTCCTTGAACATGTGTGGAGTTCTGCTCTCCATGCCTGTAGGGTAATTGGGGCAGAGAGCACTAATTTTCACTTACTAAACTCCTCTATGTTTCAAGCACCAAGCCAGGCACATCACATGTGTCATCAATAATTCTCACCAACAACCCTGTGAATTAAGTCATATTCTCCCCATTTTACAGATGAGAAAACTGAGACTCAGAAAAATTTATTAACTTGCTCAAGACTTCATGGCTGGGAAGAGGCAGAGCTGGATTCAGGCCAGTGTCCCTGCCTCAGAGTTCAGGAGGAGCAGGATCAAGGGACAACCCCCTTCTGATCAAGGCAGCTGAGACCCCTCAAACTGCAAAGACCAACCTAGGGGACTATGAGCAAGTCTGTAAAATCATGCAAAGACCAGATGGGGCTCCTGGGGGCTTGCAAAGGTGCTGAAAATGTGCACGGTGCTGAGCAGGTGGCGCACCTTACAGAATCTTTCTCCCCATCATCTTGTGAAGTCGCTTTTATTGTACCCACATTCCAAAGAAGGAAACTGGGTCCAGGAGCTGTTTAGTGACTTGCTCAAAAGTTGTTCTACAGATGGAGGAGTCAGATCTTCTTCTTCTTTTTTTTTTTTTTTGAGACAGAGTCTAACACTGTTGCCCTGGCTGGAGTACAGTGGCAGGATCTTGGCTCACTGCAACCTCCGCCTCCCAGGTTCAAGCGATTCTCCTGCCTCAGCCTCCCGAGTAGCTGGGATTACAGGCACCTGCCACCACGCCCAGCTAATTTTTTGTATTTTTAGTAGAGATGGGGTTTCACTATGTTGGCCAGGCTGGTCTCAAACTCCTGGCTGGAGTCAGTCCCAATCAGTTCCTTTTCCCTCCCTGCCATTTCCCTCCCTCTTAAAGTTTAAAGGACAACTCAGGACAAGCAAAAGTGAGTACGATTCTTGAAAGATGGTATAAACTCTGTCTTTGAACCTTTTTAAATTAACGTCAGACTGCTCCATGGATGGCAGGTCCTCAGTTCAGGTAAATTGCAAGGTTGAGAGAACCCCTCTAAGCTTTAAAATCCATCAGCCCTTCCCAATGGCAAACCCATGAGGGTCCCTGCCAGGCTGAAAGGCTGAACTGTGTGGCGGGACCCCTTCTGGCCCTCTCGAGTCCCCTCCAGCCATTGTCCAGGCATTGTCCTCAGGTGTGCAAAGATGGTGGCACCTTCCTTCCTATCAGACCCTTCCAGGAGGGGAAGGTGGGCTCAGATGGACCCACCACTCTGGAACAGAGGGAAAGCTGAGCAAAGTAGAGCTGTTGAGAGTTCAGAAAGGTGGGAGAGAATGGGCTGCTTCCCCTAGGACAAAGAGAAGGATCGCAGAGGGATTCCTAAGCACTGCAGTAAACAGCAGCATCACCTGGAAGCAGGGCCCTCCAGTGGGAACCAGGTCTGTCTTCAGTTTAATTTAGCCCAAGGGGCATGTACAAATACCTCACTCCTGCCCTTCACATTGTCTCTGGGGAAAAAGCATAAGCGCTGTGCCTCAGTTTCTCCATTTGTGAAATAGGAATAGTTACATCTTCCCTGCCTCCCCAGCCCTATCTGAACCTAAGAGCTATGCCCGAACACAAAAGCTGATTCTTAAATGATGGGAGCTGAACAGCAGGCTGGCAGGGGATAATGGCAGGCTGCCTGACTCCTCCCTTCTGCCCCAGGCCCTGCCCTGGAGCCATTATGTGCTGAGATGGGGGATGAGGTGCTCGGCTCAAATTGCCAATAGGTCAGCACCTATGTGGTTTAGAACAAGGCAAAATGGTTTCTAATGTAGCAGCCAAGGCTGAGGTTAGACCCAAAGGAAAAAGTGCTGCTCTAATAATGACTCAACGCAAGGCAGTGTTTGTGAGGATGCTCCCTGAATTTCTGCGTGAGAGCTTAGATGCCCAGCGGCATATGGCCTGGGCTGGTGGCCGACCTGCCTAGAGACAGAGTAACAGGTGCGATCCCAGGATACTTGGAAGTCGGCATGATCAGTCATCTCTGAGGACCTCCCATGCACTCTGGGCTGCTGCATCACCACCAGGCTCATCTCAGGAAACTCACTCCCTCCTCTCCTGCCCCATGATCTTCCAGCCCTCAGTGACCCTCTCCTTACCTGTCATGGCTGAGACATCCAAGAGAGAGAGCCCTGTTGCCAGCGCAGCAAAGGCATCAAACTGCCTATTCCAGCTGCAAGTGGAGAGGACACAGCTGCTTGCCGTTGGTTTTGGGGAGGGATGCAGGTTCTGGGGTCAGAGAGCAGAGTGAGGCTCCCTCAGAGGAGCACTGTGGCCGGGCCCCACTCTGCAAGCTGACGGCAAGCACCTCTGGGTCTCTTGGCTTACCCGAAGAACTTTCCCCACCCCCTCCCTTGGGTTTTCCCCACTGCTTATTACTGGCCTCAGCAACCTAACTGCCACCTGCCCAAGCCTCAAAGGACCTGTTTATCCCATCACCTAGCAACAGCACCATCTCTGGCTCTAGGTTTTCCTATGAGACCATGGGAAGCCAGGGCCTTGGACTCCAGGGAAGACTGAAGCTGTCACCCTCTTTTGTGTGCCCCTGCTTTTCTCTCTTTGTCCACACTCCAGTCATTCCAGCTCTGCCCTTACTGACTTCTTTCCAGAGCAAGTCAATGCCAAGTCAGCATTGCAGAGAGGAAGAGAGAAATCAGGCCCCAGGGACAGGATGCTTGGCAAGGGAGGCAGACAGGAGCTGGCCGAGCTTTCTGTTCCTTTGGCCTCCTTGAGCTGCCGCCTCTTCTTCCTCTCCTTATTAGCCTGGTGGACTTGCCTGTTTCATTATGAGGTTATTAACTCTTTCATCCCATCTCTGAAGGGCAGTTCCCAATTACCCAAAGGGATCTTGAGGTTCAGAGACATTGAGGAGTGTGCCCAAAGCCACACAGCAAGTCAGAAGACAAGGCAAGATGAGAACTCATACTCTCCAGGCTGGTGGCTTCTCTGCAGCACACTTTGTGGCTTCTCTGCAGCCACTTAAGCTTCACTCCATTTAAAAACAAGAGCTGCCTTGTATCTGGGTTCATTCTCTCTGAGCTGGAAAGGAAGTTGACCTTAAGATGTCTGTTTGCTTTTTGGAGCTGAGCTAAGCCCAACCAGGAGGTTCCCCATGATCTAAAACAGTGGTAGGGGTGGGGAATAGGAATAAAGGAAGAAGAGGCAGGTGAGAAAGGTGGGAACTTATGGAAGAAAGGGAAGAACAAATGCTAATATCAATAAAGCCCCTCCTGGGAACCAAGCCCTGCAATAGGCCCCTTTCCCAACATGCTCTTTGAGGTCTCTTGACCGCATTCATGGATGATATGGCAGAGCCCAGAACTGAGCAAAGTCACTCTACCTTCACACCGAGGAAGAGCTGGAGAGATGCTGGGGGCAATCTCTGCATGATGACTGCATGCTGGTTATATCCAACAAGGCTGCATTGCAAGGGAGGAGTGATTCAAAAGGACCCAGCACCAGCTAATGACTGTTACCGAAATGAGTTCCTGAAACCATGGGGAAATGAAATCAACAGTCCACCAAGTCCAGAAACCCGGCCCAAAGGGCTAGATCTGTTCCTTACTTGCTCCGAAGCCATAGCAGCTGCCTTTTCTGTAAAATGGGGACAATTTCTCAGGGTTGTTCCATGGATTATATAGGACAGCATTTATGAAAGAAAGACATCGTAAATTATATAATAATACTCAACTGCAATAACTAATGGTTCTGCCTCCATATTTGGGTCTTGGATTAATGTCTTCCTCTGCCGGTGACAAACCGAGAAGCAGGAAAAGAAGATTCTCTGAGTTGATCAGGCAATGGCAGGTTTTCCAGTGATTGAACACCCACCCACTTCCACCTCCCCACCTCACCCGCTACCTGGGCCCTGGGGGCCTGGGCATTCTTGCCCTTCCACTGTACTGCACACAGCAGGAGCTTCATTCCCGGATGAGCCCCAGGTCAGACACTGGCTGGGCTGGACCCATGAGTCAGGGCTCTGCGGCAGACTGAATCAACAGAGAAGACAGGCCTGGCCCAGCCAGTGGCCCAAACAGAAAGGGAAAGGCCAATGCCTTTGCTTGGTCTGGGCTGGGCCGGGGCTGTAACAGTTGTAGGCAGAAGCTGAGTTCAAGCTGGGGGTAAATAAATACATCTCCAGCAAAGCAGAAGGAAGCACATGTGTTGTTTGGTGACCTCTCAACTTCCTCCTTCCCTCTATTAACTCCAGGTTAAGACAATTCTATCCGACCTCTGTTTTCTCATCTGAAAATAAGGAAGTTGCCTTGTTTCAGCTTTGCATCTTCTGATCATGGCGGGGACCCACCATGGTGATGGGGTCTGGCTGGATCTCTGAATTTTACCTGGTACCCACATCTCTCAGACCCATTCTCTCCTTTCCTTAGCTCAGGATTGTTGCTTCTGGGCTCAGAGGAGATGCAGCTGGCCATAAGTCCCTATTTCTATCCTGCTCAGGGATGTCATCGACATTGATGGCCCCCAGTTGACACTCACAGGCCTAAAATGCACCTACCTCCCTGCCCATGAGCCCCAGTACTCGTGACCTTCTGCAGCTCCTCTTCCAAAGGTGTATCTGTCCATCAGCTCTGACCTGTCTGTGTCACAGATATTTGCCAAAGAGCTTCAAGAAAAGCCAAAGAATGAGCTACTCATGGGGAAACTCAGGCAGCACAACAGTAAGGGCAGAGCATGGTGAGGACATGAGTTTGACCTCCTCAAGCCACTCAGCATAGCCAGGTGATGGCTTTTTTATGTTTTCCTTGAGCCTTGGGTGCATAGCATTGGGGGAACTAGAATCCTTGCTTCATGACTTTTTTCACTATTGGTCCATGCAGGGCCCATTTGTAACTTGCTAGTTAGTTGGATTTAACAATGTAATAAGCCTCCATAAACCCATCATCCCCAACAAAAGCTGGACTTAATAGTAACCTACATCTAACCATGAGGTTCCCACTCCTGCACACACATATCCATCCCTCTCCTGAGGTGGGTAGAGCAAGTGTCTTTCGTTTATTAATTCGACAAATATTGGCTATACATATTTGATAGGCAGGGACTGTACTACAAGCTCCCTGCCCAAGTAAGTTCTTCCCAAACCCCATATTCATCATTCCCTTGCTTCTCTATAGAAAAGATTCTGTGCTATATGTAATCTTTTGGGACTAAGTTTTTCCCTTAATATTACATTCTAATATCATCCTTATTATTATTTTGAGATGGAGTGTTGCTCTGTCCCCCAGGCTGGAGTGCTGTGGCACCATCTCACTCACTGCAACCTCCCCTCCCGGGTTCAAGGGATTCTCCTGCCTCAGCCTTCTGAGTAGCTGGGATTACAGGCGCGTGCCACCACACCTGGCTAATCTTTGTATTTTTAGTAGAGACAGGGTTTCACCATGTTGGCCAGGCTGGTCTCGAACTCCTGACGTCAGATCCACCCGCCTCAGCCTCCCAAAGTGCTGGGATTACAGGTGTAAGCCACCGTACCTGGCCCCATCCATATTATTTTGTGTCACTACAGTTCATTTGTTTTGACTGCAGCCTAATATGTCACTGTGTGAATATACCAGTCAGGTTCGTAAAGACTGAGCTGAGGCTGAGTCCTCAAACTGAGATATTTTCATTAATTCTTTCATTCAACAAATATTTTTTCAATACTCATTATGTACTGTGCATTGTAGGAGACATCAGGGATATCACAGTTAACAAGATAGTCACAGTCCCTGTCATTCTAGCTTACGGTTTTGCTTTAGTTTATTTTTTCTTTCTCTCTTTTGGTTTCAAACAGGGATAGAATTTTTTTCCACAACTACTACTCAGTGAATAGCAATTGAAAACATATTAAGAGCCAGGCATTGTGGCTCACACCTGTAATCCCAGAACTTTGGGAGGCTGCGGTGGGCAGATCATTTGAGTCCAGGAGTTCGAGACCAGCCTGGGCAATACAGTGATACCTCATCTCTACGAAAAAAAAAAAAAAATAGCTGGGCGTGATGGTGCATGCCTGTAGTCCCAGCTACTCAGGAGACTGAGGTGGGAGGAGCCCTTGAGCGCAGGAGGTGGAGGCTGCAGTGAGCTGAAATCACAACATTGCACTTCAGCCTGGGCGACAGAATGAGACTCTGTCTCTCTCTCTTTCTTTCTCTCTCACTCTGTCACACACACACACACAAACACACACACACACACACACACACACAAAATTAGCCACTGTTCAGTTCAGTGATGAGGAATCCAAGGCCCCAGAAAGTGCAGAATATAAGCCTCCTTTGTGCCTCAGCTTCTAGCACTATTCCGGGTCCATCAAAGTTGTATAGTCAATATTTGTTAAATTAACAATAAACAAAAGAAACTTGCCCTACCTACCTCAATGAATGCAGGCATGCATGCACAGGTAGACTCAGTGGAAAAGAATGAATTGACAGGAAAGGGCCCACTTCCCTGCTCCACCAACCACTCTTATAGCCTCCCACAGCTCAGCAAGCACCCTCTCACCCACGTAACTAAAACCCAAGCACACCCAATCCATCGGCGAGGCCTATTGTTTGTATCTTCCAAACACATTTGGCGTCTTTTTACCACCAACCTCCTCTCTCCTTATGCCCTTGCCTTGCTCCAGCCATGCCCATCTCTATTCAGTTCCTCCAACCCCCCAAGCTTGTTCCTTCCCACTTGGCTCCTTCTTGTCACCTCCTCTAGGGAGACCAGCAAGATCCTCCGTAACCATCCTGAGCCCCTCCCTAGAGCTCCCATTCTCAGTCTGCATCCAGGCGCTGTCTCCTCTCACCCTGGATTACTCCCTGCATAGCACCTACCCCTCTCTGATCTTTTCTGGTTTATCTGTTTATGGCCTGTCCTCCCCCTTCCCCTAGCCCTCCTCTCCACCAAGAAACAAGCTTCTTGGGGACAGACCCTCGGCTGTCTTCTTTGGGCACTATTTTCCCCATCTTGCTGGGATGATTTCTTGATCTGTCTTTGAATCCTCCTGGAGTAGTGCCTGGTACAATGTAGATGCTTTACAAGCATTTGTTTAGTTTAATAATTAATTCTTTAATGCTGCCCATCCTGGTTGGCAGACAATTGATATCGACTTGACTAGACAAGAGTTAGATGAAAGGACTTTGTAAACTGTTACATGCCAGTTGGGTGTGAATTACTGTTGACGTTATCCTAACTTGACTCTAGCTGCAACAATGCAGAGTCGTCCGATTGGGTCTCATCTTCAGCCTGGAAAGAGTCTGCTCTATCCAGCCCTGGTGATGGTGGAGGAGAGACGGCCGGGAATGAACTACAATGCAGAGCTCAAAGTTCAGTCCAGTTCACAGTCATTTATTAAGTTTTTACTAGGTACTAGCCTGGTGCTAAACAGCAAGGGTACAAAGGCAATGAGAAAGAGTGGCTAATTAAAAATAAAATGTTAAATTTAAAAAAGCAACCAAAAAGAAAGAAAAAAGGAAAGGAAACGCTGACCACCCTATGAGAGAAGCCCTGTGATAAACACCTGTACCAAATGCTACAGAAGTGCAGAGGATGGTGTAACCGCCCAAGGGGTTCACCTTGCCCGCTGCCTAGACAAAACCAATTCATCAAGACAGGGGAATTGAAATAGAGAAAGAGTAATTCACGCAGAGCCAGCTGTGTGGGAGACTGGAGTTTTATTAGTACTCAAATCAATCTCCCCAAGCATTCAGGGAGCAGAGTTTTTAAGGATAACTTGGTGGGTGGGGGGAAGCCAGTGAGCCAGGAATGCTGATTGGTCAGGGATGAAATCATATAGAGTTGGAGCTGTCTTCTTGCGCTCAGTCAGTTCCTGGGCGGGGGCCGCCAGATCAGATGAGGCAGTTTATTGATCTGGGTGGTGCCAGCTGATCCGTCAGGTGCAGGGTCTGCAAAATATCTCAAGCCCTGATCTTAGAAGCAGTTTGGGGAGGGTCAGAATCTTGTAACCTCCAGCTGCATGACTCCTAAACCATAATTTCTAATCTTGGGGCTAACGTTAGTCTAGTCCCCAGACAAGAAGGCAGTCTGCTCTGGGAAAGAGCTGTTACCAACTTTGTTTAAACTATAAACTAAGTTTCTCCCAAAGTTAGTTCTGCCTACCCCTAGGAATGAACAAGGACAGTTTGGAGGTTAGAAGCAAGATGGAGTCGCTAAGTTAGATCTCTTTCACTGTCTCAGTCATCATTTTGCCAAGGCAGTTTCAATGGGAGGGCAGAGGAAAGAGAGTTCCCATGTGAGAGCCCAGCATTTCCCACCAGACAACTCATGTAAACCTCACAGTAGTCTTTTGAAGCAGGTTTTATTGTCCCCACTCTACAGAGGGTAAGCCTGGAGCTCAGAGAGGTGAAGGATCTTTCCTGAAAGCACACAGTTAATAGGAGGCCGGTCTTGTATTCTGACTCGACCCCTGCAGACTGCAGAACCAGGCTGTGTGCTACATCACAAGGCCACCCATGGCCTAGTGTTACCCAAGGGCAAGGCCAGGCATGTCCCTCCATCAGACTACAGGCTCGTTTGGGAGGGAACGAAAGAGCTCCTTCCTATTGCTGTGTCCACCGTGCTTAGCCGTGGAGCAAGCAACACCCAGGGACCCTCCCTCCATATCTAATCTGGGTCACCCACTCAGGGATTAAAAGAGGCCCTCTCACTCCCAAGAGGAACAGAAAAAATTTCCAGCCAGAAATGTACAAGGTCCTGTGACTCCTTCAACCACCACCAAGGTGGGTCATGACCTCAGCACAATAGGGCAGGCGAGTCCCTGGGTGGAGACCTAGACCACAGGGTTCAGAGGGCATAAACCCAGACAGCATGCTCCTTTTAACCTTTGCCTGGCAGAAAGGGCCTGCATTTTTTTGTATGTGAGCCTTTGTGTCAGTGGCTCCTCCATGTGACTCTGTGGCTGTGTGCGTGCTGAGTGCACACATGAAGTGGTGTAAATAGAAATGCCTTTGCGTGTATTTGTGCACATGCGTCGACGGCAGCCTAAGACCACTCTCTCAGAAATATCATAATGTTGATAGCACATATGTAGTAAAGTACTCAAGTCTAAAGTCTACCACCCAGTGAATTTTTGCACATATAAACACCTATGTAACCAATGTTGAAAACAAGATCCAGAAGTTTTCCTATGTTCCAGAAGACTCCACTGTGTTCCTTCCAATAACTAACTGCCCCCCCCAATGGTAACCACTATTCTGACTTCTATCACTATAGATTAACCTTGCCTTTTAAACTTTATATAAGTGAAATCGTACTTTTTGTGACTATTTTCTTCCCTTCATCATTATGTCCATGGAATTCATCCATGTCATTGCACTGAGAATGTTTATTCTTGTCTATTGCTGAATTATATTCTATTATATGAAAATACCAGTTTATCCACTCTACCAGTGACTGACGTTTGGGTTTTTCCAATGTTTAGCTATTACTAATGAAGCGACTATAAACTTTCACACACAGGTTTTTTGCTGGACATTTGTACTCATTTCTCTTGGCTCTATCCTGGAGCACAATTGCTGGGTCAGAGAATCATAAAATACTTGTACGTTTAGCATTAGTGGATTCAGCCAAACCATTTTCCAAAGTATTTGTACCACTTTACACTCCCACCAACAAGGTCTGAGAGGTCTTGTTGCTCCACATCATCATCAACACAGTATTATTAGTCTTTTAAATTTTAGCCATTTAGTATTTATGTAGAGAAATTTTATTGTGGTTTGAATTTGCATTTGCCTGATAAGTAATGATATTAAGCATTGTTTGGTACTTATTGGCCAGTTGAGTATTCCTTTTTGTAAGATGTCTATTCAGAGTTTTTACAGAAATATAGTATCTGTAAACATAGACAAATTATTGACAAAAACAGATAGTAGAGCAGAATCATCTTGAGGAATTCAGCAATTTACACAAAAACCAGCAGCCAGTTGCTTCTACAATTGCTAACCAGTTGCTACTAGTTAAGTAAACTAATAAGTAAACTAATTGAAACAGATCAAACAGGTGCATGACTGAATGTTTCCTGTTGAACCAGGTATTTGGATAACACAGAGACCCCCAACGTAGACTCAGGGAGAAGGGAATGTAGACAAGACCCAAGAACCTCCCGTAGGCTGCTAGCCCCAGCCTGAGAGGCTCCCTGCCTCAACTCACTGACTGTTTTTCCTTCAATTACAGGATCCTGACAGTGATCAACCTCTGAACAGCCTCGGTAAGTTCAGGTCCGGCTTTCATTCGTCCACCTTAGCCTCTGAGTTTCAGCTACCAAGTAGATCCTAAGCCACTCGCGCCTGGCCCTCACCACCACCACCAAAGTGCTAAGTGCCATGAGTGACATCCAGTCACCCGTCCATCCATCACTCAGCAAACATTCCAGGATTCATTCCAGAAGTAGGAGGCCTGGACTCTGGGGAAACAGGACCAACAAACCTAAAATCCCCAAAGCAATGATTCTCCAATTCATTCATTCAGTCACTCTTATCCTTTCAGTAAAACTGTACGTACCTGCCATGTGCCAGGCCCTAGGCTGGATGCTGGGCTATAACACTAATTAAGACAGCTGAAGTCCCTGGTGTCATGGAGTTCACATTGGCCAGAGGCATTTTCATGAAAAATGGCAGTGCTTGCCTGATTTCCAAGGGAAGAAAACTAAGTTAATAAATAGAATGATCCCAAATTTAAGGAGGTATTTTTCTTCCATTACATTTTCTTAAACCATTAATATCTACTCCTGATAGCCTACTGGATCAGCAAAACAAATGAGCAAGGAACACGTTAATATGAACAGATCAGTAAGAAAATGGCCAATCCTGCTTGACGGGCTATGTATTTCTCAGTTCTGGGTCATGAGTTAATAATGACCACAAATGAAGTAATCTTTAGCAAGTAAAATGGTGCCTAGTTTATACTTTGGAATTCAATATAAGAGTAGGCCATGGTGTCCCCAAGGAACACCAGGGTGCCAACTGCTCCGCCACCTGAGCAAGCCTGAGAACTCTCAAACCAGAAAACAAGCTGAATTTGCTCGAGGACCAGGGAGTGAACGTGACTATGCAGAACTGGGGTTGGTGAAGACTAGCAGTGGAAGTCCATTTGGCTCAGAGAAAGAGGCCAAATTACACTGGCTTTGAAAGATATAATCCAGATGTGGAAGTCTCTTGTAGGCCCTCGAGTAAGAAGTGACAGGATGAAAGCAAGCTTTTAGGAAGCTCTGTCTAGCTGCAGTGGGCAGGACAGGCTGGAGGGAGGAACAACAGCCGGCAAGGAGGCTGTTCATAGCTCACTGGGTTCGTTAACTTAAACTAGGTATGAAAGCTCGTTCCTTCCTGATGGGGGAAGCAGATGCTCCCTGAGAATGTCTGGTCTTGGACACAGGAACCCATGGCTCCCCATGGGTCACTCACTCTTGGAGAAAACAAACAAATCTCATGTTCCCAGAGGTAGATGCTCAATAAATAAATCATGCATGAATTCATGAACAAAATGTCATCATGGCCATGGCCACAGGAAAGAGGACAATTCTGAAGACTGGCTGCTGGAACTTTAAAAACAGTATTGGCAAACATTACTGATAAGCTACTTTGTGCCAGGTCATAGTTCACAGGCAATACCATTCCAGTCCACATCCCCACTGCGTGGCCTCTGTGTCTGAAGTTAAAACATTCTTTTGGGGAAACACAAAGTGTCCTAAGCTTTCCTTTGTTAACAGATTCATTAATACTAGCATTCATTGGGCGCCAATCTCTAGCAGGATGCCATTCTCCACTTTGGAAGAGCTGAGGAAAGAAATAGAGTCAGACATATGATTAGCCATCATTCAAGGCAGAATAAAATGTGACCTGTAAGAAAGGTAGAAGGGGCCGGGCATGGTGGCTTATGCCAGTAATCCTAGAACTTTGGGAGGCCAAGGTGGGGGTGGATCACTTGAGCCCAGGAGTTTGAGACCTGTCTGGGTAACATGGCAAAACCCCATCTCTACAAAAAATACCAACGTTAACTGGGTGTTGTGGCACATGCCTGTAGTCCCAGCTACTTGGGAGGATAAGGTAAAAGGATGGCTTGAGCCCAGGAGGTGGAAGTTGCAGTGAACCAAGATCATGCCACTGCCACTGCACTCCAGCCTGGGCAGCAGATTCCATGAATGAAAGGGAGAGAGAGAGGAGAGAAAAAAGAAAGAAAGAGAGAAAGAAAGAAGGAAAGAAGGAAAGAAAGAAAGAAAGAAAGAAAGAAAGAAAGAAAGAAAGAAAGAAAGAAAGAAAGAAAGAAAGGGAGAGAGAAAGGAAAGAAAGAAAGAGAAAGAAAGAAAGGAAGGAAAGAAAGAAAGGAAAGAAAGAAAGAAAGAAAGAAAGAAAGAAAGAAAGAAAGAAAGAAAGAAAGAAAGAAAGAAAGAAAAGGAAAGAAAGGAAAGGAAAGGAAAGGAAAGGAGGTAGTAGAAGGGACGTACTTAAGAGAGCAGAGCCAAGAACAATTCATCTGTTCAGGTGACAAATATTTGTTGAGCAATTGCTGTGGACCAAGCACTGTTCTAGGCACCAGGGACTTAGCAGTGAACAAAACAGACAAGTTCTGTCTTCAACGAGTCTTCATTTCATGGAGGGGCGGGAGGAGACAGAAAATATACAAAATAAGTCAAATATAGAGTTTGTTAGAGGTGATGCGTGCTTTGGAAGAAAAAAAAAGCAAGAAAGGAGGATAGGAAAGGTTGGAAGGCTGCATTTTAAATAGGGAGATCCAGGAAGGCCTCACTGTGAAGGTGACAGTGAAGAAAGACTGGGAGGAGGACAGGGAGCCAGTCATGTGGAGGTGAGGGTAGGAGAGCCGGTCCGTTGCTTTCCAGGGTTTCCAGAATTCTTGCCCCATCTCCCCCAGGGCAGAAGTCCCCATGGCACCTCCCCAGCTTATTTCCCACAAGGAGTGGGGGACTTAAAAGAATGTATCTCTGATACTTACTGATATTAACTTTGCCTATGTTTTCCCTTTCCCAGGTTCCTTCTCCTTGGATAACCATGTGCAATTGACAATGTAGTTATTATCACCTCTGTTCTAGGCAGTGATAAGCTCCTACCTGGTCTCCCTAACCCCAGACTCTTTTGTTCCAATCCACCTCCTCCCTGATGAAAGATCCATCTTTCTTTTTGTTTTTTGAGGTGGAGTCTTGCTCTTGTCGCCCAGGCTGTAGTACAATGGCACAATCTCAGCTCACTGCAACCTCCGTCTCCTGGGTTCAAGTGATTCTCCTGCCTCCGTCTTCCAAGTAGCTGGGATTACAGGCATGCACCACCATGCTGGCTAATTTTTGTATGTTTAGTAGAGACAGGGTTTCACCATGTTGGCCAGGCTGGTCTTGAACTCCTGACCTCAGGTGATCCACCCACCTCGGCCTCCCAAAGTGCTGGGATTACAGGCGTGAGCCACCGCACTGGACCAGATCCATCTTCCTAAAATTAATTTGATCCTGTCTCTCCACTGTTCAAAAACTTTCAATGGCTCCTCACTGCCTTCAGGATAAAACCCAGGCTCCTTAGCATAATGTTCAAGAGTCTCCACAGCTGCCTTCACCCATCCTGCCTTCCAACTTGCCTTTATTCCCCTGGTACCCCAGGCACACCAGGCAGCCTACAGGCACCCTCCGTGCCTCCGACAGAGCTGAGCCAGTGCCTCCCTCCCAAACTGCATTTAAGTGCCACCTGCTGAGGGAGGCTTTCACCAGCTTACCTTTGAAGATGTCTCTATTATAACATATATTATCTTCCACCTGGCTGGGCTGGCATCTGTGTCTGCCTCTTCCCCCAGATGGTAATCTCTTTAAAGACAAGGACCAGGCTAGGGACTTGCTGTTTGTGGGATTGAGGATGCATTGATTCACAAGTATTTATTAAGCCTCTACTAAGCACACACTGTGCTGGAGGCCCCTGCCTCCCTGATGCTTAATGTTTAATCAAAAGCTAAGTCAGGAGGTCAGGAAAAGGATAAATGGTGGCACAGTGAATGGGTACGTGCCCCAGGGGCTCAGGCCTCTCTCGGGCAGGCGAGGGTCAGACAAAACCCAGAAATGTCCTAGGACAGGCTCAGGCAAGACACGGGGGAGGTGGCCTGACCTGGGGGCTCCTTTGAGCGGCACTCAGGAAAGATAGGTGAGCCTGGATAAGTAAGAAGAGGCAGGGTAACCACGTGCTGTTGAAGCTAAGCCTAGTCTGCAGGAATAACCCCCCAGCATTAACCAAAACTGTGCTCAAGGCATACCTGTCACCGGCCAGAAGGCAGGAGGCTGTGGAGTTTGGCTCAGGGATCACCAAGTGCTGACTGCATGCTCTTCCCCTCTGCCTCCCATTTTCTTGCAGATGTCAAACCCCTGCGCAAACCCCGTATCCCCATGGAGACCTTCAGAAAGGTGGGGATCCCCATCATCATAGCACTACTGAGCCTGGCGAGTATCATCATTGTGGTTGTCCTCAGTAAGTGACAGCCCGTACCCGACTTTCACCCTCTAAGTAAATGACAGGGCCCAACCCCCACCCCCGCACTCACCCCTGAATAAGTGACAGTCCCCCACCCCTGCCCTCACCCCCTCAGTAAGAGGCAGTCCCACCCCTGCCCTCACCCACTCAGTAAGTGGCAGCCCCGCCCCTCCCATTATCACCTCAGTAAGTGGCAGCCCCTACTTGTCCTTCACCCCCTCAGTAAGTGGCAGCCCCCACCCCCACAGTCAGGGGCAGGTGATCTGCATAAAGCTTTGCAGAAAAAATCATTGGTATAATAAAAGGAATTTGAGGAGAAAAAAACAGAGAGAGAAAAAGAAAGAAGAGAGAAAGAGAGAAAGAAAGAAAGAAAGAAAGAAAAAGAAAGAAAGAAAGAAAGACATGTATCCACCCCCTGCTTTGAAGAGAGCCTTCTTCTAAAAGTGAAAGGGGAGATGAACTCAGCCCCCATCTGTTCCAGACGGCTTCTATCCCAGGTGACTTCTTCTAGAGGGAGAGCACAGTGGCATATGTTCCTAACCCACACATGCAATTTGCAGGGCTGCCACGCCCCCTGCCCCCTCCTTCCCATCTTCTGCAGATTGCAAGCTGAGTGGCTCTGAGCAGCGGCTGGAAGAACAGGGCGAGTTTCTGCTTGTGAGGAGGGGAGAAAGAGGAGGCAGCAGGGAAGACCCCCCAGGCAGTTGGCACCTGGCCCCCTTCAGCTTGGCCTTCACCATGGCCAGTACCTGAGGCCCAGTGTGGTCTTGAGCAGGCCTCTCTGCCTCAGGCCCTTATCTGTGATAAAGAAGATTCAACTGAAGGAGCAGGGATGTGGGTCCTTTTTGGCTCCCACATCCTATGATGGAGTCGTTGCCTTTGTTATCCACATGAGCACAGCAGGTTACTGACCACAACTTTTCACAGCAAGAAGTAGGGCACTGGGGACCAGACTAGGAATCAGGACACCCGAGACAGGGATTCTGGCTCTGCCTCTTGCTGCTGCGTGACCTTGAGTAAGTCCTTCACTGCCTCATACCCTCAGTCTCCGCACCTGTAAAATGTCCTTCCTCCCTCAGAGCGATATCATGAGCACCAGTGAGATAACACATGTAAAGGACCAAGCTAAAAACCAAGTTTTGCAAAAGAGTGTGTCATCACACAGCAGCAGACAAAATGTGACCCAGGACATGCATTTGCTAATTGGGGCAGGACTGCCTGTGCAGCCAGGGAATAGCTGGCCTTTCAGGAATTTGTACTTGTAACTGTGGTGACATTTCCAGCAGTAGCAGCCAACTGCCTGGTTAGAGGACACTGAGAGAGACTCTGGTCCTCATTCTACATGAGCACTGAGGCTCGGAGAGGAGGAGTGGCAGTCAGGGACAAAGCTGCGACAGAACCCCGGTCCCCTGATTGAACAGGTCCATTTCCATCTCGTGGCGGTGGAAATGCAGAGCCACAACATAAACCCCACTAAAAGCCCTGGGAGCCCTGGATGGTGTGAGATGCAGATGACCCCAAACCCTCTCTCCTTGACCTTGGTTGCCCACATGATGGAGGTTTGCAGTGACATCAGCAGACTTGCCATCCTGTTCTATTCAGGCTAATGTTAAAGTGAGCTTGCTTTCCATAAGCATACACCCTGCCACAGTGGAGATAAAGGGGACCAAAGTTATCCAGCGAAAGCCAAGCAGGCACTAAAGCATAATTCAGAGCTGGACACTCCCTGTCCCAGAAGGTCCTATGTGGCTTCCATATCCTGGGCCCCCAGATTCTGCAATCAGAGGTTGTTACCCAGTCCTCCATCCTGGGCCGGGTTCCCTCAACCTTATGGCTTCTGGAGTCTCAACTGGCAATGCTGTCTCCTGGATTTGTCCCAGGAGGCTGGAGTGACTCTGCCTTACCCTGGCTCCTGATTATAAACCAAACTCCAAAGAGCTAAGTAATATCTAGCTCCTCCTTCTCCCTTGCTTCACTCAAGCCAGGAGTGTCAGGGCCAGCAGATCACATCTCAAGCTTCCCCAGAGAATTAGATGGGCCCTGGCTCTACACTGGAAGCACTGTGTGCCCTGGGAAAATAAAGCCTGACCTTCAATTCTCCACGTCCCTGTTTGTAATGTGAGTTAGTAATAACACTTCCCTCCCAAGACTGTTGTCAGGATTACGTGAGGAAATGTATGGAAAGCTCCTGACACGGTGACAAGCAGGGACCATTATTAGATTTAACGCCACTACTCTTAAGACCAGCCCAGGGTGATACTGGACTGGAGAGGGTCCCATCAGGCCAAGACAGAATTCAGTTAGGAAGGAGGAGTTCCCTCCTGCCAGGGTGTTTGGCTGTGGGTCTTCACTAAGGAAAAGTTTGTTTGTATGTCTGTCTGCTTGTTTGTTTGAGACAAGGTCTTGCTCTCTTTCCCAGGCTAGAGTGTAATCGTGTGATCACCTCACTGCAGCCTCAAACTTCTAGGCTCAAGCAATCCTCCTGCCTCAGCCTCCCAAGTAGCTAGGACCACAGGGGCACACCACCATGCCTGGCTAATTCTTTTTTTAATTTTTCGTATAGACGAGGGTCTCACTATGTTGCCGAGACTGATCTTGAATTCCTGGGCTCAAACAATCCTCCTGCCTTGGCATCCCAAAGTGCTGGGATTACAGGTGTGAACTACCATGCATGGCCAGAAAAAGTGTTAAAATATCAGTTCCCTGAAGGATTAAACACACTCAACATCTTTCCATCATCCCAAAATGGCAAAAGAGCAACAGAATTTGAAAGCAGCTGGCAGAATCTAAAGACGGCGAGCAGAAACAAAACAAAACCGAGGACCAACCCCTTCACAGATCTTTCTCTTTTTTTCTTAATTTTAGTTCTTTTTACTTATATATTTTAATTATTTTTTTCTTCAAATTTTATTCCAAGTTCTGGGGTACACGTGCAGGATGTGCAGGTTTGTTACGTAGGTAAGCGTGTGCCATGGCGGTTTGCTGCACTGATCAACCCTTCACTGAGGTATAAAGCCCAGCAACCATTAGCTATATTTCCTGATGCTCTCCCTCCTCCCGCCTCCCCCCGACAGGCCCCAGTGTGTGTTGATCCCCCTGCACGTGTCCATGTGTTCTTACCATTTAACAGTTCTTTCACCCAGGTAAAAGCACCCAATTCTAGAACTATACTTGATAGTTACGAGACATTTTCATGACTACCATCATACCACATGCTCTCAACAGCCCTGCGAGGCAGATATTATAGATATCATCATCCCATTGTACAGATGAGGAAACTGAGAACTAAGAAGGGAAAGCGATCCATATAAAGTTGCACAGTAAGGCCGAGTGCGGTGGCTCACGCCTGTAATCCCAGCACTTTGGGAGGCCGAGGCGGGTGGATCACCTGAGGTCAGGAGGTCGAGAGCAGCCCAGCCAACATGGTGAAACCCCGTCACTACTAAAAATACAAAAAATTAGCCAAGTGTGGTGGCATGTGCCTGTAATCCCAGCTACTCAGGAGGCTGAGGCAGGAGACTCACTTAAACTTGGGAGGCAGAGGCTACAGTGAGCCAAGATCCCGCCACTGCACTCCAGCCTGGATGACAGAGTGAGACTCGGTCTCAAAAAAAAGAAAAAAGTTAAGTTCCACAGTGGGTGGCAGGGCTAGGACTCAGAACTGGGTCTTCAGACTCCGGGTTCCTCCTCTTTTACCAGTACATACTGAGCGAGCACTGGAGGGTAAGAGGCAGTTACCAGCCTGTTTCTCCCACACACGTGACCTCTCTTGACTCCGCAGACATCTTGTGGGGGTGGGGCCGGTGTTACTATCTCCACTTTACAGACAAGGAAGCTGAGGCTCAGGCCCAAGTCTGTGTGCTACCAAGTAGCAAAACTGAGCCTGGAACTCACACATGCGTGTCTGAGAGCCCAGCACTATCGCCAGGAAAACCCAGCGTCTCCCTGCTCAAGCCTGACCCTCAGCCCTCTCTGCCTCTCCCTGCACTTGCCTTCCAGTCAAGGTGATTCTGGATAAATACTACTTCCTCTGCGGGCAGCCTCTCCACTTCATCCCGAGGAAGCAGCTGTGTGACGGAGAGCTGGACTGTCCCTTGGGGGAGGACGAGGAGCACTGTGTCAAGAGCTTCCCCGAAGGGCCTGCAGTGGCAGGTGAGTGCAGGGTCTGAGGCACAAGAGAAGTGGGCCCAGCAGGAGGTCTGCTCAGGCCCCCACGGCCCACTGCATAGTATCTGCCCCCTACTTGTCACTTTTCATCCTTGTTGTATAAGGTTCTTTGTTTGTTTGTTTGTTGTTGTTTTGAGGCAGAGTGCTCTGTGGCCCAAGATGGAGTGCAGTGTCTTGGTCTCGGCTCACTGCAACCTCTGCCTCCCAGTTTCAAGTGATTCTTCTGCCTCAGCCTCATGAGTAGCTGGGATTACAGGTGCCAGCCACCACGCCTGGCTAATTTTTATATTTTTAGTAGAGACGGGGTTTTGCCACATTGGTCAGGCTGATCTTGAACTCCTGACCTCAGGTGATCTGCCCGCCTCAGCCTCCCAAAGTGCTGGGATTACAGGCGTGAGCCACCGTGCCCAGCTGTGTAAGTTTCTTGAGAGCAGGACCCTGTCTTGTCTACCTTTAAATCCTAGTACTTAACACACAGCAAACAGTAACTATTTGATGACCAAATGTGAGCCAGAAAGGACAGGAAATTGTAACTGAGGCTGCCCCATGCGTGCTGCGCCTGGTGGATTTCAGGCAGAGGGCTAGACTGGGTGACCTTGGGGCATTCCTCCTTTCTATGAAATTTGTTATTTCAAGGAGACTAGAAAAGAGACTTCTCAGCCACTTCGCCAGCTATTGGTCCTTCTATTCATTAGTGTTTGCTGAGACATGCTATGTGACAGGACTGAGCCAGGTCCTTTCAATGGATAGGAGATGTTTTGAGCATAAAATCCACGTTCTCTCTTGGGCTGGGCTCTTCTACCTTCTTCCCCCTGGTGCTTGGGCTCTGAAGAAAAAAAGATAGGTAGGAGATGAGTGATGGGGCTTCTGAGGGCAGGGCTGAGTGACTTTCTGTGTATTTGCTCTTTCTTTATCAGAAGTCAAATGCCCACAGGCACCTGTCATCCTACTGCCAGTAGGACTTCTCACTCAACCTTCCCCTCTGACCTTACTTGGAGAAGGACTTAGGTCCCTCTCTCAGACATTTCCCCAGGCTGGGCAAGTTGTGTGGACCATGGATGGGTATGTGGTCCATACAATTTAAACAAGCTGTATATGGTCGCTGGGTAGAGTGACCACATAATTGATCATCAAAACTGATACCTGTAAGAGCAAAAGGGGGCACTATTAACCATTGGGTCAGGGCAACAGGTCAAAATGGAGACCTACCCTGGGACTTCTGGTCACACTAGCTACTGTCAAAATGGGGCCCAAATAGACAAAGCCAAATGGAAGAAATTCCCTTGACATTGAAAGTGTTGGGGCTCTGTGGCACCCCCAGTTCTAGGTTGGGGGAGCTTGGGCTGGTCTCATGATGAGTTCTGAGGGGGATGGGCCAGTTGGGCCCCCCGTTCCATCTAACTCAGGTTCCTTTCCTCCCAGTCCGCCTCTCCAAGGACCGATCCACACTGCAGGTGCTGGACTCGGCCACAGGGAACTGGTTCTCTGCCTGTTTCGACAACTTCACAGAAGCTCTCGCTGAGACAGCCTGTAGGCAGATGGGCTACAGCAGGTAACCAACCTGGGCCTCTCTCCTTTTTCCCTCCTTCCTCCTTCCTCCTCTTCCTCCTTTCCTTCCTCCCTTCTTCTCTCTTTCCTAAAAATTACGGGCATTGGAGCCAGGCAGAATGGCTTTTGAATCCCAGCATTTCACTTATAAGCAACATGAAGTTAAATTTCCTAAGCCTCAGGTTCCTCAGGAGTTAATTGGGGGAACTAATGCCAACCTCATAGGATAGTTTTGCAATGCCAGTGAGAGAATGTGTGCTGCCCTCCAACACACACACACACACTTCTAGCGTCTATGCAGTCCTCTCCTTTCCTTTACTCCTCAACCTTCACTCCTTTGTGCTGGCTTTGCAAGAAACTGTTCCTGCCCAGTAATACAAAAGCTAAGTTAACTTATTCAAAGTTTCGTTAGTTAAGATTTAGCTTAAGTGAGCCTAGTTTCAGTGGGGCCCCATCTTCAGCAATCCCAGCTCTCTCTGCAAATTTCAAAAGCAGTTCCAAATCTGGAGTGGATGAAAAGGTGTAAGATGATAGTAAGAGTAATTTGCATTCTATATATTTATATTCACTTGATTTTGGCAGAAAACCAAAAAGATAGTTATTATATCTTATATATAGATATATATTATATCTATTTCATAAATAGGCTCAAACAAAGTAAGTAACTTGCTAGGGTACTAGCTGGGAGGTAGAGGGCTAGAATTTGAGCCCAAGACCCCTAATTCTTGCGCATTAGGAGTTCCCACATTGTTTCTGTTTCTAGACTGAGTAATTCTTTATTCTCATGTAGGACATCATCTCTAAGGGAAGGGGCTAATGAGATGGTTGATCACTCAGAGAGTTTAGCTGGAGAGGATGGAAAAGAACCCATACATTCAGTTGCAGATTGAGATAGCCTATCTCTGGCAGGCCTCAGATTTCTTCAGGATTCTAACAGACTGGACCCAGAGACTAGGCCAAACAAACAAACAAACAAAAACTCTACTAGGCAGACATCACCAACCAATCACAGAACTCTCTCCCATGGATCCCTAATACAGCCTCAAAGTCCTTTTCAGTAAATGCTCCAGGCAGCCATTACAAATCAATCAGAATTATTTGCCTTTCTCTTCTCTGCTCAACGGGCTTCTGCTGCTCTCTACTTTCCATAGGGGGCAACTTCCATTACCCTCTAGAAAGCACACCCCACCACCTTCATTTCAAGGAGAGTGAGGAACTCATGCCCAGCACCTGCTATTCTCCCCTCTTCCTGCAGCCACGGAGCCCAGCCTCGCTGCAGCCAGCCCTGCCTCCCCACTGTAGTCCAGTCAACTGCTGCATCAGCCGTTCCTGGCACAGCAGGCTGAGCCTTGATTATGAAACCTGGGTGTCTCCAGGGGTTCTTAAGATGATAGGCTCCTGGAATTTCTGTCCTTTTGGAGCTCAGTAAGGCACCAAACCACCTGAGTCTTGTGCTTCACAAAATCAAAGTTCATCAGAATCATTCATTGGGATGGAATTGGTGAACAGAAGTTAACTTTCCTGGGAATGTCCATTTCCACCATATTCCGTCCTTCTAGGTCTCAGACTTCTCTACTTTCTTTCCTCTCTCTAGATCGGAGGCCCTTCTTGTCCTAGAACCATAGGCATTTCAAGATGTGGGAGACCCTAGGGATCATCTAGTCCACGCATCTTTTTTTTTTTTTTTTGACAGAGTCTCACTCTGTCACCCAGGCTGGAGTGCAATGGCACCATCTCTGCTTACTGCAACCTCCACCTCCCAGGTTCAAGTGATTCTTTCGCCTCAGCCTCCCAAGTAGCTGGGATTACAGGCACGCACCATCATGCCCAGCTAATTTTTATATTTTTGTAGAGACCGAGTTTCACCATGTTGGCCAGGCTGGTCTTGAACTCCTGACCTCAGGTGATCCACCCACCTCGGCCTCCCAAAGTGCTGGGATTACAGGCGTGAGCCACTGCACCCAGCCCCGTGCATCTTTTTATAGAGGGGGAAACTGAGGCTTGGAGAGACCCAGAAAAAGAATATGACCTGCCCAAGGCCACACATCAAACTAGTGCCAGAGCCAGGGACAGAACCTAGATCATGAGGACTCTTAAAATGCACTCTAGTCCTCCCAGGTCTGAGACTTGGGTCCTTCCAGGAAGTGCCAGCATTCCTGCCTGAGAATGTGCCAATCCACCAGTATTGCCAATGACTCAGCCCTCCATGGAGAGCTTCTACTAACATTACTAGCATAGTTAGGGATGGAAGGAAAAGATTTAGAAGAGGCAGATTCAGTAAAGGAACAATCAGAGAGATGGAATTAATCAAGGAAGGCTTCCTGGAGGAGGAAAAACTTCAACCCAAGGTTTGAAAGTAGCAAGCATGGATTAGCAGGGAGAAAGAGGGAGAGTGGTCCAGTTGAGAGAAACGTTTGTCTGGATTCATATGAAGACAGATCTAGTCCTGTTCTATTAAATATCTCTAAGGGGGCCAAAAACATACCCCCGCTATCAAAGTCAGACCAGATGCTTTGTTTGGAGAACGAAATATCCACATTCCAACTCCCTCCCAGGTGAGAAGGGAGCTAACCTGAGCCCCTATGCCTCTTTGTTTCCCTGCTGTGAACCAGAAGACATTGCTGGGATATTTGAAATAGGGACAGAGCTGGGAATATGGAAAGGAGACCCCTAACATTTCTCCAGGGCTCTGGGTTCTGGATTTGGATTCCCCACCCAAGAAAGCAAGTTACATCAGCAATGCACTGAGGGTTGAGTCCTGGGATGCCAAGGGTCGGTTCTTTATTGTATAGCAAAGCAGGCCCCATCTTCACTGACTAAGACCATCTCCACTCCCTGGCCACTCCCCACCAAGCATTCTCTGCCACTCTTTCTCCTGAAAGTGGGGGCCAACTCTACCATCTTGTTCTAACCCCCTGCCCCAGCTCACAACTCTCTCTCCCTCTTGATGTGAGCAGCAAACCCACTTTCAGAGCTGTGGAGATTGGCCCAGACCAGGATCTGGATGTTGTTGAAATCACAGAAAACAGCCAGGAGCTTCGCATGCGGAACTCAAGTGGGTAAGTGAGGGGACACCTTCTGGCCTACAGAAGGCCCCCACATGGACGCTGCTCTTCAGGTTGCAACCAGCTCACCTGGAACCCCAAGCAGCCAGGGGAATGTAAGCAGACATCAGGAAGAACTCCTAGCCAGATGGATCATTCAATGCCAAGAGCTATAGACTCACATTTTGGAGAGGTTTTCTGTGTTGACTTGTTTTTAATACAATGGACAGCTGGACAAAGTGTGTTGTCCTACTCAGAGCCAGAGGGATGGATAATGTGACCTTTCCATCAATCTGGATAGTAAATAGTTTTTGCTACTGCTGTAGGTTTTCTAATAAATTGCCCAATAGGCAAGATTCCAAAGTCACTTTGTCCTTCCCTACCACTTACCCAGCCAGAGCTCCCCACCTTCTTGATGCTCCAGGGAAGAGGCTCCATGGCCCTTGTGGGTGGCCTGTTCCTGAGCCTCGCCACCCTGTGTTAGAGCAGAGCATCCAGATGAAATCTGTCACACTGTGGCAAAGTGGCTCAGAGAGGAGGCTGGCTTCCTAGCATTCAGGGACGTTGCTGAGGGCCGCTTATTCACCGAAAATAAATCTTGAAAAGGACAGGGCTGGTAGCAGAATGATCCTTTACCTAAAATTCTATCAAAATCCCATTCTTCCATTTGGAAAGCCCACAGTGTCACAGACTCTGTTCCGGGCTCTGTCCTCTTCCCTCTTGGGTCCCAGGAGCCCAGGCTGGGCTTTGAAGCAGGCAGGGCCCAGCACACAGTAGGTACTCAGCAGTGGGGGTGTTGAATCCAATCAAACGGAAGTGTCAATGCAGGAAATGCAATGGATGTCAATGCAGTCTCCAAATGTTCCCCACTGTGCAGCTTCCACATTCCCGAGGTATTGGGAGGGGACTTGAATTAACAGCTTCGGGAGGCCTGAGTCCCTGCCTCCCAGCTGAGGAAGAAGCTTAAATCACAGGGCGCTGTGTCTGTCTTCCAGGCCCTGTCTCTCAGGCTCCCTGGTCTCCCTGCACTGTCTTGGTGAGTACCCCCAATCTCTGAGGGTTTGGGGCCTGGGCCAGCAATGAGCAGGGAGGAAGACCTTCATCTTCACTCCTAAATTTCTGGGACTCCAAGTTTCATTCTGCCTTGGTCTACAGCCCTTGGGCTTGTCGGTCAATGCCCCCTCGAGTTGTTGGTGGCCTTGGGCAGGTCACATTCTTTTTCTGGGTCTTTCCAAGCCCCAGTTTCCCCCTTCTACCATCTGTGCATGGCTCCATGACCTAAGTGGAGACCTGGGAGAGAGTGTTAGGAAGACCGAAAAGGGCAGGACGGGGCCTCCACTGCCTCCCATCCCTGGTCCGGGCCCACATAGCCTTCTTTGTCACAATCAGCTCAGGTATCCAAGATCAGATTACCCACATTCATTATTTGAGCAACTATTCATTGAACAGTTAGAATATGTCTCACTCTGTCAGTTGCTGGCTAGAAGTAGAAAGTACCAGATGAGTGAAATAATTGGCCACTATCCTTGGTAGCTGATGACTAAGTAAGAGAGAGATGCAAGACAACATGTGGAAAATGCCAAACTGAGTAGCAGTCACAGTTGACATGCTGCAGAGAGAGCTGGCCGGGGGTCAGAAGACCTGGGCACCAGTCCTGTTCATTTCCAGTGTGGCCTCGAGTCATTCACCTGACCTCCCTGAAGTTCATTTTCCCAAGAAGTTGTTTAGTCCAACTGCCCATCAAGGATCTTTAGGGACCCTTCTAGCTCTAACAGAGGAGATCAGAAAAGAAAACAAGCAATGTGGCTCAGCTCATCCTACAAGCTTCATAGAGAACTGAGACTGGCCTGGAAGCATAGCCAGAAATTAGAACGCCTAAGGGAAGAAGGTCACAACGCTGCCTCTGCAATTTAGGAGTGTATATGCTTTCCTGCAGGATGTTGAGAGTTTCATTCATTATCGTATGCCCCCTACCCCGGCCCCACAATACCTAGTGCGTGGGATCTGACACGTGGTGGCTGGTCAATGAATGAATGAATGAATGGTCACACCATCTGAGGTTCTGCACTGAGTAGCCCTGAAGGCTTGAAGCAGCATAAGTGACAGGTCCTCCCTTGAGGGGCCTCTGTTTTACCAATAAGCCAAGACCTAAGCTCAACAACACTGAAAGGGTGGCCAATACCCAGGACAGCCTGTGGGAATTCCAGAGAAAGGGAGATTCCCAGGGACTGGGGGCCCAGGCTAAACACTGAAAAATGCATCTGTAGGCTCAAGGAGGAAAAGCCCATGTCTGTCTGTCTTGCCCACCACTCTCTCCCAGCACCCAGCACTGCCCCAGGACAGAGAGCACTTGACACAAGTTGGTTAGATTAATGAATGATTTAGAGTTCAGTGGTCCCCAACCTTTTTGGCACAAGAGACTGGTTGCATGGAAGACAATTTTTCCGCAAACCAAGAGGGGGATAGAGAGCATTAGATTCTCTCTTTTTTTTTTTTTTGAGACCAAGTCTGGCTCTTGTCACTCAGCCTGGAGTAAAGTGTTGCGATCTCGGCTCACTGCAACCTCCGCCTCCTGGATTCAAGCGATTCTCCTGCCTCAGCCCCCTAAATAGCTGGGATTACAGGCACCCGTCACCAGCCCAGCTGGGACTATAGGCATGTGCCACCATGCCCGGCTAATTTTTGTATTTTTAGTAGAGACGGCGTTTCACCATGTTGGCCAGGCTAGTCTCGAACTCCTGACCTCAGGTGATCTGCCCGCCTGAGCCTCCCAAAGTGCTGGGATTACAGGCATGAGCTGCCTCACCCAGCCTAAAGTCTCATAAGGAACGTACAGCATAGATCCCTCACATGTGCAGTTCACAATAAGGTTGTGCTCCTACAAGAATCTAACGCCACCTCTGATCTGACAGGAGGTGAAGCTCAGGTGGTCATGCTCGCTTGTCCCTGCCACTCACTTCCTAATGTACAGCCAGGTTCCTAACAGGCCACGAACCAGTGGGAAGGGCATCTTTTTGGATCAAAAACAGAATTACTTTTTAGAGAACTACAAGCAGATCAATTTGGCTAGACAGAGACTTTATATGAAACAGCAGGAGGCTGCTAGGAGGAGTGGAAACTCTACTTTGCCCTCAAGGGAGATCCCGAAGGGCTTTGCAGGAGCGGGCAAGGTGGCATGAAGAAAGCAGTGTTTGAAATCAGGTGGTATTTGAAAAGCCCAGCCCTTCCCCTTAGAATGGCCCTTCTACCATCTGTGCATGGCTCCACAACCGTGGTGGTGGCTGCCAGAAGAATTGGAAAGGCAGAGCATGGGTGGAGAGGGGGGACCTGAGGGCTTTACAGGAGTTCCGGGGGTGGTGAGGGTGTGAAAGCCAGGTCAGTCAGTAGGAAGACAGGATGTCAGATTGAGAGACTCCCCTGGCCGGGGAAACAGACTTGGAGAAGGGGGAGTTTTGGATGAGACAGTCCACTTCCGAGTCACAAAATAGCTTGTGGGTGTCTGTTTACTGTTACTCAGTGGGAGTGGCTGGGGACACGCCACCTGGGCAGGGCTTTCGTAATTCTGCATCACTTGTGAAGGTCACAGATTCCCAGCACAACGGACACACCCATGTTCATAGTCTGAACTCCTAAACACATCTTAAACCAAAATAAAAAAAAAAGAAAGAAAGAAAGAAAAAGGAGAGGGAGGTTTGAGGAAAGCCTATGGTCTGGGACACTCAATACCTCCCATGAATATCTCATATTGGGCTGGTCCTCTCTCCACTCTGGCCCCAGCCATAAGGGCCCTGCTTAGAGCAGATTTTGGGTGCTGAGTGGAGGCAGCCTCATCCCCAACAGCCTGACTTCCTGCCTCCTCCCTGCCTCTGCCTGTGTCCAGCCTGTGGGAAGAGCCTGAAGACCCCCCGTGTGGTGGGTGTGGAGGAGGCCTCTGTGGATTCTTGGCCTTGGCAGGTCAGCATCCAGTACGACAAACAGCACGTCTGTGGAGGGAGCATCCTGGACCCCCACTGGGTCCTCACGGCAGCCCACTGCTTCAGGTAAGACCCCAGCTGTAAGGAGGTCTCTGGGGACCAAGGCCAGTCAGGGACCAGAGAGCTTGGGGTCCTGTCTCCTGGCACCGTCCTTCTCTTCACTCTCCCACTAGAGACGTTTTCCAGGTTGTGGTGGCCCCAATGAGACAATGGCCATGATGCCCTTTGTTAGGCTTTTGGGTGTCTGAGCAGAGGGTGCTGGTCACCAAGCATGGCCTCTTCCTGGTGGGACACCAGCAGATACCCAGAGTCCTCACCCCACCCCCATATCGTTCAAGCTACAAAAGCTCTTCCCACCTGCCTCAACTTCCAAGAACTCACTCTCTTTTTGCTTGTTTCCAGGAAGTTGTTCCAGGGTCTAGAGTCATAGCCACGTCCTCATTATGTCTGGAAACTTTAAAAAAATTAAAGAGCATAGGTTCCTTTCAGTCCACAGAGAAGCCTGGCCTTACCTCAGGGAAGGGCTACTCCCAGACCCCCTTCACTTTTTTTTTTTTTTTTTTTTTTTTTTTTTTTGAGACAGAGTCTTGCTCTGTTGCTTAGGCTGGAGCGCAGCAGCATGATCTTGGCTCACTGCAACCTCCGCCTCCTGAGTTCAAGCAATTCTCCTGCCTCAGCTTCCCAAGTAGCTGGGACTATAGGCATGGGCCACCATGCCCGGCTAATTTTTGTATTTTTGGTAGAGACAGGGTTTCACCATGTTGGCCAGGCTGATCTCTAACTCCTGACCTCAAGTGATCTGCCCACCTCAGCCTCCCAAACTGCTGGGATTACAGGCATGAGCCAGGGCATCCGGCTTTTATTTATTCATTCATTCAATATCTAATGAGCACCTACCAGGTACCAAACACCAGATGATGCGCCCAAGTTCATTAGACCCCACCGCTGTCTTCAAGGCACTCATGATCTAGGCCAGCGTTTTTTAACCACTTTTTTTTTTTTTTTTTTTGAGATTCTGGTGAGAGCTATAAATTCTTTCCTGGAAAAACATCTCTGCACACTAAGCTGTGCCTGGCATTGGGAAAAAGAAAGCACGTAATGTAACTGACAGCATGAGTAACACAGTGAGAAAGGTTGGAGGAGAGAGCGCCAGGACCTCAGAACTCAGGCATTAGAGGAGCCCCTTCCCCAGCCCTCCTTGAGGTTTCGTTGGGCAGGTTTCACTGAGGAAAAAGGGTCAAATCCCTTTTTCGAATTTGACTTCTTGTAAGTGCCAGAAGACTGCCCCTTCTCCACCATCCCTGCCTCACCATCATCTTTCCTCCCAAGGCAGTGACATCCAGCACCCCGATCCCTAGGGCCCTGGGGACCCAGCCTTTGGCAAAGTCTCCTCAGGCTTGGATCAGGCCTGAACCCAGCTGTCTCTACCCCCAGGAAACATACCGATGTGTTCAACTGGAAGGTGCGGGCAGGCTCAGACAAACTGGGCAGCTTCCCATCCCTGGCTGTGGCCAAGATCATCATCATTGAATTCAACCCCATGTACCCCAAAGACAATGACATCGCCCTCATGAAGCTGCAGTTCCCACTCACTTTCTCAGGTGAGAAGCAGGGCCCAAGGCCACTCAAGCCTCTTACATCAGTTTTCACGCCCACTCTGCTATTAGCTCACTGACCGCCCTTGGCACATAATGTCTCCTCTCAAGTCCTCAGCTTGCCCATTTGTCTCTAATACGTCAGCCTAACATCACTGATGCCATGAGGCCTCCTCAAGCTGTCAGCTAACACCTCCACTCCATTCCCTGCCAGAGATTCTTCCAAGGCCTGTCTTCCCTATGTGGAGCCCCTCGAGTGAGAACTGGAGTTTCATCCAATCTTGGAGTTTTAGGAGACCTTTTAAAAAGATTATCGAGCTAATTCCCCACCACTGACCAACACGCAAGAGCCTGCTCAGTATCCCTGCCAAGGAGTCATTGTGCCCCTGTTTGCTCTCCTCCAGGGGCAGGGAACCCATTACCTGTGAGGCAGCCCACAGAGTCTTTGAACAGCTCTGTTGGATGCCTTGTGCTTATACTGAAATGTATTTAGATCAGGATTCCCAACTGTGGGGTCCACAAGACACTGGCCCCTTGGAGAAGAGAGGATTCCATTGTCAAATAAGTTTGGGGAACATTTTCATACTACAGCTCCCTTCTTGGAACACATTAGTTTATTAAAGGTAGGAGAAGTTTTTAAAATAATCTGTTTTATTGCGTTTAACCTACATTTTTTAAATTTATTTGACCACAGAATCCTTTTTTCATGCTACTTCTATTAGCATCCCATAGAACAAGTGTTCTAGAGACCCTGGTGTGACCCCTTTCAGAGAGCTTAACTGCCAGGCTCTCCTGAGCCCTGGTGTGTGTTTCAAGATTTGTGCCTGGGAATTGTTTTAATCAGGTATGGCAAGGTGACAGATACAGACACAGCTATCTTTGAAAGAAGAGTTTATTATTTATAATTCCTGAGAGAAAGGGACATACCCCACCCCCCAACACAGGGACACCCGGGGAAGCAGCTGGGTCCACCAGGAGGCAGGAGTGAGGGGAAGGCATGGCCCAGAGCCACCTGTGGCTTCCATGGGCAGGTCTGGCCAAGGTAGGGTAGGCAAGATTGAGCATGCTCAGGATTGGATAGTGTGGACAATTCTCTAGGCTATAGATGTCAGCCTCTGGTTGTCTAGTATCTGTCCCTGGGGTGATTTAGGGCAGGGAAAATATTGGCTTGGTGTCTGAGAGTCAGATAAAGGAAGTGGTTGGGGATATGGGCTTTGGGTTGGCTGGTTTGCCTATTAAAGGCGTGCCCAAAGCCAAGTTGTTTACTATCTGCAGGAATTAGCTAACCCAGTCTCTCCCAGACCAGCAAGATCCCCATAATCATAAAGCATCATAATTTACAGAAAATTAACACTTATGATGAATAAAAGATCTCCTTCTTCCTCTGTGCTCCTGGCAGGCACAGTCAGGCCCATCTGTCTGCCCTTCTTTGATGAGGAGCTCACTCCAGCCACCCCACTCTGGATCATTGGATGGGGCTTTACGAAGCAGAATGGAGGTAAGTCCTGGGTGCAGGACCACAGGGCAGGAGATGCCCTTGTATGAGGGAGCAGCTTCCAGAAGTAATGGGAAGGAGGACCACCCTTCAGAGAAACCCATCCTGGAGGACCAAGCACCAAGGCGCCAGGCAGAAAGCAAAGTGGTTTGGCAATCCAGGGCTGGGGGATAGAAGGCAAGGATGGGAATGTGAGTGTTTTTACCCTCCCAGGGAAGATGTCTGACATACTGCTGCAGGCGTCAGTCCAGGTCATTGACAGCACACGGTGCAATGCAGACGATGCGTACCAGGGGGAAGTCACCGAGAAGATGATGTGTGCAGGCATCCCGGAAGGGGGTGTGGACACCTGCCAGGTGGGGCCTCCAAGAATCATGGGGAGTTCTAAGAATAGGGTTTAGGTCCTAGAGAGATGAGAAAACCCAGAGGCTGCATGCCCTACAGGAAGCCTTGCATATCATGGGCACTCAATGTGTGATGATGGGAGGAAGAGAGGGAGGGAAGGAAAGGATAGTCAGATAAAAGTGTACCAATAGATGAGTGGGTGGATGGATGGATGCAGACAAGCAGAGAGATTTCAAATGTCTCTTTCACATTCGAAGATGATGTTACTGGCCTGGCATGGTGGCTCACGCTTGTAATCCCAGCACTTTGGGAGGCTGAGGCGGGCAGGTGATTTGAGGTCAGGAATTCAAGACCAGCCTGGCCAACATGGTGAAATCCCATCTCTACTAAAAAGAATACAAAAATTAGCTGGGCGTGGTGGCACGTGCCTGTAATCCCAGCTACTTGGGAGGCTGAGGCAGGAGAATTGCTTGAACCCAGGAGGCAGAGGTTGCAGTAAGCTGAGATTGCGCCACTGCACTCCAGCCTGGGTGACCCAGCAAGACTCCATCTGAAAACAACAACAACAACAAAGATGACATTACTCATCCACCCCACCCACCCTTCTCACTAGCTACAGAATGATTAGCCCCTTGAGGTCAGGAATCCCAGGTCTATTTTCTCTGTGACTCTCCCCAAGCTGCTGAACTACACTAGGAAAGAATTACCGCCTGCAGAATGCTGGAAGCACATCTGTGTGTGCCCTCACCCCGGCCTCATTGGCCATCAGGACTGCTTAGCAATCCCTGTAGACCTTCTTCCTCCCCCATACTTCCAGAGGATCTTCTGAACTATTTTCTTTTTTTATTTTTTCTTTTATGTTTTTTAACAGAGACAGGGTCACTATGTTGCCCAGTCTGGTCTCAAACTCCTGGGTTCAAGGGATTCTCCCACCTCAGCTTTCCAAAATGCTGGGATTACAGGCATGAGCCATCGTGCTTGGCCTGAACCATTTTCATTAAAACCCCTACCCTACTCTCACCTCCATTTCCAGTCATTAAATTCCTTCATTTAAGAGGCATCTCTTAGTCATCGCATGTGTGCCATGAACATGGTAGTCTTTGGAGACCCCTCAGGGAGCTCACAGTGGTTGGGGGAAAGGGGGGCATTAAACAGACATTTAAGCTATAGTTTTGGGTTCAGAGGGAGGAAGCCCCAGGGGCTAAAACAGCTGATAAGGACTCCCAGATAAGTGCACTTTTCACTATCTGGCATTTTCTTGTTTTGTTATTTGCTTGTTCACTGTCTCTCACCCCATTTGATCCTAAGCTTTCTGAGGGCAGGGATCTTTGTTTTTTTTCATCAGTTGGATCCCAATTGCTTAGAACACTACCTGGCACAAAATAGGCACTCTATAAGTGATTACACAAATTTTGGAACGACTAGGTTAAACAATGATAACCAGGCTTTTTTTTTTTTTTTTGAGACTGAGTCTCACTCTGTTGCCCAGGCTAGAGTGAAGTGGTTTGATCTCGGCTCACTGCAGCCTCCGCCTCTGGGTTCGAATGATTCTCCACCTCAGCCTCCTGAGTAGCTGGGATTACAGGTGCCTGCCACTATGCCCAGCTAATTTTTGTATTTGTAGTAGAGACGGGTTTCACCATGTTGGCCAGGCTGGTCTTGAACTCCTGACCTCAAGTGATTCACCCGCCTCAGCCTCCCAAGGTGCTGGGATTACAGGTGTGAGCCACCGCTCCTGGCCAACAACCAGGCTTTTTTAAGACATCACTCAGAGCCTTTAATTTGCTAATGTGAGTTGTGAATCTCTGAGAGAAGGCTAACGGCATGCTTGCAACTTACTTGTCCACAGACAAGCCTTTCTGCCCCAGAAGAGAAGACCATTCTAGGGTGCTAATGAGCAAAGAGGGTGAGGGTGGAATATCGGAGAGCAGCAGGGAGTGCAGGGGAACAGATAGGCCAGTTCAGGGAGCAGAGAAGGAGAAGCCCCCCCACCTCACCTGCCCTCCCCAGCAGTCTCTGTTCTGGTCTCTCACAGGGTGACAGTGGTGGGCCCCTGATGTACCAATCTGACCAGTGGCATGTGGTGGGCATCGTTAGTTGGGGCTATGGCTGCGGGGGCCCGAGCACCCCAGGAGTATACACCAAGGTCTCAGCCTATCTCAACTGGATCTACAATGTCTGGAAGGTAAGGTACCTTTGCCCTACCCACTGTGCCTTCCCTCCAGTCCTCTACCTGGGGGGTGCCAATCCATCCTCAGGTTTGATTTAAATGGTTCTGACAACTCTTTACATCCCAAATAACTTTCCCTCCAAGCAAGGGACAGCCTGAGATTGCACTATTAAGGCTGAAATTCCTTAGGTCAGAGATTTCTGATAAATGCAAATACCTTAGGGAATAGAACACACCAAGCCTTTCTTTCTCTTTTCTGACAGAATGAGACTATCAGATCCTTTCTAGAGAGAAGATTCTGATAAGGAAGAGAGTGGAAAGGCTCATGAGACCTCCTGGCCCTCTGCAGGGTAGGGAGAGAAGCAAAGTGTTTCAGAAAAGGAAGACTCACGTTACACATGTCACCACTTTGTCCAGTTTCAGATAATCTGACTTTCTCTTCATCGGTCTCTCTTATTCTAGGCTGAGCTGTAATGCTGCTGCCCCTTTGCAGTGCTGGGAGCCGCTTCCTTCCTGCCCTGCCCACCTGGGGATCCCCCAAAGTCAGACACAGAGCAAGAGTCCCCTTGGGTACACCCCTCTGCCCACAGCCTCAGCATTTCTTGGAGCAGCAAAGGGCCTCAATTCCTATAAGAGACCCTCGCAGCCCAGAGGCGCCCAGAGGAAGTCAGCAGCCCTAGCTCGGCCACACTTGGTGCTCCCAGCATCCCAGGGAGAGACACAGCCCACTGAACAAGGTCTCAGGGGTATTGCTAAGCCAAGAAGGAACTTTCCCACACTACTGAATGGAAGCAGGCTGTCTTGTAAAAGCCCAGATCACTGTGGGCTGGAGAGGAGAAGGAAAGGGTCTGCGCCAGCCCTGTCCGTCTTCACCCATCCCCAAGCCTACTAGAGCAAGAAACCAGTTGTAATATAAAATGCACTGCCCTACTGTTGGTATGACTACCGTTACCTACTGTTGTCATTGTTATTACAGCTATGGCCACTATTATTAAAGAGCTGTGTAACATCTCTGGCATAGGCTAGCTGGAATGCTTGATAAGAACTGAGCTGGGATGATTGAACTTTCATTCTTTGGCTTGGGGAGAAAAGAAGTCCTGGGGAAGCAATTGAGTCTCAAAGTAGAGGCAGGGGAAAAAAGAGTTAGGGAGACCAGATCTGCTGAGTGGCAGCAAGAGTGAGCTGCAGATTACAGAAACCAGGGTGAGCAAGTTTGAGTCCCACACAGGGCCTTCTCCCTTTGCCTCTTTCCCTCCCTCCCTGCCTGTGATAATCAGCCAGGAGCCAGGGATAACCTATGACTTGGGAAAGAGATGAGTTAGGCAGTCAAGGGTGACATTCAATCAGGGATCCACAAGTGGCTGGAAAGAAATGCTGGTCCTGTGTCCTAACTTTTTCCGCCTGGAGAGCCCTCAGTGTGGCTTCTTACATTTAAAAAACAAAAAGGATCAGCTGCCAGGTGTGAGGCAGTCCCCAAGCTGAGTTGTGAGGATGTAAGCATGAATAAGTCCCTGCACTCAAAATGGTCAAAGAATTAAACCCCATGGACTTTTTTGGCATCTGTATGAAAGCTTGGGTTTTCTGAGGACTGTCTTGCTATAGTTAAGTCAGATCCTAGATGAAATATACTTGTTCATACTGTACTAGGTTCTTAGGAAACAACAGAATTCCTCAAATGCCAAAAACAAAGAAAATAGAAACCCAGAAAACAAAACAAAATAAAACAAAACCATCAGAACTGTGAGTGGAAACTAAGGTGATGATCTGGGAGCAATACACTAAAATCTTGGGTCGAGACCTATATGAAGGCTGGCAGTGGAGCTAAACCTGGACACACTGAAGACAAGGGAGCTGAACCAGGGCTCCTACATGAAGCAGGGATAACTGATGGCAGTAAATGTGGTCTCAAATTGCAGATGGTCTGGAGGAAAATTTCCCAAATTTAGAGCCTCAGGATTCCCAAAGATCCTCCAAATATGAGCTCACAATCAAAGATCAGAGACGTTGAAAAATAAAAAACACCTTAAGTGGGCAGCATAAAAAACAGCTAATTTAGAACCCCAAAGGCTTCAGATGTCAGAATATTAGAGACTTATGATAATAAGCAATATTTGCAGAGTATTTGTATGTGCCAGACACTATTGTAAGTGCTTCATCATGTACTGATTCATTTAATACTCACAGAAATCTGTGAGATGGGTATTATTCTTATCCTCACTCTATGGATTAAAAAAACTAAGGCACAAAGTGGTTAAGCTCCTTGCCTGAGATTATAGACTGTAAGTTGAACGTGAGCACTTGGAATACAGAGTTCATGCTGTAAACTACCACACTATAGGGCCTCCAATATGATAATTTATAAAATATTTGAATAAAAAATGAATACTAGTTCCACATTTTAAAATCATGTTTAACTGTGGTCAAATGCACATAACACAAGTTGCCATCTTCACCATTTTTAGGTGTATAGTTCAGTGGTGTTATGTACATTCACACTATTGTGCAGTCATCACCACCATCCATCTCCAGAACAGAAACTCAGTACCCATCAAACAACTCTCCATTTCCCCCTCCTCCCAATCTCTGGCAACCACCATTGTGCTTTCAGTCTCTGTGAACTGGATTACTCTGGGTACCTCATTTAAGTGAAGTCATGCAGTATTGGTCTTTTTGTACTTGTTTTATTTCACTTCACATTGTGTCTTCAAGTTTCACCCATGTTGTAGCATGTGTCAGAATTTCTTCCCTTTTTAGACTAAATAATATTCTATTGTTTATACGAACATTCAGGTTACTTCTATCTTTTGGCTATTGTGAATTATGCTGCTGTGAACATGGGTGTACAAGTATCTCTTTGAGGCCCTGCTTTCAATTCTCTTGGGTATATTCCCAGAAGTGGAATTGCTGGATCATATGGTAATTCTATTTTGAATTTTTTGAGGAACTGATATATTGCTTTCCATAGAGACTGCACCATTTTACATTCCCATCAACAGTTTGCAGGAGTTACTATTTCTCCATATCCCCCCTAACACTTGCTATTTTCTGTTAAAAATGGATATCTTAATAATCAAGCAAAAATAACAGGCAGATTTGAAAAAGAACTGAATACAGCTTTTAGAAATAAAAACTATAATTATAAAAATAAAAAACTAAGTGGATGGGGTAAATAACAATTAAAACACCAATTAAGAGAGAACAAATGAACTGGAAGATAAATTGAAGAAGTGACTAGGCTTAACAGCAGAGAGAGATAAGGAGATTAAAAATATGAAAACAAGGCCAGGAGCAATGAAGCCTAGAATGGTAAATTCTAACATATCCAGAATCCCAGAAAGAGAGAATCAAGACAATGAGAGAGAGACAGTACCAAAGAGATAAGAGCTGAGAATGTTCCAGAATTGATAAAAGGTGTGAATCCACAGAACATACACCACCATAGTGTACACGCATACAACCAAGGTGGAAAAATTAGAATAAATCCACACCTATGTACATTATAATGAAACTGCAGAACACCAAAGACAAAAAGAAACTCCTTATAGCAGCAGAGAGAAAACCCAGACCACCCACAGTACCACAAATCTACCACAATTAGACTGACAACAGGCTTTCCCACAGCAATAAAGGAGCTAGAAGTCAGTGGAAGTATATCTCCAGCATGCCAAAAGATAACAATCAATCAGGGATTGTGAACCCTACAAAACTATCTTTCAAGAATAAAGGCATTTTCAAGAAAACAAAAACAGACTTTACCATCAACAAACCTTCTCTAAAAGAATATATAAAGCATTTACTTTAGGAAGAAGGAAAATGATCCTAAAAGGAAGAACCAAGAAGCAAGTAGCAATAGTGAGGCAATTGTGAAAATGTAGGTAAGTCTAAACACACTCTGTCTACTTCTTCTTCTTCTTCTTCTTCTTCTTCTTCTTATTTTGAGACTGAGTCTTGCCCTGTCACCCAGACTGGAGTGCAGTGGCAGGATCTTGGCTCACTGCTATCTCCACCTCCCAGGTTCAAGTGATTCTTCTGCCTCAGCCTCCCGAGTAGCTGGGATTACATGCACATGCCACCATATCCGGCTAATTTTTGAATTTTTAGTAGAGATGGGGTTTCACTGTGTTGGCCAGGCCGGTCTCAAACTCCCGACCTCAAGTGATCCCCCCGCCTCGGCCTCCCAAAGTGCTGGGATTACAGGCGTGTCTACATATTATTAAAATAACAATAATATTTATTTTGTGGGTTAATTTTTTTTGAAACAGATATTGAATTTATTGGTTGGCTATGAGTAGAAAAATACATCAGTAAAGAAAAAAGACCCTGTATATAAATATAATACTAGCTAGTTAAAATTTGACCAAGAAGTTTCCATTGTGGGTTAATTTTTAAAGGCCTAACTGAAATATGGAGTAACCACAGCATGCAGCATGTAAATTAAAGGGGATAGCTGGAGTTAAAATATTCTGAAGTTCTTAAATTGTCCAAAAGGAGGGTTAAATATTAATGTTATGTTACATAAAATGTTTGTACTATGTTCTAGATGGTTAGTTAAAAGAGTAATCACCAAAAGAATGGAAATAAAAGTGTGTCACTTCCAAAACAATTGAAAGTAGCAATTGATGAATAAAAAACAAATACATCAAGCAAGTACAAAAGAGAAAGGAGGGAAAGGAAGAGCACTAAGGAGGGAAAAGCACAGAAAAATGGAACAAATAGAATATACAAAGTAGGATAGTGAAAAAAGTACTAATAATCGCAATAAATATTAAACTCACCAAATAATATACAGAGATAGGCAAATTGGATAAAAATGTAAGATCAAGCTATATGTTATTTGTAACAGACATACACAAAACACCAGGTTACAGAACCATTAAAACTGAAAAAGTGGAGAAAGGTACAGACAGCAAGCATTTAATCAAATTTAAGCTGGGGTAGCTATATAATATTTTTCTAAATAAGGATTTAGGACAAAAAGACAAAACTGACTTTAGGATAAAGAGGGTCACTACATAATCACGAAAGTTTCAATTCACCAGTAAGCTATAATAAGTGAAAACTTGCAAACAAAGAGAAGAAAATAGAAAATTAAAAAAATCATCCTTTGTCACCACTGGAGTTGGCAATCACACCAGGCTCTTACTCTGAAATAATATTTAAAGAGGAAAAGTTAGCACTATTCTGCTTTGCCATAGAAATCTACTTCCAGGTAACAGGGTGGCTCCAGGTGGTGAGGGAAAGTATAGCTAATCAATATAGATGAATGACAGGAAGCCATCATTGGCAATTTCTAATGAAATCATTGATTCAGGCAAGGATCATCAATGGATGCTATTGTCTGAATGCTTGTGTCCCCCAAAATTTGTATGTTAAATCCTAACCCCCAAGGTGATGGTAGTAAGAGGTGGGACTTTGGGGGCTGATTAGGTCAGGAGAGCTCCCTGTTCATGAATGGGATTAGTGCCCCTTACAAAAGAGGCTTGAAGGAGCCTCTTTGCCCCTTCTGCCATGTGAGGACATAGCAACAAGATACTATCTATGGAAGCAGAGAATGAGCCCTCACCAGACACCGAATCTGCTGGCAACCTTGATCTTGGACCTCCCAGTCTCCAGAACTGTGAGCAATAAATTTCTGTTGTTTATAAATTACCCAGTCTAAGGTATTTAGAGCAGCATGAATGGACTAAGACCACAGAGAACTGCACAGTCACATAATACCCTCATATCATCCCACGGATCCCTTGCTAATCTCAATAAGAAACCTAACTTCAAAATGAAGGGATCAGGCTATCATCACCTTACCCACTAACAGTGGAATCAGCAGATACTATGTTCCTCCCAACGTGAATATGAAGTACACCTTCATGTTGCATCATCTAAAGGCATCTTCCCAAAAATGTTTAACATAAATCTTTTAGATCTAATTTCCAGTGTACAGGAAATACAAGAATTAGAGGAACAAAACATAAGAATTAGAGGAACAAATTAAATGACACCACTAAAAGACAAATCCAGAAGGTGGGACATTCCACCACAGGACATTCCCATCTCTTCAACAAATCAATGTCATGTAATTACTGTTATGTCTTTTTTTTTGAGACGGAGTCTTGCACTGTCACCCAGGCTGGAGTGCAGTGCAGTGGCACCATCTCGGCTCACTGCGAGCTCCGTCTCCTGGGTTCATGCCATTCTCTTGCCTTAGCCTCCCAAGTAGCTGGGACTACAGGCGCCCGCCACTACGCCTGGCTAATTTTTTGTGTGTTTTTAGTAGAGACGGGGTTTCACCTTGTTAGCCAGGATGGTCTTGATCTCCTGACCTCGTGATCCGCCCGCCTCAGCCTCCCAAAGTGCTGGGATTACAGGGGTGAGCCACCGTGCCCGGCCAATTACTGTTATGTCTTAAGAGGCATAACAATCAAATGTAAGGCATGGGCTTTGACCAGATCCTGAGTTGAACAAGTTAGCAACAAAAGGCATTTGGGCAAAGGGGTAATTGGGAAATGTGAATATGATCTCAGTATTAGATGATAATAAGGAATTGTTAATTTCATTATGTGTGACAATGATATAGTTAAGTAAGAAAGATATTCTTAACTTTTAGAGATGCATACAGAAGTATTTGGGGTAAAATGATGCAAAGTTGTAATTAAAAATACTTCAGGAGGGGCCAGGCATGGTGGCTCATGCCTGTAATCCCAGCACTTTGGGAGGCCGAGTGGGGCAGATCACCAGGTCAAGAAATCAAGACCATCCTGGCCAACATGTTGAAACCCTGTCTCTACTAAAAATACAAATATTAGCTGGGTGTGGTGGTGCGTGCCTGTAGTCCCACCTACTTGGGAGGCTGAGGCAGGAGAATTGCTTGAACCCGGGAGGCGGAGGTTGCAGTGAGCTGAGATGGCGCCGCTGCACTCCAGCCTGGCAACAGAGCGAGACTCCATCTCAACAAAAAACAAAACAAAACAAAACAAAACAAACAAACAAAAACACTTCAGGAGGAAAAAAAACTGTTAAAGCAGATATGGTAAAATGTCAATGAGTGTGAAATCTAGGGAATAGATTTTTATTATTCTTTTTACTTTTCTGTATATTTGAAAATTTTCTCAATTTTTTTAAAACTTATATAAACACAATATAAAATAGACTCGAAAGCTGATAGAACTATAAGGAGAAATTGACAAATCCACCATCTTATGAAGTGGAAGATTAAGCACACTTCTCTCAATTATTGATATGTCGAGCAGGTGAATAGTAAAGAATGGAAGATTAAACAATACCATTTACATGCCTGATAAATAGACATATACTATCCATACTTAGCAAAAAAGCATTCTTCTCAAGCACTTTTGTGAAAATTGACTACATACTAGTCCAAGAAGTAATATCAACAAATTTCAAAAGTAACGTGAGCACCAGGCCTAGCTTTGCTCCCTTCAATTTCCGCTCAGCCTCCCCAGCATCCCCCATCTTCCCGCCTCTAGGCTTTAGTCACTTGCCCGCTTACTTCTTTGAATGGGCCCAGCTCTGGCCCCTTCCATTCCCACAGTTGTAAAGCTCTGGCCACTGCCACCACCTCCTCTCCTAACACTACCACTGGTCTTCCCCTGCCCTGGGCCAGGACCAGAGCTGGGCTTTGGGTTGGGTGGCCTTCGTTGCATGCACCACGGTGACAGCCACAGCAGCCCCAGCTCTCAGACTGGCTGACTGCACCCAGAGAGCTCTGACTTCCCCAGGGCTTCCGGGAAAGGCTGAGTAACAAAACATGGAAATGATTGTCTGTGGGGTAAATGTTGAATAATGGAAGATGGGAGACAGGAAGGAGCCAGCAGATAAATGGCTTCTCCTTCTTCCCTAGGATAGAACTATTCAGAGAAGCTGTAACTCCCCAGGGACAGGTCTTGTGATTCAGCAACCAGCTGTACCGCTGATGGAGCTACGGTCAGCTCGGCACACACATCGCCTGACCACCTGTGTTTGCTTTCTCTCATTCCCTGCCTTACAGCCCCTGTCCCCCTTATGCCCATTTCCCTGGGATTGAACCCCCAAATAAAGTGTTAAGATATGAATTTAATGTAGAAAACTTAAGTTTTCTGAGAAACCTGGGCTAAGACTATCAAACAGATGTAGCTCTTTGATTATAACGTTATTAAGTTCTAAGGCAATAGCAAACAATAATTTTGTTTGTTTGCTTGTTTTTTAATTGTGTTGTTGTTGTTGTTGTTGTTGTTGTTTTTAGACACAGGATCTCACTCCGTCACCCTGGCTGGAGTGCAGTGGCACAATCTCGGTTCACTGTAGTCTCAACCTCCCAGGCTCAAGCAATCCTCCTCCCTCAGCCTCCCAAGTAGCTGGCACTACAAGCACACACCACTATGCCCAGCTAATTTTTTTTTTACTTTTTGTAGAGATGAGGTCTCACTATGTGGCCCAGGCTGTTCTCCAACTCCAGTTCGAGTGAGCCACCACACCCAGCCCGCAAACAATAATTTTTAAAATATAAAATACATACATGCTTTAAAAAAAAACTTCTAAATTATTCATAGGTCAAAGGAGAAATCATAAACAAAAATGTACCTAACTAGAATGATAATGAAAAAAATATATATTATATACATATGCAGACACACACACACACACACACACACACACACACACACACACACACACATATGTACATTCATGGAATGTCTCAGTGTGACATTTAGCAGCTAACCTTGAAATGCTTGTGCTCTTTCCTGATCTGGACTTGGACTGAGATGCACCTACCTTTGCACGTTACACTCAGAGCACAAGTGATTCTGCTGGGGAGGTCAAGAGGGAACCAGGAAGTTATGACTTGACTAACATGGCAAATCCTCACTGTCTTTGGAAGGGAGGATGTGGAGAGGAGGATGATGGGTAGAGAAGATCCTCCCCTTTTTCACAAGGAAGGAAGAAGACTAAATCCTAGAGAGGTGAGGCCCGAAAACAGAGCATGGGCCTGGTTCTCCCAACTGTGGCCCAGAGCTGCCTCCACAAGAAGGTGCCCCCACCCTCACCTGCAAGCCATTACAGGACCATGATGGAGGGTGAGTGCAAACCTTGGCCAGGTGCTGGAGCAGGAAGTAAAGAAAACTCCAGCCCCAGCCCGTTAGTGTTTAGGGGCAAGCAGAGCAAAGACTTTTCATACAAAGTGGGAAAGAACTGCAATAGAGGCATGTGTCACTGCAGCAAACAGGCGCATACCCATTCCAGGGAGGTGTTTCCAGCTAGAGGGCTCAGCACATACAAAGGAACAAGTACCAAGAAGCTGGGTTCGGCACGTACAAAGGAACAAGTACCAAGAAGCCCTATGTCCAGAGAACAGGGAGAGTTTAGTGTGGGAGAGAAAAACAGAAAGGGAATTTGAAAGGAGCGATGTGGGAGCACGCTGTAGAGAAGAGAAAAAAATCTGGGCATTAGAGGCAGGGAGACTGACTCAAAATGGTGGGCCCGTGTGTGTGTGTGTGTGTGTGTGTGTGTGTTGATTACAAATGTATTGCATAGTTATAAAAATTCAAACAATACTAAAGGTTTAAAAAGTTAGACTGGGCATGGTGGCACTTTGGGAGGCTGAGGCAGGCGGATGGCCTAAGCGCGGGAGTTTGAGACCAGCCTAAGCGACGTGGTGAAACCCCATCTCTACTAAAAATATGAAAATTAGCCTGGTGTGGTGGCATGTACCTGTAGTCCCAACTACTCAAGAGGCTGAGGTAGAAGGATCGCTTGGACCCAGGAGATCAAGGCTGCAATGAGCCAAGCTTGCACCACTGCAGTCCAACCTGGGCAACAGAGCAAGACCTCGTATCAAAAAAAAAAAAAAAAAGAAGATATCCAAGAGTCCATGGGGGCCGGAACAATAGGGCCTTCTGGGCTGCTATGAGGACTGAATAAGATAGACACTCGTTCTGAGCAAGAAAGAGTGACATCATCTCATTGTAATTTTTTTAAAGTGTAATTTACATACAGTAAAATTCATTTTTAGTGTAGAATTCTGCCAATTTTGACAAATGTACACAAGTAAGCAACTACCACCATAGCTCCATCACCCACAAAAAGCCTCGCTTGCCCTTTATAGCCAACCCGTCCCCAACCTATAGCGCCTTACAACCACTGTTTTGTTTGCTGTCCCTATTGTTTGCTGTCCCTATAGTTTGCTTTTTCCAGAATGTAATATAAATGGAACCATATAGTAAGTATCTTTTTGTTTGTTTTTGAGGCTTTAGGCTTTCTTTTTTTTTTTTTTTTTTGAGACTGAGTCCAGCCCAGGCTGGAGTGCAGTGGTACGATCTTGGCTTACTATACCCTCTGCTTCCTGATTTCAAGCAATTCTCGCATCTCAGCCTCCCGAGTAGCTGGGATTACAGGCACCTGCCACCATGCCCGGATAATTTTTGTATTTTTAGTAGAGACGGGGTTTCACCATGTTGGCCAGGCTGGTCTCAAACTCCTGACCTCAAGTGATCCACCATCCTCAGCCTCCCAAAATGCTGGGATTACAGGCGTAAGCCACCACGCCTGGACTTAGGCTTTCTTAATACTTCACTTTTTATTTTATTGTTAATTTTTATTTTATTTATTTATTTATGTTTTGGGAGAGACAAGGTCTCGCTATGTTGCCCAGGCTGGTCTTGAACTCCTGGCCTCAAGGGATCCTTACAACTCAGCCTCCCAAAGCTGAAATTACAGGCATGAGCCACCGCAACCAACCCAACACTTAATATTTTTTTTAGAGCAGTTTTAGTTTCACAGCAAAACTGAGCAGAAGGTAAAGAGATTTCATATATACTCCCTGCCTCCACACATGCAGGAGTGTCCCTCATTATCATCAACACCCCCACCAGAGTGGTACATGGGTCACAGATGATAACGCAGGTACCTTTCTGAGTCTGAATTATTTCACCTAGCATACTGCATTTGAGATTCATCCAGTGCTTTCACTTAGCATACTGCATTTGAGAATCCCATAGTGCATGGGATTTTGTGGAATATTCCATTGTATTGTATGGCTAGACACAGTTTGTTTTATCTACTCACCAGTCAGAGATTTAGGTTATTTATTTGTTTTGGCAATGGCAAAACCTCTAGAAGCAACTCTGTACGGGTTTTTCAGTGAACATAAATTTTCATGAATTTCTTCTGACAAGAATGCAGTAACAAAAAATGCAATTACTTTCCCATCTGAAACAACTAAAACGCTGGGGGGAAAATGCACGAAATGGCTTTCAGACACAGGGCATCAGGCAGCACAGGTCAGTGATTCCTGAGAGCGGAGAACCAAATGAGGGAGCCCTCCAATTGCTACAGCACCAGGAAAGGGGACTCGGGCAGAGTCTGGCAACCTCTCAGAATCAAGGAGATGGAGTCAGGAGTCCTGTGGATAGGGCTCACTGGGCAGTATCTCAGAGAAGAGACAGCTTCACAGAGACAGCGCTCCAGAGATCTGCAAACGGTCCCCGTGAGCCTTCAGCTGCTGATCCAGGCACACCCGAGGCTGAGAAAGAACCACCAGAAAAGATTAGAGGAAGCAATCCCCGGAGCTCATGCAGGGCGAAGAGTAGTTCACATTACAGCCAACTAAAATGGCAAAACTTCCTAATTCATGAGAGATGAGGAAGAGTATTCAAAGGGCATTGCCTCAGTAGTGGGGTGAGGTCAGCCCTGGATTAAAGGCTGCCCTATGTGAGCTCCAGGGATTTTCCTTCCTCATCCTTTCTAGAGGCTCCTTCCCTTGCCTTAGGTAGTTTCCTCACACAACTGCACTATCAGCGCTCAGCTGAAAACTTGGGAGGACCCTCCAAGGTTCTCTGGTCCTGCAAACTCTTACTATCCTAACCTCCCCCCAGATTCTTGGCACCTCTCCACAACTCAGAGAGAATGCTAGGCTTAGCCTGGGGCCCTCTCCCCAGCCTTCCAGGCACTACAGCCTACAAACGATCTCCAGGCAGTAAACTGGAGCAACAGTAAAGCTCATCTCCTGCGTTTCTCCCTCTCAGGAATGACAATTCTCTGCTGCCTATTGTCCAGGGTCTGAAAACCATTGTATCATAGGTGCTTTCCAATTTTTTTAGTTGTTTGAGGTGCAAGGGTAAATGGTCCCTATGCCTCCACCTTGGCCAGAGCTAGAGATGACATCATCTAATCCTGTTTTAAAAGAACCACCCTGGAAATTAGATTAAAGAGGACCAAGGGTAAAAGCAGGAAGACCAGTGAGAAAGCTACTGCAATAATCCAGGGGAGAGCCAGGGCGGCCTGGGCAAGGACTGTAGGGATGGTGGTAGCGAGAGGTAGTTGAGGTGATGATATATTTTGAACATAAGAGTTAATGGGATTTGCTGACAAAAAGGTTTCAGGTCGGAGACAAAATAAGGAGTCATGGTAGACTCCAAAATTTTTGGCCTGATGACTGGATGAATGAGGAAACGTGGGGAGGAGCAGATTTGGGGTCAGATTGAGGTGAAATCATGAGTTTGGTTTTGGGCAGTTGACATAACCAAGTCTGCCAGGAAGTCAGGAAGGGCTGGTCACTCGCCTCCCAGCCCTCACCCACTCAGCTGACAGCCCCTCCTGACCAGGAACAGGAGGGTGTGAGCTCAGTGCTGGCCACACCTGGGTTTTCCTCCCGTAATGCTGGCTCAGCTTACAAACTACTTAACATTTACATGGCCTGCACTTTGTAGTTTTTAAGTATTTCAGTCCAAGCATGGTGGCTCATGCCTGTAATCCCAGCAGTTTGGGAGGCCAAAGCGAGCAGATCACCTGAGGTCAGGAGTTCAAGACCAGCCTGGCCAACGTGGCAAAACCCCGTCTTACTAAAAATACAAAAAATTAGCTGGGCATGGTGGCACATGCCTGTAATCCCAGCTACTTGGGAGGCTGAGGCAGGAGAATTGCTTGAACCCAGGAGGTGGAGGTTGCAGTGAGCTGAGATCGTGCCACTGTACTCCAGCCTGGGCAACAGAGCCAGACTCTGTCTCAAAAAAAAAAAAAAAATTCACACCTGTTGATTCATTTAATCTTACAAGAGTACCATGCAGTAGATGTCATCATCCCCATTTTGCAGGTTAGGGAACTAAGGCTTGGAGAGATGAAGTGGCTTTCCCAAGGCCGTTTCACTGGTAGGTAACAGAGTGAGAACTTGAACCCAGATTCCTGGATTCTAAGTCCAGGATTGTTCTTTTCTATATCTGCTTGCAGGCCATGGAAGGGGACCCTACATCTTTCCTGTTAGCACTGCGGGTGGCTTTGTTTAAGCAATGAGCTATGAGAGAACATCTCCCCTCCTGCTGTGTGCGCTCTACTGCTACAGTGTGCACAGGTCCAATTAGAATGCCAGTGGAAGGGCTGGCCATCTGCCTGAGGGAGTGGGAGCCCTGGAGCTCCTGAATTGGGAGGGTCTTCATCTTTCTCCGGCTTCAACCTTAAGTCTGCTCTCCAAATGACTTGATAACACCATAGGAACCAAAGATTGTAAAGCAAAGTCTCTCCATGTCTTGCTCTGCCCCCTCTGCAGATTTTCCTGCATTCATTTCCCCTTGGCACCCTTTCCCCTGTCTTGGTGCCAGAGGTGTGACCTGACCTGTCTTAAGGCCAATCATTCTATCTGGCCACTGGATCCTATCCCCTTGGGTCCACCCAAATGACACTTTCTTTCCTCTCTCTCAACTACTGCAGGCTGTCTGGCTCCACTGTCTCTTCCTCAGGTGCATTTAACTTGTTTTTATTTCTTCCATCTTTAAAAGAAAACCATCTACCCTCCTTCCTTACCAGGGCCAATGCCTGTCACAGCTAAGTTAACTGAAATTGTAACCTATGCACCAGGGCCATTTTCCGCCTCCCACTGACTCTTCCACATACTGGAATCAAGCTTCTGCCATCTCCCCCTATCTGGCTGACCCATTTCACTTCGCTGGGTTCACTGAGGTCACCAATGACCAAGGGGCAAGGATTGATCCTTAACTTAGCAATGGTCACCCTGTTCTTAACACTGTTTCTATATTGGCCTCAAAGACATCACTCTGCCTTGCCCTTGGGTGCTTCCTCGTCAGTCCCCTTCTTGGCCTCCTTTTCCTCCAATTAGCCCCTGAATGTCAGAGACCAGCATTCCCCCTTCCCGTGATCTAGATGAGCCACCTTCCCCACAATCTGAGAGATTTCTTACTCCTAAGGTCCAGACTTCTTTTTGGTAACTGTCTACCACTTTGGAGCAGATGCACCTGTGCTATTGCCTCCTCTGTTAGGAGGCATGGATACCCCCCAGCCTCCTGGAAAGCTGAACATAGGGAGTTAAAGGGTTGTTCTCCACCGGGAGTCAATCGACCCAATCTGGGGGTTGCAGAATGCAAGGGAGGGAGGAGAGTTGGCCAAAGACAGGATTTAGAAGGAAATTAGGCCCAAAGGCCCAAAGGCCAAAAGACCAAAGGGTCTATCAAAAGAAATCTTTTCTGTTCCTTTAATGCAAAGGCCTAGCCCTTGGGGTCAGCAAAGCTCCCCTCTCTCTTATGAAAGCAACAGAGAAGACGACATGCTTGGAGAGGAAGGGGAGGAAAGTGCAACCAGCTTCTTTCCTAACACCAATGCGGGGGAGTAGAAGGTAATTCCCAGCTTTTGTACCAAGGCCCTTCTGAAAGGTTCCCTAAGCACATGTGTTCACTTTCACCTTTATTTTTAGGTGTACAGACCTCCTAAAGTCAATCTGATCTGCGTACCTGCCACCAGCCCAAATTAAGGACCCTTAATTTGTGTGTATGTTAGTCCCCATTGAGTCAGCATGGGGCTGGCATGGAGCTTAACAGGGAGTGACCCTATATCCAGGTTTGCCCAGGACAGTCCCAGTTCCTAATGTGGTTTTGAGACATTGGGCCATCTGTCAGTTATAATGGCTATTGGGTGGGGAAAGGAAGTAGGGATGAAACAGAGCAATGACAGAGACCTAATCAGACCTGGGGACTGATCCTTACAGGGGTAACTGCAAGTTCAATGCATAGCATCCCAAGTGTTCTAAACCCAGGCTTGCCCCAGGAAACCCCAATATCCAACCGGTGTATTGCAGATGGGAAGGTAGCAGGAGGTCCCAGGCAACAGGAAGTACCTGAAGACAGGAAAGTGGCTGCGTGGGGAACCCGGGTGGTGAATCCATTCAGGGCAGAAGTGCAGCGCACAGTCTCTATAGCTGAGGGCTGGAGGAAGCAGAGCTGGCAGGGACATCTGCCGAAACTGATTCTGCGTACCTGGAGTCCTTGACGGAGAAGAGAGGGTCTTTCAACAAGCTCTTCTGAGTACTGAGGTACTGAGTACCTCACACTGAAATACTGAGTACCTCACACTGAAGTACTGAGTACCTCACACTGAAATGCAGTGTGAGGTGAATCCATTGAAGAGAGGAATACGGTATGGTAAGAAATTGTGGTATGAGAAAGTCCAAGAATATAAGCAAACACCTACACGTTGGTACATATCCCCAGTTCCTTCCCAGGCACTGGCCTTATGCCCAGCACCCGGAAACTCTTTGGAAGGTAGGCGTTCATGTGAAGCGGATTTTACCTGGACCTAACTAACCCGGGGAAGGGAAGGAGAGAGTGAGCCTGGGGGAGGAGCTGTTGTGATATTTGTGGTGCCAGGGTCACGACCAAGGTCATCCATACCAGGAGGGCCCTGGCAATGATTCCAGTATTAAAGAGCCACGTTGCCAACTTCTCCAGAGAAGGTATAGGAATGAAAACGACCCAAACACCTGTGAATGTGCCAGATGTTCTTAGGCAGTTTGCCTGTGTTATTTCACCTAGGCAGGTAACATTTTAGACACAAACAGATTGAGGCTCAGAGAAGGTAAAGAAACTTGTCCTAAGCACAGCTGGCAAGAAATAAAACTGGAACCCAACTCCCAACCAGTCAAAAATGGAAGCCCCCAAATCCCAAATTATTAAACATAATTTTTATTTCATCCAAGGCAAAGCTAAATACAATTCTACAATGCAAAACTTGTTGTAGAGGCCAGACTGATTATATCCGTTCTGTGCTCGAACACAAGTCAGTGCTGGCTGTGTGGGCATCTGCGCCTCCCAGAGGCACTCGCACACCTGAGGCCTCCCAAGGCCTGTTGTTGCATCATTTGATCTATAGTTACATAGGAAAATTGACTATGGGTATTGTTGTCATCCAAGCCAGAGGAATAAACCATGCATAAGATAGTCAAAAGCACTGCATATCAGGTGGGAGGTGGGAGGGTAGGGACTCCAACCTGGGACAAAGTAAAGTAAAGCAAGTTATAGGATTTTCCCGAGAAGTCCCCGCTCCTGGAACTCCCTACTGCCAGCCCTCTGATGGCAGCTGTCTGTGACACTGAGATGAAGTCATGGAGTGACGGAATGCAGGAGCACGGCTGGTCTTCTCTGCCTTTGATTCTTTCTCAGTCTCCAGATGCCTCAACAGGCATAGCTCAGGCCAAGAAAGACGGCTCCTCAAATGTCCAGCATCTGCCCATCATGCATCACCCCTTACATGCAGAGCCCATCCACTCCACAGTTACGCTGCCATGCACCCACACTGCCTGCACACGCACACTCCACACAAGCACACCCCACCTCCTGCCATCTCACAAGCATGCTCTCAAGCCCTCGCTCCACAAGAGCTCTGATCGGCCTGCCATATGTAGTCTGAGCCCCATCGGCTGCTCTCCCCAGGCCTCTCTAACATCAGGGGTTTATTCGGGCTGCCTTCTGTTCAATTACGACATGGGGAGAAGCCCAGAACCTGGAATGCTGATTTCATATTTTGTAGTTGATGAGGAGCTCAGAACTTTGTCTTTAGTCTCGCTGACATCACTCAGCCCAGCTGCATGTGGCCAGGTCTCTCAAGATCGACTTTGTAAGTGGCTCTCTCTAGCCCACAAGCCCTGGAAGCCACCATCAGAGATTTGCATGCACTGAGGTTCCACTTGGGGAAGATAGCTTTGCCCATATACATCCTAGTGCAAATCCATGCCAGTGTTTCTCCATGGGTATAATGTTGACATGGGACAGGATGATTCTTTGTTGTGGGGACTAAGTTTAGCATTCTTAGTAGTGCCCCCACGCATGGGGGCAACCAAAAATGCCCCCCCTACAATCTCAGTCACCTCTATTGAAAACCATCAAACAAAAGCCATGGACAAGAAGCTTTAAGCATCAGAGTCAAGGTTTCTAATATTGCAAAGACTAAATAATTCCAAGGGGGGTGGGATGGAAAGAAAGAGAGAGAGAGTGTGTGTGTCTGTATGTGGGTTGTAGAGATGGGACACAGAGATGAAGACAGGACAGACTTGGAACTATCCCTGCAATTAATACCTGGCTTCCCAGATCCCTTTCCAAGCCAAAAAGATGTTTTTAGACAAAACTTGCCAAGCCTCACAACAGTCCTGTGAGGTAGGTAAGTATTATTACACCCATTTGGTAGATGGAAAGAGCTGAGCTGAGAGAAGCTGCATGATCCATCTAGAAATCAGCAGTAGACCCTGGGGAGGAAAGAGAGGATGGTGCCCTTCTTCTCCCTACTCTACGTGCCTTGGCTTTCTCTTAAGACAGAAGGAGGAGCCCCAAGGTGCTCTGCCTCTTCAAATGTCACCATTGAGAAGGAAGAAGAAAACAGTTTTGCATGAAGGTAGCTATAAGAAGTTTTCTGAATGGCTGGTGGCTCTGGTCTGTCTGCTCCCAAAGCCAGGAAAATCTGAGCCCCAGCCCATGACAGGTTCTGGGTAGAGAAGAATGGGAGGCGCACAGGCAGATCAGACGGGGAACTGGTGAGCCCAGCAGGTTGGCTAAGGGACACTGGCCACAGCCACGGGCACCCTGCAGGTACTACTGGTCCTCAGTCTCCCCCCACTCCACCCTTGCGAGGCTTGCAGCTGCTTTTTGACAGGGAGAGCTCTGAGGTAGACCCCAAACTCTCTGAAAAAGGGGGCTACTCCTCTCTCATCCCTCCTAGGGGCCCAGAAGACAGGGCATCAAAAAATCAGTAAGGGAGAGAGGGATTGGAAGTAGATGGGCAGAGAGGCTTGTTACCACTTTTCCCTGCCATCCCTGGCCTCACCAATTCTGCCCAACAAGGACTCAGGAGATCCCACTCCCAACATCACCACCTCCCCCTAGGGCAGGCTAGAAACCCCAATGGGAGCACCTGGCCGACATCTCCAAGATTCAGTCACTGGCCAATTCCAGCCTCATGGCCCCCTCTATGACCCTGGGGAGGGGAGGGCTGGCGAACCCTCACCAGCACCACACCAGACTCTGCTGTTATGTCAGGACATACCGTCTAGAGAGGATGGGGGTAAGGGCTAGGATTCAGGACTAAGGCACATTCTAGCCCCACACACAAGGGCTGTGCAAACCAGCTCTGGGAGAAGCAAAGGAAAACTGTGGGCACCCACTCCCTGCTCCTCCCCAACCCCAGGGTGGGAGGGGGTGGCCCAGCTGAGCAGGAAGCAGCTGGGAAACCCAAGGACCCCCTCATCCAAAGGAAGAGAGTCCCTGAGGCGAAGGCAGGCCCTTGACCCAGGGCTGGGAAATGAACCACCCTGGGGGCAGGGCGTGATGGAGGGCACGGTGGGGGGGGGGGAGCGAGCCAATGGGAGGTTGGAGGGTGCAGCCTCTCAGGTAGGAGGGGGAGAAGCAGGGGAGAGCTGGGCTCAGGAGTGCCCAGAGTGGCGATGGTCCTGCCATGCCAGGGGAGGGGCTGCCAGCATTGGCAGCAATGGGGCGGGCATCCCAGAGGCCCAGGACACTGGCTCACTACCTCTGTGGCCCAATTCCCCAAGTAGAAATGCTTGGAAAGGCATAGGGAGCACTCGGGTACTCCAGGAAGGCTCGAGGGGCCCCTTCCTGAGCCCCTCAGTAACCCAGAGAGCAGAGGAGCAGGCTAGGTGGCCAGGAACCCTCAAGACCAGGGTGGCCAGCCCTGGTTGAGAGGGCTTAAAAACTCTGAGCAGGGGAGGGGATAGGCAGATAGGGTCCCGGGGCAGGGGAAAGGAAGTTTCCTACTTGGAAGACTGTGGGGGATCTGGTATCCTATGAAGCAGAGGCAGTCTCTCACTGTGGGCCTGCCCCCATCAGCCCCCACCCCAGGTCTTCTCCAGAGGCCTCCAGCCCACTCCCACCTCCAAAGGAAGCCACTTCTTCCTACACCCCATCTCCAGGGTGCAGCTCTTAGGACATCCCTTACGGATCCTCCCAGTCTCTTGTGAAGAGAAGCCTGGAGGAAAATCAAGGCCCTGCTTGTGCAGGGTAGGGAGACTGAAGGAGACCCCATCTGCCCAGGTGTCAGGGGACCAGCCCCTCCACACCACCCTAGCCTCTCCTTTCTTTCTCCTGAATCTTCCACAGACCCCCTCCCCTGGCCATCCCTTGTCCCTGGGGAGCCCTGACTGGGAAGGGGATGGGCAGGCTGGGCAGGACTCTGGTTTCTTGTGCCCGGAAAGACTACAGTTTGAGCCAAGCAGCAGATGTCTCAGGCACGTGGGTTCTACGGTCGGGGCTCAAGCATCAGTTTCATCATCAGAAAGGGGGCTCCCTGCAGCTGCTCAGCCCGAAGCAGGGCTCACACTTTTGAAGGTGGTTTCTCCTCTGCCTTGGAGCCAGGCAAGCCGTTCTCCGTGTTGTCATTCCCCGAGGAGCTCACGAGACACTCCTTCCTGGAGAGGGAGAGAGAAGGGACAGTGGTGAGGAGAGGAGCAAGAGTAGGGGGAGAATTGTGGCAGGAGCCGTGGGCCCTGCACCCAGCCCTGTGCCTCTCCCTGGCCTTCTACAGAGCTAAGGTAGCCAGAGGCCATGTCACCTAACCTCTCTGTACCTCAGTCCCCTCATTTGTGAAATAGAGGTAGGGATGACCTTCTGCGTGGGGTTGCTGGAAGGAGAAATGAGCACTTAGAACAGTGCCTGCCATGTAGAAAGTTCTCAACTGGCCAGGTGCGGTGGCTCACACCTGTAATCCCAGCACTTTGGGAGGCCGAGGCAGGCAGATCACTTGAGGTCAGGAGTTCGAGACCAGCCTGGCCAACATGGCAAAACCCCATCTCTACTAAAAATACAAAAATTAGCCAGGCGTGGTGGCAGGCGCCTATAGTCCCAGCTACTAGGGAGGCTGAGGCAGGAGAATCGCTTGAACCTGGGAGGCGGAGGTTGCAGTGAGCTGAGATCGTGCCACTGCACTCCAGCCTGGGCAACAGAGCGAGACTCTGTCTCAAACAAAGAAAAAAAGAAAGTTCTCAATAAAGCTTAGCTGTCACCTAGTTGTCTCAACATGGCAGGAAGCAAAGGGCACCAGGTGCTGTTCTCAGGGGTCAGTTCCCAGGCTGTGCCACGCCAGGGGGAGGGGTCCAGGCCAGCAAGGAGTATGCTGAGGACACAGAGTCCCTCTCCCCAGGGCCCCCCAGGCCTTCCTCCCTGAGCTCTCCGTGACTAGAGGTATTAAGGGAAGAACAGAGTCCATGGAAGGGGCAGAGCAGGCAGTGGGTTTGGCTTCAAGGGTGACAGGTCTAGGCAGAGTTTGGTGGGACGGAGCAGAAGACAGGAGGAAGGAGAGATGGTGAGATGGGAAGACACCTCCCGGGAGGCGTTCCACCCTGACCGCTCTGAGCTGGACATGCTCCAACTTCAGTGTGTCCCTCCTCCACAGCAGCGCCCAGGCTGGGCACACAGAACTCCCCAGGGAGCACCTGCATCCCTCTGAGCTTTCTGCTCATGAAAATGGCCAAGTTTTTCACAGCTGCTACAGCCAAACTACATCCTACCCTCACCCTGGGCTTGGGCAGCTGGGTTTGAGGCCTTTGGGAAGGACTGAATATTTTGTCCTCATTAATTTCATCTTGCAATACCTAGTTCCTAGCTCCAGCCTATCAAGATCTTCCTAGATCCCTTTTTCTTCCAACATAGTTACTAGGCTTCTGGAAGTTGATAAATGTGACATCCCTAGTGTACTTCAAATGTTAGTAATAACAATGAACAGGTGGAGCCCTGTGGAATACACTAAAGACCTCTATTCGGATGGATCCATCTCTCTCTCTCTGTCTCTCTCTCTTTCTTTCTTTCTGTCTCTGTACCTAAGGCATAGTTAACCCAGCCAATTACGACCCACCGAACTGTATTCCACGCAGTCCATAATTCTCTACTGAGAACCTACTGGGTACCAGGCACTGTGTCGGAAACGTGCACTCTCCTAGGGCATGTGACATTAAACAAGTGATTGTGACACACTGTGGTAAATAACAGGATGGGGGATGTAGGAAGGAGGGACCCAACCTAGGAAGCCTCCTCATAGGAGTCAGGGAAGCTTTTTGGAAGTATACCTTAAACTTCCAAGCTTCTTTGAAACCAAGAAAGATGAGCAGGAAAAGAGAGAGGGTAAATTCCAGACAGAGGAAACAGCACCCACGTTTCAGAATCAATGGTGAGATGTTGTCCAGTACCTCCCTGTTCTTGAGAAGCCACTGTCTCTGCTGTAATGCAGGCATTCCCCGCCACTCCAAGGACCTCCCTCAGGCTTCCCTACGGTCTGTCCCCTGCCCCCAGGCTCTTCCACCCAATCCCTCCGCCCACCATGGCCAGATCCTTTCTTCTGTGCTCTCTGATCGTGCCAGGGCCCTGCAAGCCCTCGCCAGCTCCCCTGCCGTCGGAAGTCAATCACAGCCTCGACTCCCAGGTCCCCAAGTGTCTGTCCCCAACCCCTTCTGCAGGCTTTTATTCTCCTCCCCACCACCTCACCATACAGCTCTCTCAACAAACAAAAGGCTTGTTCTCCAGACAAGCCCACTTCCCAGACTCTCTGCCTTGGCTCTCAGTGGTGCCTCCATCTGGAAGAATCTTCCCTTTACTCTCCCCAGGGCTTAAGTTATATTAATCTTGCAAGGCCTGCCACAAACACCCATTCAGCCAGAAATCCTTCCCAGAATTTCACCCTGCCCTGAACCCCCACAGCAGCATCGTATCAAACCTCTTTGCTGGCACTGATCCCCTCTACCTTGTATTACATTTATTTGTATACACATTTATTTGTATCTTGTCTTCTTTAGTTAAAGGCAGAATCTCATTCCTTCCATAATTTCCTATAGCATCTGGCACAGTGCCTCAAAAACAGCCACAAAATGAACAGATAAATGAATGAACTCTAGATATGCCCAGTGAGTCAGTAGAACATCCTGGCAATGGTTTAAGCTTTGAAGCCAAATTAGTCACAGTTCAAATCCCAGCTCTATCACTTACTAGCTGTGTGGCCTTGGGCAAGTCACTTCACTACTCTGAGCCTCACTTTGCTCAATTGTAAAATAATAATTATGGGTAGTGTATAAAATTGCCTGGTGGAATTCCTAACATATGGTAGGCATTTGATGAATGACAGGAAGTGGTATTTTCCAGAGCAATCTCCTGTTCTGCCAGTGCCTTATCAGGAGACATCTAGCATTCCTTTTTTTTTTTTCTTTTTTCTTTTTTTTTTTAAGAGACGAGCTCTTGCTAAGTTGCCCAGGCTGGACTCAAACTCCTGGGCTCAAAGCATCCTCCTGCCTCAGCCCCCCAGGGAGCTGGGACTTCAGGCACACACATCCAGCTTAGCATGTCTTGTTTTTGATGAACCCACTGTGGCTCTGAAGGACCACCGTTGTCTTTTCTAAGTGCTTTTAAACCATATATTGACAAATTTGTTCTCCATCCATTGATAGTAAGACTGGTTATGAAAAACAGAACCTAATTAAGCTCCACGCTTTTAGCCCCTCTCACGATCACCAAAACCCTCACAGCCTCTGGCCACAAGGCAGGCAGACAACCCTTGAGCTCTTCATCGACAACCCAGTTCTGGGGTCCTCCCCTGCTCCCCAGCCCCAGCGCTGCTACCTGTATGGCCCCTCCCTACCTCCAACTTCCATCCCCTCTTTCTAGAGTAAGTTCTGCCCTTTACAGCAGAATTCCCTCTTCTCAGCAGAGCAGAATGTTTCAGCAAATAGGGGCAGAGGAGTTCTCCATTCTCTGCATCTCGTGGTTACCATCACCCTCTCTGTTCCAATGGGAAGCCATCTCGTCGCATCTGTCTTGCTCAGAACACAACTTTCAAATGCCTTTTCCCTGCTCTAGTTTTGCAAGATTCACCACATGCTGCTCTGGAGCCTGTCTGATACTGTTCCAAAAATTTGGGGCCTGAGGGTTGCACCCTCCGTACCTCCCCCATCTTCCCTCCCCTTCCCCTTATAGATGTCTATTTTTATACCTGAACTTATCCTAGGGCTCCCTGGGAGGCCATATCTGCCTTTTCAAACTTTTAAAACATCACCTCCATCTGAATTTTCAGAAATTCCTAACAGAAGAATTTTGTTCCCATCTCCCTAGAAGAGTTTTCTCATTTTAGAGTCTCTGTACATGGAATCTTACATTTTCACTGATTTTTTCAAAGGCTCCTTAAGTCCTTTGGTAAGGCTCTCGGTTGGGTGGTACAAATGGAAAGAGAGGCTAATGGGACGGGAAGGAAGACAGTGGGCTGAGGAAGAGCAAGTGGCTGGCGTTTGTGTATTCAATGAACGTATTCAATAAATACATATTGGGAGGATGAGGAAGAGGGAAAGCGATGAGGAAGGGGCTGAGAGATGGGGAGGGGGTGGCAGGGATAGAACAGAGAGCGGTAGGAATGGGAATGGGGGGAAGGAGGAGGCAGGTGGAAGGCTGAAAGCTGGTGGGGGTAGATGAGAGGGTGGTGGGCTGCTGGGAGGACAGGAGTGTGCTCCAGATCAACTCACTTCTTCTCCCGAGTCTTCTTCAGGATGAAGATGATGAGTTTCTTGATCAGCAGGATGAGGATGAGGAGCCCGATGACCCCGCCCACGACAGCCAGGATGATGAGTGTCACTGTGTTGTCCACTTCTTCCACTGTGTGGCCCGAGTAGGGAGGAAAGGGAAGGCACAAAGGGAGCAAGAGTCAACCTGGAGCCGAGAACTGTGGCAGTGCAAGGGCCATGTAGCCTCCACCCCCTGGCATCCGGGGCACATCCACTCCCAGACCCCCAGCCCTCCCCAGGCCTGCAGCAGGAAGCTGGAGAGGCAGAGCATGGCATCTATCAGGCTAGGGCACACATAAGGGGCCCTCTCCCCCACCCTGCACATGCCCTCCCACAGATGCACTCACACGAGTTCTGGAATAAATCAGAATTGGAGCCTATAACACTCAAGTTTGAGTGGTGACTTGATCCCCAAATTGCCAGGCGAAAATTTCATTGCCTCTTTCTAGACCCCTTTGCTCACACAGAAAAAATTAAGAACCTCCCTATGATACCTCTTAGATGGTGAGAAGATTTTGGAGTCAGATAGTCTGAATTTTAAGCATGGGATTTAACTGTCACTAACTAGCTGGCAATGTTGGGCAGGTCATTGAACCCTCCTAGCCTCAGTTTCTTCATCTGAAAACTGAACTCCTGACTGCTTCCGGAACCTGCTCCACCCACAGTCTTCCTCCTCTCCACTGAGAACAACTTTATCCTCCCAATTGCTATAACCACAATCCTTGGAGTCTTCTTTGATGCCTTTTATTCAAACGCTTTATCCAAGCTACCTGAGAATCCTGACAGCTCTAACTTTAAAATATTCCAGAATCTGATGGCTCACAATCTCCCTGGCCCTGGCCCAAGCCACCTCTTGCATGGATGTCTGCAATAGCTTCCTAACTGATCTCCTCCCTCTATCATCTATTCTTGGCATAGGGGCCTGAGTGAACCTGTTCAGGCCCTAACTCCTCTGCTCCCAGTGGCTCCCACCTCACTCACCCTTCCAGCAGGGTGATTACACAATCTGGCTTGACCTGACTCATCTCTCACTCCTTGCCCTGCTCCAGCACTAGCCTGCTGTGATTCTTCACGCATCTGCCTCAAGGCCTTTGCACTCACTGTTCCCTCCCTATCTTCCCAAAGATGCCCTCATGGCTCCTCTCTCACCTCCTTCAAATATCCCCACTCTATCGCCTTTTCCAGAGAGCCCTTCCCTATTCACCCTGCTGGCACCCCATCTTTCTTTCCTGCTTTATTTTTTCTTCTTAACACTAGCCATGTTCTCTTTTACAATATCATTTTTCTTCTTTATTTTCTATTGGTATCTCCATACACAGAAGAGGAGGAAGGTAATCTCCATAAAGGCAGGAATTTGTCTATCTTGTTCATATCACATCCTCGGAATCTAGAATAACGTCTGCCCCATACAAGGTGCTCAGTAAATATTTGTTGAACAGATGGATGAATGAATCCATACAGATGGAGAGACGATCCACCTCAAGGGAGCTGGTGAGGAGCAAAGGAGCTAAAATCAATGACAGCAACTAACTCGGGATCTGGCACCCAGAAAACGCTCCACAAATGCCCGTTCTCTTCCTTCTGAAAAGGCTGAGTACAAGCTGGGTGACAGAAGCCCAGACAGAAAGGAAGAGGTGACACCATAGGCAGACCTATGACTCCAGGCTCAGAAAAGCTGATTGGATAACCTCTGGCTCCGCCCTTGCATACTCGAGATTGAACTCACGGGTGTCTCCCTCTCCAGGGACTCAGTGTCATCCAGGAGAGCAGCAAACTCCCGGTACACACAAAATGCAGCAGAGTCAGGATCCTTGCGCAAGTCCCCTTCCCTTTTTCTCTCTGCTTCTGCACTTCCCTAGTCTTCCAGGCCCCTCCCCTCAGTGGGGCCATGCCTCACTTCTCCAGCCCTGGTTATCATATCCTCCTTCTCTAACCACACCAGGTCTGGTCAGGGACCACCTGGCTCCTTTTCATATGCACCCTCCTTGTATGATTGGTCCTCCTGTGTCAGACTGGAATCCTAGGTAGGATGTAAGCCCCCAGAGGACAAGGGCCATGTCTTACTCCATCTCTGTTGTTTTCACCTCTACTGACAGATGTATGCATCATGTTCTGCCCATTCTAGCTATTTATTTATCTTCTGTCCTACCTTGTACTGTGAATTCCTCAAGGAAGAATGTAATGTATCACTCATAGCACTTTTTAGTCCAATGCCTGACATTCAATCAATTTTTGCTAATGGAATACCCAATGGTATTAATAATCAGTATATACGGAGAAAACCCTACTAGCCACAAAACACTACCAGGTAGCTTCTCTAACCACAACTCTAGGAAAATGAAGCCATATTCCCATTTTACAGATGAGGAAAACGAGGCTTAGAGAGTATTTCATAAGCTATTTGGTAGCAGAATAAGTGTTCAAGCTGAGCTCTTCTAGCTTTTAGATGTAACTCCAGCAGCTCTGGAAAGTGTAAAGCAAAAGAAAACACCAACACGGTCCATTTTGCCATTTCACTGTGATGCTGAGTTGGGTGCCTCCCAAGTCCTTCCCACGCCACTGCCCTGTGCCAGCCCCTACTGCATACGTCTATCAACGACTTGGAGGAAGATGGTGGCGTGGTGCTGGAGATTATTCTCCTTGGGGTTCTTCACATGGCAGGTGTATTTGCCCGTGTCGCTGAACTCCAGGTCCCTCAGCACAATGGAAATGTTGTTCATCTTCTCCTTAGTAGAGCCTACCAGAGTGATGCGGTCATCGTCTTTCAACGTCACCTTGGGGTCAGACTTCTCATTCTTCACAGTCCCCTCTATGAGCTGGTGGAGGAAGGGAGTTGGGGTGAGAAAGTAGCCGAGAAAGAATCGGGGTCCTCAAGGGTCATGACATCACACCAGCCCACTCCTTGGATGCCTCCCCTGTCCAGGACCAGGAAGAGCCTGTAGTCACGCCCTGCTCCTTCCCCCCATGGTTTCCTCTTCCAGCGTCAATAGCTCTGCCTGTCTAACCTGAATTTTACTTGTTTCAGGCTAAACCCATTTCCTTTTATTAAGGTCTCCCTGGAATGCAGCACAGCTCTTACTGCTCTCTTCATAAAAGCCTTTTACCTAATGACTCCTGCAAGCACCGCACTCATCTCCCTCTGTCACCTCCCACCCAGCCTTTGCTGACACCATGTCACCTGCCCAACTGAATTTTGGCCCCCTGTCAAGACCTGGATCAATCCCACAGCTCTGCCCGTCAGCACCCTCTGAGGTCAGCATTTAATTATAACCAGAGTTGGTCTCTTGTGGCTTCCCTGTGAAAGTCTCAGGTTGGATCCCCCACTAGATTGTAGAGTGAGTACAATCTAGTGAGTTCACTCCCACCCCCACCGCAGCCGCGCCAATGCTCCTGCAGCTCTCCCTCTCTTCCTCTCTCTTTTCCCTGCCAGTCCAGCTTCTCAGCCCTTCCCTCATTCAGACTCTTCTCATTCCTTCTCTCCAAGCTTTCCAAGGCCTTTCTCTCTCCTGTTTCTTAGACTAAACTATTGATTTTTAGACAAGCAATCCAAGCTCCGGGTGTTTCTTAAGACCAGACAGAGGACTCTAGCCAAGAATTCCAACAGTCCCCGAATTCTGGCAACACGATCTAAGCATCTCTCCCAGTTACATCCTTCCTGGCAGGCTCTGAAAAGAATACTGGGAGAAAGGGTGGCAAAAGGTGGGTTCTGGGGACCATCGCAGTGGGTCTCAGTCCAGAAGGGACCAGAGCGTAGGAGGCGAGGCATGGGTGAGGGAGGCTGGGCTGTACTGTTCTTCCTCCAAATACTTACAATCTTGAATGCGTCACTGCTGTTGTAGGTCCACCGGAAGTGGAGGTCCTCGAAGCCAAAGCAGCTGGAGAAGGTGCAGGGCAGCAGGATCTCCGTGCCATTGACAGCGTAGATGTCGGTGGCCTTTCCCACAGACACCTCCAGCGACAGGGTTACGGGGAGCAGGAAGAGGCCTGTGTAAGGAGCACCGCCTCCCTTAATAAAACCCCACCAGCCTGGAGCTCTGGAAGGGGATGCTTAGGCAGGGCGGAGTAGCTTGGCCAGGCAGGTAGGTCTCTATCACCCTCAGTGCCAACCTCGGGAGGATGGCTGTCTACTCCAATCAGCACCGCCTGGGCCACCCTCCATCATTCTCCATTTCTCCCCTGGAAAGGACTGAATTCTGGACCAGGGAGTAGCCCTTGTTGCGCTCTGGATGACCACCAGGGGTCACCCCAACCCAAGGAAACAAAGGCCTGGCCACTGCCGCGAACCGCGCCCCGGCTCCGCCCCTCACCTGGGGACGCAGTGCCTGGAAGCGCTCCTGCCGCACCCACTCCAGGACGCGCAGGGCGGGCTCCCTTCTGTTTGCAGGGGAATTCCCCTAGGACAGTACGCGCCTCTCGCCAGGTTTTCAGGACTGACGGGCGGGGCGGTCGAGGAGGGGGAAGAGCCGGGTCCCGTAAGGTGAAGAAGAGAAACGCGGCCGCCGCAGTCCCGGGCCGCCGTCCAGTAGCCTCTCGTTCCCCCGCCCTGGAGGCTCCTCCCTGGTCCCCAGGGGCAGAGAGGCAGAAGGACACGTTCGGGCTGGACCTCGCTGGGCCAGCCGAGTCCGACGCCCTCTGGCCGCCAAACGGGACCCTGGGAACCGCAGGAAGACGGCCTGGCAGGGGGGAACACGGCGGGGGTGGGGACCGACGCGGGGCTTGGAGCTTGGCAGCCGCGGGGGCGCGCGGGCGCAGCCAGGGTGGGAAAGTCAGTGGCAGAAGACACCCTGGGGAGGGATTCCGGGCCAGCCCGAGTGCACGCGCGCGGGGGCGGGACGGGGAGGGCGCTGGACCCGCGGTCCCCTCCTGAGCCCTGCAGCCCGGCCTTCTCGCCACACTCCGCCCCCTCGTCCCCGAGCGCCCCCAGGCTTCTTTCTCACGCTTCGAACCTCCGCCCCAGCACTCCGATGCGGCCCCCTCCGCTGGGACTAGGCCTCTCCACTCACGGCCTCCAAACTCCCGCTCCGGAGTCCTTGTAAGGGGGCCTGGTTCCCCGCCACCCCGCCCCACACACACACCCACCCCCAGTCCTGCAGATGCCCCAAGGAAACCCCACTCGCCTCAAGGTCGGTGGAGGCGGGGGCGGGGAGGGTGTCTGGAAGTGGATGCCTGCCTCACCTCCTCCCTAGAGGACACTGGCACCTTCCAACCCCACTCTCAGGAAGGCCCTCTGTTGTCTAACTTAATTCCCTGTTCTGCATCATAAACCTCTTGTTTTGCCCCCACCGGATGATAATGCGTCTGAGCAATGCTTTTCAAATGACAGAAAAGGATCTCCAAGGACAGCAGGCAGCCCTGCTTGCTCAGCTTCTTCCTGTGCCCTTAGCTTCTGATGACAAAGTGAAGTGCTTATATCCCCCAGCCCTAAAATCACACCCCGTGGTCCAGTAACCCCATCGTGATTCGGCCATTGTCGCTAACAATAGTACTAGCTGATATTAACTGAGCATCTACTATGTGCCAGGCACATTTCATCCTCACGGCCTGTCCTATGAGTCACGTACTATTATAGGTCCACATTGTAGGTGAGACAACTGAGCCTAGAGAGGTTATGTAACTTGCCTAAGAGACCCAGATCTACCCACCAGGGCTCCAATTAGTGCTGGGAAGTTATTTCAATTAGCCTTTATTTTTGGCCAGCTCCTAGGATTTGTGGCCAACCAGGATTTGTTCTAGAGCCATGGTTTTCAAACTTGAGAGCGCATCAGAATCCCCTGGAGAACAGTTACGGCTGGCTCCGCCCAGCCCCTGGAGTTCTGATTCAGGTCTGGAGTGGAGCCTGAGCTTTTACATTTCGAGAAAGTTCCCAGGGAATGCTGTGCGCAGGGACCACACTTTGAGAACCACGGTGCGAGAGGATTTGTGCATACTAACTACGACTTTTATTAGAATGCTCAAAGGCAGGTATAATGTTCCCATTTTATATATGATGAAACTGAGGCTCAGAGAGTTGACTTGCCCAGGGCCACAGAGTAAATGGTGAATTTGAGACTGAGCAGTTACTATAGGATAGGAGAGGTATTTTATATACACTGTCTCATTTAACCCTCATCATAATCCTATAAGTTACTATTTTTATTCCCAATAAACAAATGAGGAAACAGGCTTAAAAAGATTACCTTGCTCATGGCCACACACCCAGTGAGTGGAATAAGCAGCGTTCAGATATTAGCCCCTTTCCACCACTCTGTGACCAACCACACTCTCCAAGAAAAACACTGCTATCAGGGCTTAGCACTCCATAGAACTCCTGCCTTTCTGTTTACCTCTGCCCTCCTCCGCCCCATCTCCCCCAGAGGTCTAGGGACAGAAGCCAGACACAAGATCCCACTCTCCAGTCTGCAGCCAGCACTAGAACCTTTTGGTGGGAGATACCAACTCTGCTTCCCACCCTCCACAGCCCCCACAAACAGGAAGTGAATGCAGAGCAGTGGACAGGGAAGCTGTCAGACAAGGCAGCTTCCTGATAGCTAATGGCCTCCCTCAGGGCACCAAGGAGTGTGGCAGCTCCTCCTCATCAGCATACCGGTCCAGGAATCAGGGTCCTGGAGGAGATGGGGGAACTCAAATCCGTGCCCAAATCTCCCCACCTCAACCCTAGCCAGAAAGAGATATTCAAGAGCACAAAAGATGCGTGCGAAAAGGAAATCTTATTGATTGCTTTAAATAGAAGCAAAAACGAGCAAAAGATGGGTCCAGAAGAGAGGGGAACACTGTATCTTTAAGGTCTGGCTCATGACACAGTACACGTTTCTGCCTGGTTTGTGTGCACCTATGTGGATGACTTAAGTCCAATACACTCAGGACTCTGCAAGTGAAGCATTGCCATTTCCTCAGTAGCTGGGAGGGGAAAATGAAAACCGGCAGAAATGGTTTCACAGAGTCCAGAGCCCTGCCCGAGTGAAAGCATCAGAGAGGGTGGGCAAGCCTGGCTTCTTCAGTGCACAGCCCTCCCAGTCGGGAGTCATGCAGTCCTGCCAGTTATGTCTGGGAGGGTCATGCACAAGAAAGCCGAGGGGCCTGCCTCCCATTGAACTCAGTGTCTCCTATGAGGCTGCTCTGGGGGAGAGGGGGGAACCAGGGGCAGGTGTTGGTCCACAAAGGCCGCCGGAGGGCTGCTTCAGGATGACCAAGTCCAGAGAGGACTGGTGAGCATGCGCAAGGCAGGCCCCACTCTGCCAGCTGACCTTGAGAAAGTCAGAGGTGCCACATCCGGTGTGCATATCCCCAAGCCAGGGCAGGGATGCCTCTTTCCTACTTCTCAAGCTTGGTGTGAAGCCAGAACAGGAGATTATAAAACACAAGAGGGGCCGCCGTGAGTGGGCACCCTGCAGGTAGAGGAGGGTGGTATTTGAAAGGGGAGCAGGGGACAAGGGTGTCCCTCATCACAGGTAACCAGGGCACCCCTAGCTTCCCTGAATAACCAGTGTCAGCCAAGAATGTCTCCAGGCCATTCCCACATTGATCTGTATTTTCACCCTCTACCACTTCTTGGCTTATTTCCATGTGGCCATTTCCCCGGAGTAAAGAAAGCCTTGCTTTGCTGTTTTCTAAAGTTAATTCTAGAATGTTAAAGTGTACGTGTGTGTGTGTGTGAGAGTGGGGGGCCTCTTTCCGGCATTGTGGAATTGAGGAACAACTCTTCCCAGTCCTGATCCTGTGGAATTCCATCCTGAACCCCAAAATCTTGCTTTTCCTCACTAAAAAGCCACTCTCAGAGCAGCCATTTTCTTTGCCTTCTCTGAAGTCCTGGCCCCCTGCCATCCTCATCTGGGGTTTTGTCTGAGGACTGACTCAGGATCACTTTTGTTAAAGTGGAAAAGTATTCAGCACATGCAAATCATATTATTAAATATTCACACCAGCAGGAATCTTATGGCAGCTACCATATATCCCAAGGCAAATGTGGAGGCAGAAAACTTTCCACCACCTTTTCCCACATCCAGGGATCACTCACAGCCACCCCAGGATGCGGGGAGGAAAGAGGGGCAGGCTGGTACCCACTCTAAATATAGCTCTGAGGGCTTGCTGGCATGGCAAGTGGACACACGGCTGACTTTAATAGGGAGGCTGATACACTCTGGCCCAGGGAGAGTTAGAAAGGCTCAAAGTTAGAGCTGGGGGGCAGAAAGTGGGCTGAGGCCAGCAGGACAGGACCCCTCCTGGGGTGCAGGCCCTGGGGGCTTTGGGAGGCAGGGATGGGCCAGGTAAGGCCCCTGGGCCCAGAGACAAAGGAAAGATTTCAGCTTTCTCTCCCTAGGCAACCTACCTGCTTCCTGCCCATCCCCAGGAGCTTTGCTGGTATGAAAGCATGCCCCTGAGACAGCATGGGATGCTCAGTGAAACCAGCTTTGCAAACAAGTCCCAGCAGCATGCCTGTCCCTCCTCTTACAGGCCAGAGAGCAGGTTGTGTTGGCACGGCCCACCCCTGGCTTATGCAGAGATCCCTACACCTCCTTGAGGACTGGCAGCAGGGCAAGGTGGTCTGCTGTGCCCAGTCTCCCTCTCATGCTGATCCCACCAGAAGGGGGCCAGTCATAAGAGCTTTGGAACTCCAGCCTTCTCTCTCAGGTGCCCCCACAGGCTTGCACCTCCAGCAGGTTCAGAAGGAGAACTAAGCATGTTTTCCAGATTCAAACCCAGGATTCCAGATTCAAACTCCCTCCACTTCTCCCCTTTCCTCTCTTCTCCACAGTCTCCTTGCTTCTTCTTTCCTTTTTCTTCCTCTGAGTGGGACTGAGCACCCTCTCCTTAATTGCATTCTCATTAAACAAGCCCTTAATAAATACACACCAGGGGAAACAGGGTTGTGCAATAGAGCACCCTCACAAGTGATAATTAAACACAGATCACAGCAATTAAGTAAATGGGGGAACAAGGAAGGAGTGGGCAGGACAGAGATATTACCAGTTACATGCTTAGGAAGAGATTGGAAAGCACATAAACCTCAATGGCAATAATATAGCCTTGGAAACTGCTTCTCAGTTTAAGAAAAGGGTATTTTGTTAGGTTATCAAAAATCACTTTGGTCTCAGTCTGTGAGACTGGGTTTGATACGGGGAGAGGGGAAGAGGACTCCTGGGAGTTCACTGCTCTGTACCCAGTCTCCGAAGCTGTGAAAAGAGCCGCTCTAGGCCCCTCAAGTCTTTATCCTTCCACACTCATGCCCCAGAGCCTCACTTATTCTTCAGCCCTAAGCACAATCACTATTTACCTTCCCCCTCACCAGACTTGAGTTAAGTGGGAAGCAGCGTGGTGTGACAGAGCCCAAGAAACTTAGATTCTGTCCCACTTGGCCATCAATTGGCCATGAGCCCCTAGACAAGTCACCATCCCTCTCTGGACCATGACTTCCTCATCCCTAGGAGAGTTCTGTGCTCTGCTTCCCAGAGTTGCTGCCAACTCTGATGTTCCCAGGGAACACCTCCAGTTGGCTGTCCAGTCGTCTCTGTATCTCCCCCACTGGACTGAGAAGCAAGGATGTCATCTATGTCCCAAGCTCAGACCAATGCCCCTGTGAGGGCTCAGTCAGTATTACCTGGTCAAGGGCCAAAGGGACTTTGGTTGGAGTCCCTCTGCAGACCAGAGGGGCAGGGGACAGAGCAGATGAGGCCAGTCCTGGGGCCTGCAGGTCTCCCACCTACAAGTCACTCTGCTTTCTCCTGGGCTCCCAAAGGGTAGCTCAGAAATTCATCTAAACCTATATCAATAGGCCTTAGCCCCTACCTGGTCTATACAGCTGAACAGTCCTTGGAGAAGGTGGGGCTTCCACCTGGAGCAATGTACCAAGACTGTGCCTACAATCCCCCTTACACACGTGCACACACACACACACACACACACACACACATCATTTTCAGGGCCCTCTTGGTTGCCCACAGAGGCCTGGTTCTATGAGTATTCTAACAAACAAGGGACTGGCATCCCACCACCCAGGAAGGTAAGCCAGAGGTGTGAAGTGGGGTAGTTTAATGACTGGCTGAGTTTGAATTCCTCAGTGATCCTTTACCCCTGCCATTGCCACCATGGGGACCTGGGCTGATCTGAGATGGGATGAGGGGAAGTAGCATGGAATGGCGCTGTGCCCACCCTGTGAAAAGGAGCCTCAGGCGTCACTAAGGCCCACTTCATTAAGGTCACTGTGAAACCAGCATGACATCTGTGCCAAGGTACAGGAGAAAACAAGGGTGTCTTCCATCTAGCGGTACAGAGGTAAATAAACATCCCAAGTACAAGAAATACTCTCTCCCCTCTTCACCACCAGGCACCAACCTGCTAGATCTGCACACAGTTTACATTCGCAGAAACAGTAGCCACTTCCCTTATAGGGTTCTGTCTCCCTGTTTTCAGCAGAAATACCTACACCGTGTGTCTTACCCAATGCAGGGAGCTGCCAAAAGCCAAATCTGACCAATATAAACAGGAAGAGATGCCGTTGCCAGAGATGGAGTCGGCTTACATTAAAGTCTGGCTATGATTTATGAGGAGATTACATCCTGGATGAATAAATATCATTCCCTAATCTCTTGGAGTTTGACACTCAAAACTCTCATGTGCATATTAATAGATATTAATAATGCTTCTTCCTCCGTGTCCTCTGGACATGTCTTCTCTGTCTCCATATTCACTTCAAAAATGAAGAGCCAGGAGCAGGTCAAACAGGTCTTCCCTACGGAATCTCTTTGTAGGAAGAGAGACAAGGCCGTTCCTAAAGGGCCTTGAATGATCCCGCAAGCCCCTCCAGCCCCTTCCAGCTTTCAGGTGCTGCTGTAGGGAAGGCAGTGGCTCCTGAGGGAGGTACAGGGCAGAGGAGCAAAGCAGGAAAAGGGCCCAGGAAGAAGGGGACTCCCCCACCCCCAACTGGTGCATGCCTGGTGCCTGGGAAACAAGCAAACGGCTCTGGGCCGGGATGGAAACCACCATTCCAACAGTCACACGTGCAACCCACCTGGTATCCCCTGCACTCAAGGCACGGACCCCCCTCCTCCAGCATCCTGAACCTCTGAACTCTGGAGACCCGCGCTGCAGCCCCAAGATCCAGCTCCAAATACCTGGAGCCGAAGGTGCCAAGGACAGCAAAAAAACTAATCCTGAGACTGGCGGGCTGATGGGGTAGAGAGGGACGCACACGGTCCCCAGGGAGCACAGCCTATGAACCAGGCAGGAACCAGGCAGGAAGCCGGCGGCCACCATCCTCATTCCGTGCCGCACTCCAAAGCCCACCCCATCCAAGGCATCTTCCTTCTCGAGTGTCCCCTTCTTTGGGGGTGGGGGGAGGCAAGAGAAGAGACCAAGCTGGGGCTGCCTTACCCAAAAGCCCAGTGCCCAGCCATCTCGCCGGGGCTTTGCCTCCGTCCCCAGCCCCGGGCATAGTCCTGTTCTCTCCGGAGCGCGCGGGGGTCGCGGGGATGGGATACTGGGCACAGCCGCGCTCTCCGCCCGAGGTCGGCGTTCGGCCACAAAGCTACCCCGGAGCTCTGCGCCGCCGGTCGGGGCTCGGGAAAGTTAGCGGGCAGAGAGCGAGAGGAGGGGGAGGGAGGGAGCGGAGGGGGAGGCGCGCTCGCCCGCTGCTGGGAGCCGGCTGCTGGAGCAACGGCGGGAGGGAAGGAGTAGGAGGAGCCGGAGCAGGAGCGGGAGGAAGACGGAGCGAGCGCAGCGGCGAGCGAGGCTGCGCCTCTGCTCTGGAAGCGCTCCAGCCGCAGGAGGGGCGGTGGCCGCCGCGTAGGCCGGGGAGCCCCCGCCCGCTGCGCACCCTGCCTGCCGCACCCCGCCTCGCGGTCCCGGAGCCCCGGGACCACGCCGTGCCCCCAACTCCCTCTCCAGTGGGGCTGGGCTGCTGCGGCTGGCACTGCAGGGCCGGCCTGCAGCCACCCGCATCATCCCATGCGCTGAGCTGCCAATTAGGAGCATAGTTCGGGGGGAGTAGAGGTGGAGCTTTTCGGTTGCTGGAAGACTGTTTTGCTTTGCTTGGGGGAACACGGGAAGGTTAGCGGCTCCCTCTCCCAGGACCGCCAAGGGACCGCTTTAAAGTCCGCAGCGGACGCTGCCGCAACGGGTGGGCGTGTGCGGGCTTGCCCACTGCAGCTTGCGCCTCCTCGGTGGCGTGCGACATGGCGCGCGTGCAGCCTCGGGACCCGCTCCCGCCACCTTCTGCCCCATCGCTCAGCAACTCCGGCGGTTGTTTTAGGAAGCCCGGAACAGAGCTTTCCCATTGCAAACTGCCCCGGCCCTCCCTTCCCCCACCCCCACGCCACCCCGCCCCACATTTCTCCATGGACCCCTTGGAAATCACCACGCTCCAGGTTAGGGAGCAGGTTGGTCCGCGCCTGGTCTGTGTCCTGCGCCCCATTTCACCCTCCCGCTGCACCCCTGCTTCTCATTTTTCCTACCTAGGCCGTCCCCCTCAGATGCTGCCTTTTCGCCCTCCTCCAACTCTCCTGTTTTCTTCGGAACGGCAGACTCCCTCGGCCTCCCTTTTGGGGTAGGGGTGGAGGAGTCCAGGGTGACAACCAGGTCAGAGGGCTGAGGCGAGGCTGTGAACGAGTAAGCCTTTTCCCAGACAGGCCCAAGTGAAAGAGTTTCACCTGAGCGGTGCTACTTGGGCTGGTGGTTCTGTAAATGAGTCGATCTCCTCCTCAGCACCTTTCCAACCATCCAAGACCCTCCCTGCATCACAGGCCCTCTTTACTGTCTAGGACTGGTCCGGACTGGGAAGCCCGCTCCCACTTCATGGTCTGACTTCTGCTGCAGGCACACCAACGCACCGCCTTCTTAACGAGGGGTCTCTGGGTGGACTTCGGCGTGATCACGGACCCCTTGAGGTTGCAGGCAAAGTGCTGAATGTCTGTTTGCTTTTTCAGGAGAGAGGGTCGCTGCCTTCCCTATAGTGGCACAGAGGCTCTGGCAGCGCCACCATTTATGACTGTATGGCTTTGAGCAAGTTACATGGTCTTCTGGGGGAGCCTCTGCTCCTCACCTATAAAATGGTGAATGCAATGATATTTGCCTCCTAGGCTTATTAAGAGCGATGTTACCCCTGGACCTGGGCAACAGAAGCCTCAGCCCTGATTTCTGGTTTTAAAGGCCCTCATTCTGGCCCTCCTCTGGCCATGCCCCTCACTGGAGAATGAGTCCATGGGACCAAGGGGGCAGGGCAGGTGGGGGCATGCACCTCCTCCCCTTCTAGACTGTACTCCAGGTATCAGGAACTCTGGAATTCCCTATTCCCCAGATCTGTCCTTTCAAGGGCTGGCCATATCAGGTGTGCACTCAAGGGCTAGAGCAGTGGGCAAGGGACAGCTGTATGCAGGTGATGGGGAGTGCATGTAACTTGACACACACCCTAGGCATGCACAAGAGCCCCTCTCACTACAGGACCAGAGAAGAGTGTGTACCAGAGAATGGCCTGAAAATTTCATTTTGGACATGGTTTTCCAGGTTATCATGAAGGAAAAGTAATTAAAGGCAGAGGATAAAACATCAATCTTAACACTTTGTTATCCTGATTAATATTTAGACATATGTATAATTTCCATTTGTACCTTTGCTCCAGGACTTGCAACATCAAAAGTGGACCTAGCTGTAAAGAGGGAATGAGATATTATTGCATGTAAAAGTGCTCAGCAGACAGCTAGGCACAGGATAAACACTCAGTACATTTGAACTTAAAGAGGTCTGTGGGCCCTGAGGCTAAGCCTCCCCATCTGTCTCCAGGTCCGCAGGCTTACCCTGTCCTTCCCCAGGAGGTCCTTGCACTAGATCCGCAGGGCCAGGCATACAAACTGACCACTTTATTTTTACAGCAGGGGTCATGTTTCTCAGAACCCTAGACTGAGGTGAGAGAGGAGGTGAGCCAAAGGGAAGGAAAGTGACCCCTGCCCAGAGCAGGGGGAGGAGAGGGACAGAGCTGCAGGGATATCTTTAGATCCTGGTGACAGGAAAAGATGGCCAACGTCCTCAGTGTCCTCTCCCCACCTTCCCTGCTACCTCACTGCTACCTCACCAGTTCATAGAGTTTGAAGGGTCCATAGGAAACCCTCATGCCTTAGGGATGAAGAAAGAGGCTCAGAGAGGTAGAATGTGTAACCCGAGGTCAGCTACACAGTTACTGTTAAAGTCAGCGTTAGAACCTCCCCCATTACTTGATTTCCCCAATCCACACCCCCAGCTTTCCTCTAAAGAACTCCAGGAGGGCTCCGCAGCTGGGCAGAAAGAGTGCTTGGGAAATGCATTAGCTTAAGGGCTAGAGGATTTTACATTTATAGAGCACTTTCCTCAAAAATTCTCAAAACCCTAGCCCATCGATCTAACTCAGAGGCTGCTACTGAGGATGCCAGGGGAGAGGGTGTCAAAAGGTCAGAGCTCCTTCTCTCTTACCTTTTCAAAACTATCTTTTCCAGGGGCCCTCCCTGATTTAGCACCTCTTCACCCAGCTCAAGAGTCCCCAGTCACACTGGATAGGGACAGGAAGAAACAGACACCACACCTTGGCTCCTGTCCCTTCTGCTGGAAGTCCCTTGGGGGAGGGCAGGGGTGGTATCTGGGTACACAGTCCCCAGCCACGGTCGGACAAGCCCGATTCCTGGTGATGGGGTAATGCACACGCAGCTCTTGGGTGGCCTAGCTCAGAAATACATTGAAGAGCCAGTTTTCAAAGATGCAGAGGCCGATTGGGCCCTGTGCCACAGAGTTGTCAGAGAACTGCCCGCTCTCAGGCTGCAGGAGACAAGGCCTAGATTTAAGGGGAAGGAGATTGTTTCCTTGGGGATTCGTGTAGGGTTCTTTGAAGCAGTCAGCCCAACAAAAATCCCCAGGGACCAAGCAACTGACTCAGTTGGTCTCCTTCTCCCCTGCCCTCCTAGGGAGCTGGATCTGAGCTAGGAAGGAGGGTGGGTGCCTGCTTTCCAGCAGGGGCCAGCCTAGAGAGGAATCAGCATGCCCCAGGGGAAGTCGGATGGGCAGGAATGGGCTGAGCTCCAGCTGCCAGCCTCCAGAGCCGCTCTTACACTGGAAGGCATTCACCCCCTGGAGCAGGATCACCTTGTACAGATGATCAGAGTGGGTACATGGAATGCTTCCTCCCCTGTCAGTTCTCAGGAAGGCATCGAGACCCTGTGCAGAGGAGGAAGGGCAATAGAGAGCTCCAAGGAGGTCTCCAGCGCTATTTTGAGAGGAGTTCCTCCTAAGTAACAAGAGCCTGGCAGGGAGCCTCCTCCCACTCTGGCTCCCCTGTTGCCCTTCCCCGCCTGCCTCCCTCTCCCTCCTCTTCCCCCATAAACCCTCGCGCTCCTGCTGGGGCACTGCAGGTAACAGAGGGAGCTCAGCGCAGCGCTGACTCGGCTCTTGGAGCTGGAGGACAACGGGCTCTGCAGGGAGCCCGCCTCCCCCCACACACACCCACCTCACAGCTCCTCCCCAGAACAACACCAAGAGGTGCATCTCGCCTTCCCCGAGCTACCCCCTGGTGGTAACCAGAGCCCCGGTCTCAGGATGGGGAAACTGCAGGCAGGAGATTCTCTACTTGCACTAACTTAAAGTTAAATGTCCACAAACCCTTCTGCCACTTGGGTAGGGATTGAGTGGACGCTACCTGGACAAACTTTTAGGAGCTTCCTCCTGCTGCACTGAGGTCTTCTCTCTACCCCTCCCTACTCACCACTCCCTTCCTCCAGCTCAGAGCACTGGCTTGCCCCTAGCCAGAGTCTCAGCGTCCACTGAAGTTTGGCAGGTGCCGAGGGGGTTAACAGGACAGCATGTACCAAACCAACCCGCAGGCACGCGGCTTAGCGGTCCAGCAAGGAACACCGCACAGAGTCCACCTCACACCAGCGAGTTGGAGTAAAGATAAACTCTTTCTGAATCCTTCTCCCAAGGAGAGTCGATCGCTTCTTCTCACTCCTCTCTGCTTTCTAGGGGCTCTGGGCAGAGGCAGGTAGGCAGCCACCTCCTCAATCCCTCCCTTCCTCTGTTTCTGTTTTCTGCCAGGTTCTGTCCAAACATCCTTTCAGGCTGAGATGGGTAGGGAGCCCCAGACAGATGAGCTCATTGGAAGGAGGAGGGCAGAGGGAGGAGGGAGCCGAAATATCCTGACCAGAGGGATGCTCACCGGCCAGTCCCGAGCTGGAGAGGGTGTGTGCCCACTTCCGGGAGAAGGTATGTGCTGCCCTTGCAGTAGCTCCGAGATGGGGTGAGTCCTGGACATCTCTTTACTATAGGCCACATTGGGGTGGGGTTTGAAGCCCCCGGACAGGGTGTCAACCACCCTACCCAGCACCCCAGAGCTATATTTCTCTCTCTGCTTCATGGATCACCATGGCCCCCTGCCTGCCCATCAAGGGAGGATGGTGGCTCAGGAGGGCTGGGAACTGGAGGCTTTGGGAAGGTTTGTCATTCATTGCAGCCTGCCGCTCACAGGACTGCCTTGTCAGCTGAATAGTCAGATGCCCTCCTGGCCTGGCTTTGAAATGGGCACCTGAGACAGACTGGCCAAGCCAGAAGCACAGCACAGCGCGGAGTACCCGGCAGGACTCCCCAGATGCTCTGGTTTCATGCATTAGGAGCATTTTAATGTGGGAGCAGTGGGTCTTGCAAAGTGAGGGGAGAGGGAGGATGTGGACCTGGAGAGGAAATGCGGCAGAGAAGGTGGGGGGCAGAGGAGAGGAAGAGAGGAGGCCTGGGAGCAGAGGAGAGTCTTCCTGAGTCGAGGGCAACTTAAAGTTGGAATGTGGCTCAGGCTGAAGGGGACGGGTGGGGACAGGGAGACAATTGTTTAGTAGGTGAAGCAGAGGATACACAGGCTTTTGGCAGGAAGGGAGTGGAGCGAGAAGCCAGGGGAGGAGAAGGTGGCCAGCAGATGCTGCAGCTGTTTGCACAGAGCTGTGGGGCCAAGGGCCAGGCCATGTAGGGGTGGGCAGGAGGGGCCCGCCGGGAAAGCGTGGCCTCTGCTCACACTTTTGCCCTTATGCTGTTGTCCATGGTCATTTTAGGGTTGGTTCCAAGCCACCCTTCCCTCACCCACAAGTGTTCGGTCTGCGAGAGCCCAGTTCACTGTCCTTTCTCCTGGTGTCATGTAATGGCTTTGGTTCATCAGGCCTTGAGTGTGAATTTGGCTCTGCTGTTTCCTAGCTGTGCCACCTTGTTTGTACACATACTTATAATACTGCAGAACTTTGTTTCCTCATGTGTAAAAATGAGAAAAGAATGCATTTGGACGGGGCCTTGCCCTAAGGATGAAGTAAGCTGATATACATCAAATACCTAGATCAGCACCAGGCACAGAGTAGGTACTCAGTAAACAGTGGCTCTTCTTATTGATCTAGCCAAGAGTCCCATACCTTCCTCCTTCAATGCCCTTCAAGTTCAAGATGGCCATGAAATCCACCCCTTAGCCCTTCCAGCAGGCTCAGCTCCAGTGGACAGCCTGCACGGGTATGAGCAAGCTATGGGGGGAGTTGAGGGAGATGTTGACAGATTTGGCAAAGCTGGGAGCACTCAGGGATAGGGAGGCAGGGAGGACTTGTATCTTCCATCTACAGTCTTGACTGGAAAGACAGGAGTTTCTGACCTGGCTGGTGGGCCTAGGAAGGCAAGCTAGACTTGGCCTCATCTTTGGAAAGAAGCTCCCCAAGGTCACCTGTCTTCAAATTTCCCACCCTCTCCCAGCGTATTTCTCACTGTACATAGAGGTTCACCCACACCCCCCACGTCCCCACCACTGATAGATCAGATACAGAAGAACCAGGTAAAGCGGTACAGGGGTATAGAGGGGACCTGGGGAAGACCACAACTGAGTAAGAAAGCAGAGGGCCAGACACGTGTGCATGTTTGCCGGTGTATGTGTTATACTTATCTTCAGGCAAGCAAGACTTTTATCCCACTTCTATGATTTGAGTCCTAAAAAGAAGACTGCAGAGGGCCATTATCAGTAGACTTAAAGGCTATCTAAAAGTATGCCCTGATATAGGAACTTTCTCAACAACACCCCTAAGTTATGCTTAAATACCTTCTGGGATGGGGATTTCATTACCTCAAAAACTCGACCCTCTGCACAGCTCTGATTTACACTGGATGAATATCTGTCTCTCCCTGCCAGTCCTAATGTCTTGCCTTGGGACAGAATGGGACAAGTCTAATCCCTGTCCCTGAGGCTACAGCCTGGGCCACTCTATCGGTCAACAGCCACGCTATCGGTCAACTTCCCCTCCTGGCTGAACACACCCTACTCTTCTGCCCATTTGCCCACAGGAAGAACTCTGAATCTGTTGGGGCTAACCGTTCCTAGTCCCTTTGCCACGTGTTTACTGGGAATGTGTCCCACTTGAGAAGCAGAGGCAACTGTGGTTGGGATAGAGGTGACTTTGCCAGGGCCATAGGGGAAAGCCCCTCCCATGGGATCCAAAGTAGCCAAGCTGAATGCCTGGCACCCACTTGCCCTTCCTTCCCCAGCACCTCCTAGACCTGAAGGTCATTATTGCCAGAGAAAAGACAAAGTTGCCATACCAGGCCACCGACTCCCCCATCCCAACTCATCTATTCCCATCACCTCTTCCCCAGGGCCTTGCTCCCTTTTCTCCTAGGCTAGGCTCCACTGACCGCCCCCCACGACATCCATGTGCCGTGTCAGGATGCCAGGATGTGGTTCTCAGCGGGGCTTCCTTCCCCAGGCCCTCCGGAGCCCTCATCCACTGGGCTGCTGGAGCCTGTCCTAAGGAGTAGCTGGCACTCTGGACATCAGCTTGGTAGCAGGCAGCCAGGAGTGACTAAAACATGGTGGGTTTTGGGGTGTGATTCTGTAGGAAGAGTCGGGGGCAGCAGTGCTACCAGGACTTTCTGAGAAGAGTTCCTGCAGAGCCCTTCCCGTGCGGACCTTCTGAGCCCCCAAAGAACCAATGAAGAAGGCCAGGAGACCTAGTAGGGACCTGCCAGTTGTTCTGTGTCCAGTTCTGTGTCCAGTTGCCCAGCCTGCACCCATCAGACACTATCCCAGGCTGCTGTCACCTGAAGATGATTTGATACTACGTTCCACCCTTGCAAGATGGGAGGGAGATAAGTAGCCTAAGAGGGGCCCATATGCAAACTGACATGAGTCACATCATGCTGATGGGGGGTGGGAACAGGACTCTGGGAACTAGTGCCAAAGGACATGAGCCTATTTGCCCAGGGACATCAGCTCAGCCTAGGGAAGGCCTTGACTGGGGGAAGAGAGACTTGGGTTCTATCCCAGGCTCTGTCATTAGCCAACTGTATGACTTTGGGCAAATCACGTTCCCTCTCTGAACCTCAGCTTTGAAAACTGGGCCCTTAAGGAAGCATGAGTGCCTCTTCTGCACCAACTCAGGCCAAGCTGGGGAGGGAAGGGGAGGGGTCTGGGCTGGTGCATGCTGCTGTGTCAAGCACTAGACCCAGCACCTGTGGACTGCAGGAAGAATAGCGGACTTGGAGCCTGCCAGACTCTGTCTGTACTTGACTCATCATGTCGCCTTAAGCATGTCACTTCTCTGTTCTGGTCTTCAGTTTCCCCTTTAGAACAACGAGGGGCCTTGACAGGTATTCCTGGGGGCCCTCCCATCTCTGCTGTTGTAAAGGTCTACTCCGTCACCCCTAATCCTTTTGGCCCAGATTCCTATTCCCTAGCAACCATCCATGGGCAGGCCGATGGCTATCCCACTGGGATACCCCATGCATGGGGTGTCCAGTGGGAACTGGGAAGCTCTTGTACAGGTACCTCCACCTCAATTGAGGGGCACAGGAGACCAATAATTTTGAGCACCAGGGTGGCAACTATCCCTTCCCCCACCAAGGCAGCTTGTTCTGCAATCGAAATTCATCCACCCCGCCCCAGGCAGGCTGGGCCATAGAACCCAAATTTAGGGGAGATGCCTGAACCAAATCCAGCCTTCCCAGAAACCAGGCCCAGTTCGTGACTACCAAGACCCTCTTCCCCAGGGCCTTGCTCCCTTTTCTTTGACCGTAGGAAGAACTCTCAATCTGTTGGGGCAAACTGTTCCTTAATCCCTTTGCCACCTGGTCCCCAAAACCAAGTGTTTGGGGGAGAAGCCCAGTGAGGAAGATGCTGCTGGCCTGGCTGAATATCAGGGGCCTGTGTCCATCCTGGAAGGAACCAGCCAGAATCCCTGGTGCCTTCTGCTGCTCAGTCCGTGTCCCTCGCCCAAATGTTCCTATCTGTTAAGTAGAGAAGCATCCCCCCGCAATACCCCATTCTTGGCAGGACTCAGGCTCCAGGGATAGACATCCTTTTAAACCAAGGGAACTTTGGCTCTGTTGAATACCAGCCACCTTTGTTTAACACTGCCACCTCCAGTCTGACTTCTCTCCCAAGTGGCAGCTGTCATCCTTTAAGCCATTAGAACCACAAATATCAAGGTCCTCTTGGCGTATTCCTAACTACTAACCACTGGTGAGGGTCTCTGGGTCTCCAGGGAGCAGACAGGAATGAGACAGAAACCAAGAGAAAAGTAGGAACCAACTACCTAAGTATGTCCTTGCCATTCAGCAAGTTGAGGTTTTTCTTGCTGAAAAGGGTTAGCCAGCCCGTCTCTCTTTGCAGTGGTCCTTAGTTAGGAGGAAGACACAGATGGGGGTGGTGGCAGGGTGAGGTTCTGAGAGAGCAGGAGAGGCTGGAGCAGTTGAGAAAGTCAGCAGACTGAAACCACCAGAGCGTGGTGGCCGGAGCATGCAGCCAGAAGTGGGGCTCGAACCCCAGAGTAGGAAGAGGAAGGTAAGCCTGGTAAGCCTCCTAGGCAAGAGAGAGAGAGACAGACAGACAGAGAGAGAGAGAGAGAGAGAGAGAGAGCGGTGCAAGGGAGAGAGGGAGAAATGCAAAGAGACGGAAGAATGAAGAGCAAGGGAGAAAAAAAGGCCTGTCTGGGACAGTGGAGCCCCTAGCCAGGAGGTTGCCCTTGGTCCTAAACTTCTTAGGGCTGCTTTGGCACATATATATAGGATCCAGCAGTATGTAGATGGGACATGAGCCACCTGAACCTTCCCACAGCCACCCTTCTCCATGAACTGCATGAGGGCAGACTCTGACCAGCTGTCATCTATTCTTTCTGAGTCCAGAGGAGGCAAAAGAAATGTCTAATCCAACACCTTTGGGGAACAGAGCAGGAAGGATGGCCTGTCTGCCCATGCAAAGGACAGGCAACATCCGCATGACAGTCAGCCTTGGGAGCTTCCGGGGTTGTCTTCATCCCCAAAATAATCGAGAGCCCTCCAAGAAGTAGGTGTTCAGCCACTCTGTTCCAGGGTGAGCGGAGTCCCCAGGGGGTTGGGGAAGGCAAAGGGATGAAACATCTGTGGGGGCACAAGTGTGGGGTAGACAACCTTCCCCTTGTGAGGCAGGGGCATTGAGGCCCTCAGATGCTGGAGATCTGGCAGCGCCAATGGGATTACCAGGAAAGGAGCACCTAGGGTTCCAGTTAAGATCCTGGTGAAGCATCAGCCTACCCTGCCCTGAACCCCTGAATAAAGCCACACTCGAGGGATTTTCAGGGGAGATAGTTTATTGTTGCCAGTAGACCCAAACAATAAGACAAATTGCAAAAGAAACTCAGTCTGCTCCCAAAAGCAGATACATCCCAGCAGTCGAGTCACAGAGGGCCATCTCAGTTTCTCTCCCCTTCCAACCACCCCTTCCAACCTCTCTATAGCACACACAACCAAGAAAGTGCATATGTAGTTGGGTTTTCCCCTCCAAGTGCACAAAGCGCAAGAACATTCCAAAATTTGCCTTTGGTGAATCAACTCAAAACACTGAGAAGTTATTACACCTCCCCACACACACACAGTGTAACTTTTGGGGTGGGTGTGGTGAGATGTTTGATATTTGTATATATAATATATCTATACCTAGAGAGAGAGACTATGTACAGTGCATCAGCAAGCTTCAATAAAGGAAGACGCCAGCAAGAGGCACAGCAAGAGACACAGGCTGTCCATCTTTAAGACATAAGTAGGAAGGAAGATTTCTTGCTTCATCACCCGTTAACTGCACCAAGCCATTCCTATGGCCTGGAACTATCCTTTTGGACCTGCCCAGTATTTTCAATTGTCTGTCTGCTTAACCTGACCTTGCAAATATTTACCAGCCCAACCTCCCCAAGGAGACTCGCAGAGAGAAACATGGATCCGATCAGCTTTTCCTTTTTATAAACTGGAAATAACTGTGAAGAGTCCATAGCTAGGGGGCAGATAGCTATTTCCAAAGCCAGTTCCAAGGCACCTCAAAGCAGTTCAGTCCTGAATAATTGTGCTTTGTTCTTATAAGCTAAATCCCATGGGTTAGCCAGCCCGTCTCTCTTTGCAGTGGCCCTTAATTAGGAGGAAGAGACAGATGGGGGGTGGGGGCAGAGGGAGGTTCTGAGAGAGCAGGAGAGGCTGGGGCAGTTGAGAAAGTCAGCCGACTAAAACCAGCAGAGCGTGGTGGTGGGAACATGCAACCAGAAGTGGGGCTCGAACCCCACGGTAGGAAGAGGAAGAACTTGTCAGCATAAGTTAGGAAACAGGGTAGGGAAATGGCTGCTGTGGAAACATCTCTCTGGTTTTCCACCTCTACTTACAGAAGCCCCATTTTGCTCCCAACTTCACCATCCTGGGGGAGGCAGCTCTATGAGTCCTCTGGAGGAGATTCTAAGAGGCTCCAGAAGAAAATGCATATGAGGGCTGAGCACCTGGGACAGAGATGGTTCCTGACCCAGCCCCATCTGCTGGGGCCCTGAGGCCCGTGAAGAGACATTGCTTTTCCTGGGCCCCAGTTGATCAGGGCAGAGGAAAAAAAGACTCCAGGAATCTTGGGCTTCTTGATGGAGAGTTAGAACTTCTTAGAATACACTAGGAAAGCCCGCAAATAATTCCCCTAAATGTTATGGATCCTGGAAAAAGATAAGTTCCCAACATCAGCACAGCTCCTCACTCATCCTGGGAGAGAAGGACACTTAAAGGGTGACCAAAAAAATGAAATCTGCAAGCTGCAGAAATGTATACAACCACTCTTGGTCTCAGCTGGCATGAGGTGCCCGCCACCCACCTCTCTGCCCCCAGCTGGCTGGCTCAAGGATGGGCAGCGTCCATCTGCTGCAGGCATCCTGGCGGCTTAGCCCACCCGCATTGGCAGTGTGTTGATTGGCAGTTAGGTACTGAGCTGATGAGTTTAGCATTTCCAGATGGGCTTGACTCGCTCACCTCACCCAGGTGTTACCAGGCTGGTTGCCCATCCCCCACTCTGCACCCACTCTGCCTGGCCTCTGCACCCTTGACCCTGTTGTATTGCCCCTCTTCCCTGCTGTTTCTCCCTTCCCAGGGCACAGATTCTAGAATCTCTTCATCTTCCCCAACTGTAGCCTTGGAAGCAGTGTCTTGCAGAGGTGGAATTAGATGCACCAAAAAGTTAATCTTGGTCCCTACAGTGCCAACCTGGCAGTCCCCAGTGCTTATGGCTTTGTGTATATCCCCAGTGCCCGGCACAGTGCCTGGCACATAATAGATGCTCAATAAATGGTTGCTGAATTGAAGCAAATTAAGCTGAATCTCCCAGATGATATTGCTGTCTCCCCAAATTGGCAATCTGATGGGCAGAGGCAGGGATTGGTCCCTGAGACTGTCACGGTCCTGTCTCCACCCCCTTTCCTAGACTTATTCCCTACCCTGGGCACCTGACTCCTTGAGTAGGGGTGGGGCAGAGCTCCTGGAAAGGCTGGGAAGTGCTGGGGCAGGGAATGGGGCATTTGCCAGCAGCTGTGCCCTTCACACTTGCTCCCTCCCTCCCTGCTTCCCTCCACTCCTCCTCAGTCCTGGCCAGAGGGGCTGGGCTCCTGGGAGGGGGCAGGGCTAGAGAAGCCCACCCCTCCAACTCGCCCCATCATAGACCAGGACACAGAGGCCCCTCCCACTGGGAAAATGATGGCTCTGTTGCTTCAAACTGGAGACTGAGGAGCCAGAGAAGAGGGCAGGACCCTCAGTTTCTGTCAGTTGGAACCTCAGTTTCCCCATTTTAAGTGAGTGACTTGGCTAGTTGATCTCTGAGGATCTTCCAAGGTCATGGTCTCAGAGTCAGTGTTTCTGCCTCTTGCTCCTTCTCTCAGGCCTAATCAATTTCCATTGAATGTGAGTGTAATGGCAGTGATGGTTGGCTCCGCACAATTGCCTTTTTTTTTTTTTTTTTTTTTTTTTGAGATGGAGTCTCTCTATGTCACCCAGGCTGAATTGCAGTGGCACTATCACTATCTCAGTTCACTGCAACCTCTGCTTCCCGGGCTCAAGCGATTCTCCTGCCTCAGCCTCCCAAATAGCTGGGATTACAGGCACACGCCACCACGCCCAGCTAATTCTTGTATTTTTAGTAGAGATGGGGTTTTGCCCATTTCTACTAAACAGATGGAGGTAATCCACCCGCCTTGGCCTCCCAAAGTGCTGGGATTACAGGCGTGAGCCACTGTGCCTGGCCTACAATTGTCACTTTTGTCCCCACGAAGGGAGTTGTTGGGAGAGGAGCGAGTAGTGTGGCTGCAGATGGGACAGGGCTGGCATTGGCAGCTCAGGTTCCAAGGCCTCCCCTTATGCCGGCCTCAGGCTTTCCCTTCCCTCTCTGTAGCCAAAAGCCAGGTGGAAACCCCACCAAGGGCAACTGGGAGAGTTCTCACTGAAGCCCCAAAGAAAGCTGCCCCACCCTGTGCATGGCCTCCTCATTTCCCAGCCTTGGCTGCCCCTGCCCAGGCGAGGGTGGTTACCCCATGGAGAAGGCAGAGCCTGCAGCAACCTGCATTCACCATGGAGCCCCACCCCTCAGCCCCTCAGCTGACTTTGAAACTGGCCTCTGTTGGTGGGTCCCCGCTGGGAAACATGGCCCCCTACCTGGAGCTGCTCTTCCAGTCTGGCCTCATCCACAGTCCTAAGGGATTAGGAGCCAACGGGAGCCCCAAGGAGGCCACTAGCAATGGAAACGAGGGCCCAACATGGCCTCCTGGGCCAGGGCACATGTCCAGCTTTGCCTGCAGCCCTGGCTTTCCGTCAGTGCCCTGGAATGCACAGTCATCCCTTTAACATGCCCCTCCAAGTTTCAGGAACTCATCGTCACCTCCAGCCTGATGGCTGCTCTGGGCTGGGAGCAGGGGAGGAGCACAGCCGTGCCAGGCCAAGGCCCTCCTGAGGGAGCGCTGTCAGCACAGGAAAGCCCTCCCTCCCCACCAGGTCCTCTCTGAAGCCACTGCCAGGCCAAGCACTGGGCAGGTGGACAGCGGCCCCCTCCTCTACCCCTGCCCACCCACTCCCTTCTCTCTGGGGACCCTCACATGTGCCTCCTGCCTCCCCCCAGGGACTGGCAGGTGGGAGCCCTTTCTCTCCTCTCCCCAGGGCCCACACGTCCCAGAGCATGGCAGGTTTCTCGGATGGAAGAGAGTGGGTCACTCTTGGTGCAGGGTGGGAGATACGAAGTCGGGGGTTCAGGAGGCCCCAGGTGGGCCCTGGGGTCCTAGGTCACGGGAAGCACACCAAGAGCGAGCAGGCAGGGTCACTGTACAGGGCGGAGAGGGGAGGAGACGGGACACGGGAGGCTGCAGGGCCGGCCACCCACTACTTGGCGCCATCATCCGGGTTGCCTTCACCGTCCGTCTTGCCCTCCTCCTCGGTCTTCAGGTCATCTGTGCTCAGCTTCTGCTCTTTTTTTCTCCTCACACACTTGACCACCATCAGCACCAAGATGACCACAGCCAGGAAGCCCCCGACGGAGGCACCCACAATCACGGCCACCGTGGAGTCCCGCTCAGGGGGCTCTGGAAAGGAAGCAGAGCCACTGAGCACCAGGGCTGGGAAAGGGGCCTCCCCCATCACCCCACTACCCGTGGCATGCGTGGAACCATCCTGACTTTACTCTCCTCCACAGACAGGACTTTAGCAAAGCCGAAAAGCAATCCAGTGACTGACCCTGAAGCGCCGCCACCTCCAAATCCCAGGACACCCAAAGCCCCCAGAGGAGCTAGTGTGATGAAGTATTTAAGAGCATGAACTTTAAGATCAAACAGACCCAAATTTGAGTCCTAATTGTACAACTTACGAATTGCGTGACCTTAAGTAACTTATCCTCTCTAACCTCAGTTTTCTAACATGTAAAATGGGCTTAATAATAGTACCTCCCTCAAAGGTTTTCATGAGGATGAGATAATGCATAAACAGAGCTTAGCCCTATGACTGAGACATAGAGGTGCCCAATAAATGAAAGCTGCCATCATCACCATCATTATTATTGCTGTTGTTGTCATTTGAAACAGGGTCTTGCTCTGTTGCCCAAGCTGGAGTGCAGTGGCACAATCATGATTCACTGCAGCCTCTACCTGCTGGGCTCAGATGATCCTCTCACCTCAGCCTCCCAAGTAGCTGGGAGTATAGGTGCAAGCCACCATGCCCAGCTAATTTTTGCATTTTCTGTAGAGATGGAGTTTTGCCATGTTGCCCAGGCTGGTCTCGAGCTCCTGAGCTCAAGCTATCTGCCTGCCTCAGCCTCCCAAAGCGCTGTGATTACAGGTGTGAGCCATCACACCAAGCCCCATTATTAAGACTGGGATTATATTCTGTATCATTACCAGGACTCTCTGGGACATGTTCCCAGGTTCTTGAGGACTAGAGGGAAGAAAATGGATTCCTTCTATGCAGCACAAATGGTTGCTCCCATCCTCAGGAGGGCCTGGCCTCCCCAAAGTGCCCTGAGCAAATGCCGCAGAGAGTAGGTGGGTGGGAAAGGTCAGGGCCCCGCAGCTGGCACCCCAGCCTTCACCTTCCATGAGGACCTGCAGATGGATCTTGCCATGGCCACGGTGGCGGTCAGGGGGGTTCATGATGTAGCAGTTGTAAATCCCCTCATCCTCCGGCTGCACGTTTCTCAGCATCACCGACACATCGTACTTGCTGGGGTTCCCTGAGAACTCCACGCGGTCTTGAAACCGCTCCAGCTTCAGGTTAATGATCTTCATGCGGAACTGGAGGAACTGGGGTTGGAGCAAGGGACAGGATGGGTGGCTGGATGAGCAAGGAACTACAAGGACAGTGAGGATGCCCCCTCTTCCCATCCACCCTTTTCCTGGGGAAGAGAGGCAGTTACCTCTGTGAGGCACCTGGATGCGCAGCACACCTTGTTTCAAGAGCCTCCAGAGCACGCAGCCCACCCAGGGTCCTCTGGGGCCCTAGCGCAGTGCCGGGGCCGGTGGTGGGACCAGGGGCTTCATGCCATGGGGCTCCTACCTCCTCCCCTGCCCCTGCCTTCAGCCCAGGACTCACCATCTCCTCAGAGCAGTTGTTGCACTCCTGGTAAGTCCAGTTCAGGGAGAACTGTTTGTGGTTCACTGTGTAGCAGGAGTTGAAGGTGCAGGGCAGGCGGGCGTCAGAGCCATTGAGGACGTTGAGGGTGGCAGGTACTGTGACCTCCATGCTCCGTCCTGGTGGCACTGCAGATGAAGCCACAAGCTGGTGAGGAGTCTGGCTGAAAGGGCTGGGGAGGGGCAAGCCCTCTGTGCCTGGGAGTGTTGGGGGATGAGGCAGAGCAGAGCCACAGGGAGGGGACTGGGTCCCTGACAGCTCCAGTTAATCAGGAGGTGGGAGTTACTGTTATTTGCAACAGGGTCTCTGTTGCCCAAGCTGGAGTGCAGTGGCGCAATCATGACTCACTGCAGCCTAGACCTGCTGGGCTCAGGTGATCCTCTCACCTCAGCCTCCCAAGTAGCTGGGAGTACAGGTGCAAGCCGCATGGAATTGGACTTCGTTCTTCCTGGCAGGGGCCCACTCAGCCTCCCCAGTCCATACTCCTGGAGTGGGCAGGCACATATGGGGCACCAGATGTGGTCTTTGGGGCAAAGCGGGGCCACAGAGCAGGTAGGGGAGGAGAGAAACCAAATCGTCACATCATCTATATCTGTCAAGCCAGGGGCAGCCAAACGGCCTCAAGCCTTTTCTAGAACCACTGTTAGGCACCCCTGCCCCCACCACACTTGCCCCAGTTCTGTCACATGCCAGCAGAAGACCACAGACAAGGGGCTTCACTATGCTTGCCTCAGTTTCCCCCTTATTCTCACCACTTCTAACCATCTTTGCTGGGCCAAAACCCTTCCAGCTGAAACTGCAGGGCTCCCCTGCCGTTCTGTTCTCAGGACAGCAGACTGAGAACAGCTGGAGATTTGGAAGGCCTCGCTCTCCATACCCCAGGGACAGAGCAAAGCTGTGTCCCAGCCCAGCCCAGCCCCCTACCTTCCTCAGGCTTGCAACAGACAAGAAAGAGGGCAGACAAGCTGTGGGAGGGAAGAGGTGCCCCAGAAGGTGAGGCACCATTCCAAGGACCAGCTGATGGGTCTGCAGGGACAGGAGTCCCTCTTGAAGATGTCAACCTGGAGACACCACAGCAAGGAGCTGCTACAGGCAGGCAGGGTGGGAGCTGCTGGTTCTGCAGAGTCCTATTAGGAACACCAGACTGAGGCCAGGAGACTTTGGTGCTGGGGCTGAGAAAGGCCTGTCCCACTCCGACATTCTAAGCAGGACAGAGCCTACAGGGAGGCGAGCGAGGGGCCTGGGGCAAGACACTTAAGGGGCATCCACTGCCTGGTCATGGAAATACCTCCTTAAATGTCACGCCCTAGGCACCTCACTGGACTCACCTGAGCCCTGGCCTTCATTCCAAGATGCTCTGCCCGTATCCTCAAGAACCTTATCTCAGAAGATTCCTTTTCTTTATGGAGGATAAACAGCAGTGTTCAGCATCATTCATTCACTCATTTACCAAATATTTATAAATCACCTACTGTGTGCCAGGCACTTAGTCTAGGCCCTGGGGGTTACTGCTGTGAACAGGACAGGCAGAGTCACTGCATCATGAAGCTTATATTCTGGGGAGAAGGATAGACATCAACAAGGAAAAAAATCATGGAGTTGTAGGTAGAGACACTCGGCAAGGTAGAGGGGCATTGTCTGATGTCGGGTGGGCAGGGAAGACTGCTCTGAGGGGGACACACAGGCAGCGCCCACCTGAAGTGAGAGAGTGAGCCCGTTGAAGTTTTGAGCGAGTCGAGTTCCCAGGCAAGTGTACTCCCAGGGGCCAAGTCCCAGTGGCTGGAAGGAGTTTCGTGTGCCTGAGGCAGAGGGAGCAGAATGACCGAGGGGGTGCATGGTGAGACCTGAGGTCCAAGAGTTAGGCAGGGACCAGCTCACAAAGGCTTTGTGGGCTAGGATATGGAATTAGGAGTTTCCTCTTTGGAGTGTGATAGGAGGTCCCTGCAGGGTTGGGGAGTATGGGGGCTGCTGGGAGGCTGTCCAGATGAGCCCGATAGAGGCTGATGTGGGAATCGCATAGACAAGGGGATGAGACTAGACTTGGGTTCAATCCCAGCTCCAGCATCAGAAGCTGGAAGAGTGGGGGCTACTCCTTTGTAAAACGCAGTTGGTGACACCGATCTCCCAGGGTTGTTTCGATAATGAAAAGAAGCAGTAAGTATTCAGCAAATGGTAGCTGCTATTATCCTCAATTCTCCCCAAGTTCTGCCTTGCAAACAGGAAGGGCTTCTAGGGGAGCCTCTGGCCTGGCCTGAGGGCACCTTGGAGACTGCCCCACTCCAACCAGTCCGTAGGAATTGGCGAACAGCCCAGGCCTGCAGGGCTCCTATTTTTCAAACTTTTTTTTTTTCTTCACAAAGCCGTAGAAGCAGCCGCCCTGCAGCCTGCAGGGAAATCAACATCTGCCTGGAGCACCCTTCTGCCAGCCCCGCCCCTGGCCCGAGTGACCAGGGCAAATGGCAGGACTTAAGAACCAGAGATTCTCTGAACTGGCAGCAGCCCTGGATGGAGGGGTAGGCATGGGGACCTCATCTGTTCTCCAAGCTGGGAGACAGCTGTCACCATCTGCGTTTTCTAGAGGAGGAGTCCAGGGCCGAGGATTCCAGGTGTGAGCTTAAGTGCTCATTAGGGGAATAAGGACTGGGGAGGCTGAGTGGGCCCCTGTCAGGAAGAACAAAGCCCAATTCCATCTCCTGTACTTTCATCGCCGTTCTGAAAGCATCTGGCAGCGCACCAGCCAAGGAGGAGGTGTGCAGAAAATGCCAACAGCATCTTCATCTGCAGAGGCCCAGAGCTCTGAGGGAAGGCACTGACAGTGCTTGTCCTGAGCTTACCTCCCATCCCAGGAATGTCCTATCCCTCTAGCTCTTCCCTTGGAAGGTCGATCATCTTCCCAGGGGCTCCCCAGACCAAAAAGTCTGCGTTCTGCGAAGCCCGGCGGACTCTGTGCGGGCCTCTGCCCCCCACCAAGCCCAAGGCAGTGCTCCAGATTAGAACTTGAACCTCACCATCTCGAAGGAGCTAGCACCCTGCCGTGGGGGAGGGCAGGGTAGAGAGGAGTGCGGGGGCGCCTTTTCTGGCCGGCAGGACGGGGGCAGCCGGAGAGGTGCAATGCGGGCTCCCCCTCCCCACCCTGCAGCGGGGCCCTGCAGAAGGTACCGGGCGGAACACGCGTGCCCTCTAGTGGTCACAGAGTCAAACGTCAAGTTCCATCCTGCGGAGCGAGCATGGGATCCGGAGCCACAGCTGGAGCTGAGATCAGAAACCGTAGATCTAGCCCCATTGTTTTACCGGTGAGGAAAGGCCATGAGAGCCACACACAGAGAATAGGGACAAGCTGAGGCCAGAATCATGGTTCCTAGCCCCTAATCCAATATCTCCACGTAAGCCTGTGGCCTCACCAGAATCCCAGCAGCTCTAGGGTGCTGGCCTCAGACCTCCCGCCAGTCCGGGCCCTCATTAAAGACGAGGGGACCATGGCTCAACAAGGTCAGAGCTGTGAGCAAAACTCTGGTCTCTTGATTAACTCTCCTGCTTCGGGAAAGCACCCGAATGCATGGCCAAGGCCACAGAAAGGACTTCATCACAGCCACAAACCCTTACAAAATGCTTACAACGAGCCAGGCACTGTCTACATACTCTACATACATCACCTCATTTAATACTAACAAAACCTGTTATCGCTCCCACATTCCGGATGAGGAAGATGGAGCACAAAGAAGTTAAGAGACGAGCCCAAGTTCACGGCTAGTAAGAGGCGAAGCTAGAATCTGAAGCCAGCCTGCCTGGCTCCAGACTGGGTTGAGGCATTGAAGCTGAGTGGTGAAGTGAGCCCCATTCCAAGGCATCCGATCTCTTGCCGACTATATGGCAGGTCCAACTCCAGGCAGGCCCGCCAGCAGGGAATTGTACCATTTAAAGGAACCTCCATACAAGGGGGGCCCACAATCTTCCTGGTTGTCCCATTTGAGACCAGGTCTGGGGCCTGTGTCTCCTGATTTTCAACTCACAGAAGGGAAAAGATCATCAACGGGATGAGGCTTCTGATCTTAGATCCAAAACCTCAGCAGTGGCGGGCCACCCGCTGTCTCCAAGGCACATCTGGGCCCTCAGGCCTCGTGTCATCCACTGTTCTAACTAGCCCATCTTGCAGAGACTATAAAAATTTGCTCATCTGCCAAATGCTGTCTCTTGCAGAGACTGGAAGTTAATCTCTTCACTCCTCTTTCCACCCTACAGCAACCTATGAGGTAATTATTTTCTTCTTGGTTTTTTTTTTTTTTTTTAAGTGTCTAAACAGATGAACTGTCTCCCGGGGCAGCCCCTGCCTCCCAGGTGAGTGTGGCATCCAGCCCGTATCTCCGCACCTGCACTGCCTTACCATCCAGACCCTTCCTGCTCAAGGGCCTCCCCAACCCCGGCCACTCCAGTCCATCCCCGTGCAGCCAGGAGCAACCCACCCTCATCACTCCTCACCTCCAGACCTCCAACGGCTACCCACTGCTTTCAGGATCAAGTCCAGGCTCCTGGGCACAGCTTCCAAGCCCTTTGGCATCTGGGACCAACCTATACCCTAGCCTCATCCCCTGCCAGCCCCCATCCCCCCAGGTCTCCTTCACTCCAGTGACCCCAGTTCTGATTTTTTCTGAAAACACCACCTTCCTTCCCTTCTCCATGCCTTTGCACGTATTTTTGCTTCAGGTTGAGAAGCTCATTTGCCCTCCTGCCCCTGGGCCCCTCCTACTTATTCTTCAGGTCCCAGCTTACAGGGCATTAGCCTCGGTGACTGTTTCCCCATTGTCCTTGTCCTCACCCCAGCCCTGTTCCTATCTCTTCCACATGACTTGAGGGCAGAATGGCAGGATAGTTAACCTCCCAGTGCCTCAGTTTCCTCATCTGTAATATAGGGGACAATAAGCCCAACTTCATAGGGCTGTCGAAGGATTAAATGACTTACTACCTGTATGAAGCTCAGCACAGTGCCTAGCACATGGCCTGGACAAAAGTCAGCTGCGACTATGATGAGCATTATTGCTATTATTGTTGCCATACATACAATGTTGTCTTGTTATTATTTGTTCATGGGCCTGTTTCCCTCTAGAGGCTCCGGGGAACTGACTCCTATTCATCTTGGTATCCCTGGCACCCAGGACAGTGTGTGGCAGAGTGGGGACTCAATAAAGTCTACTAAAGGAAGAAGAGACAGCTTTCTCTCCATGTCTGGGTCCCCACCACCACAAGCAGCAGATATGTGCAGTGGGCTAGAGTGAGGACTAGACTTCACTTTCTTTCTTTCTTTCTTTCTTTCTTTTTTTAAGAGACAGGGTTTGGTTCTGCTGCCCACGCTGGAGTGCAGAGGCATGATCACGGCTCACTGCAGCCTGGAACTCTTGATACTCCTTCTTCAGCCTCCTGGAACAGTTAGGACTACAGGTACATGCCACCATGCCTGGCTTATTTTTCTTTTCTTTTTTTTTTTTTTTTTTTTTTTTTTTTTGTAGAGACAGGGTCTTGCTATGTTGTCCAGGCTGGTCTCCAATTCCTGGCCTCAAGCGATCCTCCCACCTCGGCCTCCCAAAGCACTGGGATACAGGCGTGAGCCACCATGCTCAGCCCAGACTCCACTTTCTATGCCTCCACTAACATAATCCATACATTGGTAAGCAGGCCAGTGACTGTGGAGTCAACGGTCTCAAGAAAAACTTGAGGGAAGCCCAGTCATTTGAATTGTTTCTGGCTAAAACTAGCCTCATATGCTTCTGCCGTGGGTAGAGCTGGTTGCCCACCTGCCCTTTCTCTTTGCCACCTCCATAGTCATCCCCACAAGCCCAGCCCCGACAGAGTCCCCTCCCTCGTCACTTGTGGCATCCTCCATCCTGGGGATCGATGCTACTGCAACACCACCAAAGTTCCACTGTCAACTCGGCCCTCAGCATTGGAGTGCCAGGGACATGCCTCATTACAGCACCAATCAAGTTCAAGTTCAAGGTCCCCATTCCTGCATCCTCTCCCACTCAGCTTTGCAGAAGCTTTAGCTTCCTCCCACTACCATCTCCCCACCCCAAACACTCAGACCTCTTCATCGCAGACTCCCTCTTCCTCACCCTAGCCCAGAGCTCTGGGTCCTGGTCACTGAGCCCCCTTTCTATCTTTACTTAGCCATGGCTCTCACCAGGCGGCTTCTCTCCTGCACGAAGTGCTTCCTAACTCCTGAGGAAAGGGTCCTGTCCTCCAGCTGGGCCTCCTTACAACAGGCCACTCACCCAACTCCCCTTCTTTCAGCCTGTCCTGAGACTCTGATCAATTAGGTACTGTTAATATAGCAGTGCCATTTCTTGAACATTGGGGAGTGGAATCCAACGTTTAAGAGAATGTGCTGAAGTCAGACACAGGGAGTTCAAATTTCAGCTCCCGTTACCATAGTCATCTGTTTCCTCCCTGTAACCTGAGTATAATAGAATCTACCTCCGATTGCTGTGAGGGCTAAACAAGATACACAGTGCCTGGGCTCACGAAAAGCATTCTTATGTTAGCCATCGTTGAGTTCCTGCCATGCACCAAATCACAAACACGTCAGGCAGTAGGCATTCTTTAGTTTACCCGGGAGGGAACTGAAGCTCAGAGGGGTTGAGTAACTTGCCTGTGATCATTACGTAAATGACAAAGGTGGCTTGAAACCCAGGTCCTGCCAGAGATTCCATAGCATTCCTGCTCTGATGTTAATATGCCAAGTAACTCAGCAAAGCAGGCTGGCAGGGCCTCTGCACTGTCTGTGTTTAGCACTCCTACTCCAAACCCAGCACATCACACCACAGAAAGAGAGAGAGCCTTTGTGGTGGGGAATAGTTCCATCAACAGTCCTTGGACTTGACTCTCAGTTGCTGCTCCAGCAATAAGTAAGTTTAGGAGCAAGAATGAAACTCTACAAAGCAGGCTTGCAAATAACTTTCTAGCCCACTTCCCCACCAGGAAGTCTCTGAGTGGTCAAATACAAACACTTGACAGGACAGTCTGCAAGACTGGGCTGGGCAGTTCTGAGGCTGGATTTAAAGGGCTGCAACCTCGCTCAGCCTGTGGGTTCCATTTTTTTCCTGAATCTCTACACCTGGCCCTTCCTCCATTCCATCCGGCCCAAGCCAAAGGTGCCTTCTCCATCAGTGCGTGCCTCAGCAGGTCTCCTCCCAACCCAGACATCATTCCCCAAGCCCGCTTCCCACCTACTCCCACACACGTTCCAACAGATCAGTGAGACCGAGTGCCAAGAAGCCAGACCCAGACTCAACTTTCTGCCACCAGCTCCCCTGCACACTCTCCTAATACCCTAAATCCACCAGGATCAAGCTTCTGAAAAGAAGCCCCTTAAGGGAGCATTAAGTCCCAGGACCCCGCATTTGCAGCAACTCCAAAAAATAATCCCTGAAGAGACTGCAGGTCAATCCACTCTCTGCCCCACCGCCACGTAGGTCCACTTAGGGGAAATCCAGAGAAGATTCACCTCCCTTGACAATTGTCAGCCCCCAGCAACACTCAGATCCCCTGACCCAACATTTCTGTGACTAAGTAGTCCCAGGGTTCTGCACTCCCCAGCAACGTCCCTTCCAGTCCCCAGCACCTCCCCTCCCAAGGACACAGAGGGAAAGCGCTAGCAATGTCTTCTTTCCTATCCCCTGCCCCCATCCTCTTCACATTGCGGCTACACTTCTGAACCCTCGGGAGCATGCAGATGTGTCTAACTTACCCAAAGAGAAAAAGAGACTGAGCCCCGTGAGGCTGAAGGCAGGGCGAGGTAGCCAGGCATCTCTGTGCATTTTCAGAGACTGAGATGTTAGTCGGGTGGGCTACGGGAGAGGGTGATTTGAGGGGGCGAGAACTACAAGGGAGGAATGGTTGGATGCTAAAAAAAAATGCACGGATGTACTTCAAAGACATATACAACATTAAGGAAGCTTTATTTCCATCTCTCTAATATGGCCGGCTTGTATGTTGCTGCTAAAAAGAGAGAGAGAGGGAGTGTGTAAAGGAGAGAGAGAGAGATGGGGGGGAGAGAAAAGGGGGATGGGGTAAATATTGTGGTTGGTGGATTTCAAAAAGCAGGTGGGAGGGCATAAAAAAGTCATTTTGAAAAGAACAAAATCCCAGAAATTTTTACCCTCTAAAACAAGAAATAATACAAACCCTGCTTTTTGACTTCACTGGGATGATTGTTGGATTTTGAAAGCTATTAGAGGAATCCATTTATTTTAAAGATTCTGGAAAGGGAAACACCTTTTATCATTTAAAAACACCCCCAGGCTGACGCAGTGGCTCACACCTGTAATTCCAGCACTTTGGGAGGCCGGATGGATTGCTTGAGTCCAGGAGTTCAAGACCAGCCTGGGCAACATGGCAAAACCCATCTCTACTAAAAATACAAAATTTAGCCAGGCATAATGTCGCATGCCTCTTGTCCCAGCTACTGCACCGCACTCCAGCCTGGGCCCTGCCTCCAGAGGGAAAAAAAAAAAAAAAACCTAAAAAAAAAAAGGAGATGCTTGTTTTTGTGTTATTGAAAAGGGTTCAGGAAAGTGAGTTGGAGAGACTTTCAAGGGGTAATGCTTTCCTCATTCTAGCGTTTCCTCTGAAAACAGAACATGTTGAAGCAGGCTGATAGAAAAATACCCAAGAGATCTTACAATTGAATGTAACACAGGCCTTTGGATAAACCTGATTCAAACAAATCAACAGGAAAGAAAAGTTTTTGAGACAATTGGGAAAAGTTAAATATGAACTACATAGTAGATTGTATTAATGAATCATTCTTAATTTTGTTGGGTCTGATAAAATGTGGTTTTGTCCTTTAACATCTCTATCTGTTAAAGACACACATGGGTGGCCGGGCGGGGTGGCTCACACCTGTAATCCCAGCACTTTGGGAGGCCGAGGCAGGCAGATCACCTGAGGTCAGGAGTTCGAGACCAGCCTCCCTAACATGGTGAAACCCTGTCTCTACTAAAAATACAAAAGTTAGCCGGGTGTGGTGGCGTGTGCCTGTAATCCCAGCTACTTGGGGGGACTGAGGCAGGAGAATTGCTTGAACCTGGGAGGCGGAGGTTGCAGTGAGTCGAGATCACTCCGCTACATCCCAGCCTGGGCCACAGAGTGAGACTCCATCTCAAAAATACATATATATATATTCAACGAAAAAAAGAGATGGGAGAATAGGTGACACGAGACTAGTTGTTTTGCTTGATAATTGAAACTAGCTGGTGATGGGTGTAAAGGGTTTGTCATATAGTTCTCTCTTCTTTTGTGTATGTTTAAAACTTTTCTTTTGAAGAAGGAAGAAAAAATAAGCTAACGTCATAAGTAGGAGAACTTGGTGGGTGGAGTCCAAGGTGGTCCTAAGCAGAGGTGACCCCCATACTCCTGGGGAGATGGTTAAGTAGGGCAGAGATTCGCATGCAGCAGTCACCTGCATTTGTGATGGGCCCTTTGTGTACCAAACAGGGAGCAACTAATATTTTTGAGCATAAACTCTGTGCCAAGCACTTTACATGTGATATCTCAATTTTTTATTTTTTTATTTTATTATTTTTTTTTAGACAGGGTCTCGCTCTGTCACCCAGGCTGCAGTGCAGTGGTGCAATCTCAGCTCACTGCAATCTCTGCCTTCTGGGTTCAAGCAATTCCTGTGTCTCAGCCTCAAGAGTAGCTGGAACTACATGCACGTGCCACCACCCCCAGCTAATTTTTTTGTATTTTTAGTAGAGGCAGGGTTTCACCATGTTGGCCAGGCTGGTCTCGAACTCCTGACCTCAAGTGTTCCACCTGCATCAGCCTCCCAAAGTGCTGGGAGTACAAGCGTGAGCCACCATGCTCAGCCTGTGGTATCTCAGTTTAATCTTTTCTTTTTTTGTGTGTGAGATGGAGTCCCGCTCTCTCTCCCAGGCTGGAGTGCAGTGGCGCGATCTTGGCTCACTGCAACCTCCACCTCCCAGGTTCAAGCAATTCTCCTGCCTCAGCCTCCCAAGTAGCTGGGATTACAGATGCCTGCCACCATGCTTGGCTAATTTTTGTATTTTTAGTACAGACAGAGTTTCACCATCTTGTCCATGCTAGTCTTGAACTCCTGACCTCGTGATCCACCGACCTTAGCCTCCCAAAGTGCTGGGATTACAGGTGTGAGCCACCGCGCCCCCACCCTGTCAGTTTAATCTTAACCCTGGGATAGGTGATTTCTTTTTCCTTTTTCTTTTTTTTTAATTTATTTATTTTATTATTATTATTATTATTATTATTTTTTTTTTTTTTTTTTTTTTTTTTTTTTTGCGATGGAATCTCACTCTGTGGCCCAGGCTGAAGTGCAGTGGCATGATCTTGGCTCACTGCAACCTCCGCTTCCCGGGTTCAAGTGATTCTCCTGCCTCAGCCTCCTGAGTAGTTGGGTTTACAGGTTCCCGCCACCATAATTTCTTTTTTCTTTTTCTTTTTCTCTTTATTCTTTTGTTGTTGTTGTTCAGACAGAGGCTTACTCTGTGGCCCAGGCTGGAGTGCAGTGGCACAATCTTGGCTCACTGCAACCTCCACCTCCCAAGTTCACGTGATTCTCCTGCCTCAGCCTCCTAAGTAGCTGGGATTACAGGCTCCTGCCACCACGCCCAGCTAATTTTTGTATTTTTAGTGCAGACAGGGTTTCACTATGTTGGCCAAGCTGGTCTCGAACTCCTGGATTCAAGTGATCTTCCCGCGTTGGCCTCCCAAAGTGCTGGGATTATAGGCATGAGTCGCTGCACCTGGCCTTTATTCTTTTTTTTTTTTTTTTTTTTTTTTTTTTTTTTTTTTAAGACGGAGTCTCACTCAGCTGCTTAGGCTGAGGTGCAGTGGTGTGATCTCGGCTCACTGCAACCAGCGTCTCCCAGGTTCAAGCAATTTTCCCTTCTCAGCCTCTTAAGTAGCTGGGATTACAGGCACCCATCATCATGCCTGGCTAAGTTTTGTATTTTTAGTAGAGACGGGGTTTCACCATGTTGTCCAGGCTGGTCTCGAACTCCTGACCTCAGGTGCTCTGCCCACCTTGGCCTCCGAAGGTGCTAGGATTACAGGCATATGCCACTGCGCCCGGCCTATTCTTTTTCTAGTGGCAAATGAGGAAACAGAGGTTCATGGGGCTCAACCCACCCAAGTTTACATATGAGAGTTTAAGGGCAGAGTCAGGATTCAAACCAAGGTCTTCGTGAAACTCTGGGTGTCTCCAGCATTCCACATTGCTTAGCACCAAGGGAAGGATAAATGGAGCTACCTCCAGGTTGTCTAGAAAGGCACAGGGAAGAGAAGACCAACAAGACACATGAAGCAATTAGCCCCTGCAGGTGACATAAAAGCAAGGGCTAAGAGGCAGGCTATGGAGAAACAGTGAGAATCCAGCACAGTGCCTGGCTCAGGGCAGAAACTTCGTCAGCAGACGGTGAATGACTGTACAGGGGCACACCTGAGTGAATTAATGAATCTGGAGAGCTAAGGGAGGAAAGTAGACACTGCGGAGGAAATGAAATCCTTCCAAGGCCTCTCAAGCTGTTCTGGGCTGGGGAGGAGCAAGGGGGCCAGGGATTTGAGGCAGAGTTGCCAGAAGGCAGAAGGGTGGGTAGTCTAAGAGCCCTTTGTGGTTGTCCCTGCCCAGATCACACACAGATTCTGTCCCCAAGTGCCTCTGTCCCATCCCTAGGGTCTGGCTCTGGCTGGCCCATTCACAAAACACAGGGCCCACAGGGCAGAATTGCAGGGAAGGAGAGGTGGGGCAGCCTGGAAGAAAAGTCTCCTTCAGTGGCCATGCCTGGCCCCATCCCCAGTGCCCTCCGGCCCTGAGGTCTACCCCGCTGTCAGCAGCTCACAGCTGTGCCCGGAGGGGTGGACTGGCACAAGCCGGGCCTCAGCTCCCGCTTAGGCGTGCACTGCCAAGTCCCACTCTGCAGCACAGCCATCCATGCTGCCGCAGACACATGTCAGCTCTGCCCCGTTGCCAGAGATTTTTGGTTTGACGTAGCCGGCCTCCTCTTTTTTTCTTAATGCAGCAGAGGGTGCCCGTGAGGCCCAGAAACTGAAGGAAGCTGCTTGCCTGTCTCACTTGGTCTCACATTAGGTCCAGAAGCTCCTATTTTGGGGGCATCTGAGGCAAGAAGTGGATCCAGAAGATCTGTTTCTATCCAGAATTCAGCAAAGAGAAACTACGTATCCAGACTTAGAACAGTCTTCATCCAACTCAGCCCCCCAGGACCAAGGGTCAGGAGGAGCTAGATCAAGGGTGAGGGGCAGTAGCAGGCAGAGCCAAGGCAAGAGAGGGGGAGAGCTACCCCGGAACTTCCCCACAACCCACTTGGGCCTCCAGACACCCATCTGCTCCGAAAGAGTAAGCCTTCCCCAGGAGCCAGTGAAAGTCTGGGAAGCAGCAGCTCTAAGAGGTGTTTTGCCGAATGAAGACACCAGTGTCAAAGATGTGCTTTTTTAGGAGTGAAGCCCTGTGGTTTTGGCATTTGTGCCCAGGGTTATTTATCAGTGAAGGTTTTATTAGACAGCTCTCAATTACCTACCCTGCTGGGAGAAGCAGTGTTACAGATAATTCAAAGGAAGGTAGTTTCCTTTTACCTTTGGAATGCCTCGTTGAGGCTATAGAGAGCCTCCCTAGTTATTTACCTTACAGCCTCACTTTTCAAAGTGTGGTCCCCAGGCCAGCATCATGGGTGTCACCTGGGAGTCTGTGAGAAAGGCAGTGCTACAGGCCCCACCCCAGTCCCAAGGAATCCAAATCTGCATTTTTTTTTTTTTTCTTTTTGGTTTTTGTTTGAGACGGAGTCTCACTCTGTCGCCCAGGCTGGAGCACAGTGGCGCAATCTTGGCTCACTGCAAGCTCCGGCTTCTGGGTTCATGCCATTCTCTTGCCTCAGCCTCCTGGGTAGCTGGGACTACAGGCGCCCACCACCACACCCGGCTAATTTTTTTGTATTTTTAGTAGAGACGGGGTTTCACCATGTTACCAGGATGGTCTCGATCTCCTGACCTTGTGATCCACCCGCCTCGGCCTCCCAAAGTGCTGGGATTACAGGTGTGAGCCACTATGCCTGGCCCGAATCTGCATTTTTAACAAGATCTCCAGGTGATTCTTGAGCATATTAAAGCTTGAGAAGCACTGCCTTCAGCCAATATCAAAAGGTTTGCATACCCTGAGCAAGGGGCCATTAGAAGCCAGGTTTGGGGGTTCAGGGAGAGGGGAGTAGGAAGCAGGAACAAACCTCGGATGAAATGCTGGCCTCTGGTGATCTGCAGAGCACATAGCAGTCTGTTCATGAGCTGCGAGGTAGGGATGCCTCTCTTCTCTGCCCCACACGCTTCTGAAGCCCTTCCTTACCAGGCAAGGTTTCTCTAACCCCGCATGCAGCTTCACATCTCTGTCTTTGCCTTCGCCGTTTTCCCTGTAGGAATGCCCTTTGTCTCTTGCCTGCTCATCAAGCTCATGGTCTTTCTTCAAAAATGTGCTCCAAAGTCACCTACTTCTGCTCTAAATACCTCTTCTCTCTGCTCCTGTGACCCTGGGTACATTCACTCATTTATCAATCAGATCTCTCATAGAACAAACTCAAATATCTATGGAACAGCCCCTATGTGCTAGACAGTCAGCTAGGAGCTAGAGACCAAGAAATGAATGAGATACAGCTCACCCTTGGAGAGCTCACATTCTAGAGAGGGAGATAAATGCATACACTCACAATACAGCACGGTGAGTGCAGTCCCATCTACTGGAGACATAGGAACCCAGGGACACCTTATATTGAACTAACAGGAGTCAACGAGTATTTTTATTGGTTACTTACCCATCTGACCTCCCCAGCTAGACTGTAGTTCTTTAAGTACTGAGATTGCGTCTTATTCTTCTGAGCATGCACTGGGCCTCTACTGGTCCTTGAGCAGATGAAAATGAGTGAATATCTACTTTGCATCTGGAGAAGGGGCAGAAATTCCATCAGCCTGACTTCCCCAGTCAAGATGTGGTAGAATTGGGAATGGGAGCCAGGTCCAGCCGCAATCTGTGCATGCTGTTCCCCTCCACTCCCTAGGAATTTTACTCGACAAGGGATTGTCCCCCTTGGGGTCAAATGCTACAAGGGTCACAGAAAAGACCTAAAGCAGATTTTTTTTTTGTCCTCAAACTTCGCCCAGGCTGGGGTGCAGTGGCAAGATCAGGGTTCACTGCAACCTTCACCTCCCAGGCTCAAGCGATTCTTGTGCCTCAGCCTCCAGGGTAGCTGAGACTATAGCTCTGTGCCACCACACCTGGCTAATTTTTGTATTTTTAGTGGAGACAGGGTTTCACCATGTTGGCCAGGCTGTTCTCAATCTCCTGACCTCAAGTGATCCACCCGCCTCGGCCTCCCAAAGTGTTGGGATTACAGGCATGTGCCACCGTGCCTGGCCTAAAGCAGAATTTCTAAGAGTTTGAGATCTCTAAGAGAAAATAAAGTATCACACCCATGAAACAATTAGAAGACAAGGAAAGACAAAAGTAGATCAAGTGCAGAGACATCTAGGAAGAGGTGAGAAGCAGGAGATCACCCAGGCGGGTGATCTAAAGCAGGGCATTGAAGGAATGTTGATGTGGGGAGGCAAGAAGGAAAGGAAAGTGTCATCCCAGGCAAGAGTACACCAATAGCAGGAAAGACAACAATGCATGGAGCAGAGGGTTCCTGTTGTGAAAAAAAAATGAGGCATGCAACATCACTAATCACCAGGGAAATGCAAATTAAAACCACAATGAGATACCATCTTACTCCCGCAAGAATGGCCATAATTAAATACTTAAAAAACAGTAGATATTGGTGTGGATGCAGTGAAAAGGGAACACTTTTACACTGCTGATGGGAATGTAAATTAGTACAACCACTATAGAAAACAGTGTGGAGATTCCTTAAAGAACTAAAAGTAGGCCGGGTGTGGTGGCTCACACCTGTAATCCCAGCATTTTGGGAGGCCGAGGCATGCGGATCACCTGGGGTCAAGAGTTCAAGACCAGCCTGCCCAACATGGCAAAATCCCGTTTCTACTAAAAATACAAAAAATTAGCCGAGCGTGGTGGCAGGCACCTGTAATCCCAGCTACTCAGGAGGGTGAGGCAGGAGAATTGCTTGAACCTGGGAGGCAGAGGTTACAGTGAGTCAAGATCACGCCGCTGCACTTCAGTCTGGGTGACAAGAGTGAAACTCCATCTCAAAAAAAAAAGAGAACTAAAAGTAGAACTACCATTCAATCCAGCAATCCCACTACTGGGTATCTACCCAAAGGAAAGGAAGTCATTATATGGAAAAGACACATGCACGTGCATGTTTATAGTAGCACAATTCACAACTGCAAAGATATGGAACCAACAGAAGTGCCCATCCACCAATGAGTGGATAAAGAAAATGTGGTGTATATACACACCATGGAATACTACTTGGCCATAGAAAGGGATGAAGTAATGTCTTTTGCAGCAACTTGGATGGAGCTGGAGGCCGTTATTCTAAGTGAAGTAACTCAGGAATGGAAAACCAAATATGGTATGCTCTCACTTATAAGTGTGAGCTAAGCTATGAGAACTCAAAGGTGTAAGAGTGATGTAATGGACTTTGGGCACTCTGGAGGGAGGCTGTGAGGAGGCTGAGGATAAAAGACTACATATTGAGTACAGTGTACACTGCTCAGGTGATGGGTGCCCTAAAATCTCAGAAATCACCACTAAAGAACTTATCCATGTAACCAAAAACCACCGGTTCTACAAAAACTATTGAAATAAAAAAAAAACATTAAAACTTTTTTTTTTTTTTGAGATGGAGTTTCGCTCTTGTTGCCCAGGCTGGAGTGCAATGGCATGACCTTGGCTCACTGCAACCTCTGCCTCCCAGGTTCAAGCAACTCTCCTGCCTCAGCCTCCCGAGTAGCTGGGATTACAGAGGCTCACCACCATGCCCGGCTAATTTGTTGTATTTTTAGTAGAGATGGGGGGGTTTCTCCATGTTGGCCAGGCTGGTCTCGAACTCCTGACCTCAGGTGATCCACCAGCCTGGACTTCCCAAAGTGCTGGGATTACAGGCATGAGCCACCGCACCTGGCCTAAAACTATTTTTTTTTAATGAAGTATAGATGGGCAGACAAGATGGCACCAGCACACAGAAGGCCATGAACATACAAGACAGAGTTCACACAGCTTTGAAAGATCTCAGACAGGTAAATCACTATGGCTTGCACCATCTACGAAATGAGAAAGTTCTCAGCTTTCTGAGAAAACTTTAAGTTCCCTTATTTTTTGAAGAAGAGATGTTCTGGTAGTTGGGTTTTACAGAAGTGGTCACGGATTGCCTGACCTCCCTAGACCACATCTGCAAACTAGCTGGCCAGGACAGAAGGTCAGTGGTCCTGGGAAACTTTGTTTATGCTGAATTAAGAGGATAACTGCAACCTAGGGCTCTGCAGCTCTAAATAACTGAGCTAACTCAGTGGCTCCCTCCAACCACACACAAACAGAGCTAGTGTTTTATGAAGGAAAATGGCCAATTACCAACAGACAGGTGAGCATACCGACTAGTCAAAAGGGAGAAAAGGACACTGGTTGGGGGCAACCAGGAAGAGACAACTAAAGGGCTGGTAGAAGGCTGCAGCCTTTTGTGTGTGTGTGTGTGTGTGACTGAGTTTCGCTCTTGTTGCCCAGACTGGAGTGCAATGGCGCAATCTCGGCTCACCGCAACCTCCACCTTCCGAGTTAAAGCAATTCTTCTGCCTCAGCCTCCTGAGTAGCTGGGATTACAGGCATGCGCCACCACACCCAGCTAATTTTGTATTTTTAGTAGAGACAGGGTTTCTCCATGTTGGTCAGGCTGGTCTCAAACTCCCAACCTCAGGTGATCCGCCCAACTTGGCCTCCCAAAATGCTGGGATTACAGGCGTGAGCCACCACGCCTGGCCGACAAAAGGCTGCAGCCTTTTGAAGGAGACTCAGCTCATCTTCTACCGATCCCCAGTGGACAAGCAGAACTGTTTTCAGTTGCGATAGCCAAATTCTGAAGCTGCTAGGTTCTCCATTATTCATGAGTAGCTCCGCTCCCTCCAGCCTTGGGGCTGCTTTCTGTTGGCAAAGGCCTGTGTACTTCTGCAAACCTTAAAATATGAGAGCATCTGATGTTCCAGGGATCTAAAATACTGCAAATTCAGGTAACAAAACTGCTTTCCAAAGGCTCTACTACAGGGATCTTCAGTAGCTTTCCAGTCCTTCAAAATCTGTCTCCTCAGAGCTATACAAAGCCTTGGCCTAAGCTCAGCTTCCTAACTCAGTCTTTCTTCGGATAGGAAGAGGGATTTACGGATTTTGGTAAAGCGCTTTTTGTCCGTAGAAATCAAAATTAAGAGATGGGGACTGAATCACCAGAAGATATTGTCCATCCCTATTGTTAATTGTGTTATTAAGATTGAATAGCAAAGATTGACTAGCATTAAATAGAAGATAAAATAACCTATTTCTGAGTGGGTTCTTCATTTCTGAGTGACGTTAAGAAGATACATCTACCTGGAAAAACACATTTGAAGGAAAGGGAGGGCTCAGGCCAGGCACTATCCCCTATACTACCTCATTCAGTCCTTGCAAAACAAACAAACTAACAAACTTCTGTGAGTCTCCATTTTACATATAAGGAAAACAGCCTCAAAGGATTTAAACACACTTTGCAATATTGAAGAGGAAGAGGCAGCCAGGATTTGAACCAGGACTATTTGATCTTGAAGCCCATTCCCTACACAATTTCCCTTCATGTTCCTGGGTGTAATGGACAAACCACCTCTAGCAGAAGGGCTGAGAGAGAAGCCGGTCTCTTTCCCAGTCCCCTGTAGGGCTGCTTCGGCTTTAGGCGAAATTCGTGTTTGACAACTGTGGACTTCCACCCTCAACCTTGGCTCCATGCCTGTGGATAAGAAGGTTTGTAGGGAAGAAGACTTGGAGCAGAGATGTGGGCTTCCTCTTCCTCCCCCTCAGTCACAACTGCCGAACCCAGAATGGAAGCCAATCTCTGAATGAATCAAATTTGAATTTGGGCACACCTACACTTTCACGGTCCAAGTGCCTGCTGAGGATCATGTGGCTAACCTGTCCAGCCCATCCTCCTGCTCTTACCCTAATTATTTTCTTAGACCCTGAGCAACAGATGTAAAATCACCATCCACCCACCTAACTCTGTATCCTGAAGGCCATCTTCCAATGCACACAATATTTGAGGAAGTGGAAAAGGGTCCCTTATTCCAGGAGAGAAGTTACTTAATAGCCCAGAAATGAAACCACTTCCTCTCCATGAACACTCCAGATATAATAAAGTCCTCTTCCCCCTCTACTTGTCTCACCAATATGTGTCCCTGGTATGTCTGGGACAGGATACTGCCTTCAATACCCATATGGAAAACCCTGACATAACTCCTCATCAAGAGCTGGCAGATAGGAAGGAAGAATTTAATGATGCTTATCCATGTCTAAACTAGAACATAACCTGTGTGTTATGAGAGGATCCTAATGTTTGGAGAGTTGGGGGAAATCATTAAAAATGTAGCCCCACCAGCCGCAGTGGTTCATACCTGTAATCCTAGCACTTTGGGAGGCCGAGGCAGGTGGATTGCCTGAGCTTGGGAGTTCAAGACCAGCCTGGGAAGCATGGTGAAACCCCGTCTCTACTAAAAATACAAAAAATTAGCCGGGCATGGCAGTGTGTGCCTGTAATCCCTGTAATCGCCTGTAATACTTGGGAGGCTGAGACAAGAGAATCACTTGAACCTGGGAGGCAGAGGTTGCAGTGAGCCGTAATAGCACCATTGCACTCCAGCCTGGGTGACAGAGCGAGACTCCGTCTCAAAAAAGGAAAAAAAAAATGTAGCCCCATTTAAGACTGGATCAGAAATCAGAAAAACAGAAAAGACCTCCTCTTTATCTGGCCCTGCATGGCTAAATATGAAGAAAGGGTTGCAGAGAATAAGAAAGAGTCTGTAGCAGTCAAGGAAAGGAGACCAGAGCTGAACCCAGGCTGGTCCGCAGAGGCTGGAAGTTGTTCAGAACCAAAGGATATTCTTTAGTTTCTTCTTTTCCTTCCTCTTCCCTTTCCCTTCCTTTCCTCTTTCTTATTTTGAGACAGGATCTTAGCCTGTTGCCCAGGCTGGAGTGGAGTGCAGTGGCGCAATCATATCTCACTGCAGCTTCTAACTCCTGGGCTTGAGTGATCTTCCTACCTTAGCCTCCTGAGTAGCTGGGACCAAAGGCATGCACCTCCACACCTAGCTAATCAATTTTATTTATTTTATTTTATTTTATTTTACTTTATTTTATTGAGATGAGGGTCTCACCATGTTGCCCAGACTGGTCTTGAACTCCTGGCCTCAAGTGATCCTCCCCTTCAGCCTCCCAAAGTGCTGGGATTACAAGCATGAGACACTGCACCCAACCCCAAAGGATTTTTTTTTCAATAGGTTTTTGGGGAACAGGTGGTGTTTGGTTACATGAGTAAGTTCTTCAGTGGTGATTTCTGAGATATTGATGCACCCATCACCTGAGCAGTGTACACTGTACCCAGTGTGTAGTCTTTTATCCCTTACCTCCCCACCCTTTCTGAGTCCTCAGAGTTTATTGTATCATTCTTATGCCTTTGCATCCTCATAGCTTAGCTCCCACTTATAGGTGAGAACATACGATGTTTGATTTTCCATTCGTGAGTTACTTGACTTAGAATAATGTTCTCCAGTTCCATCCAGATTGCTGCAAATGGCATTATTTCATTCCTTTTTATGGCTGAGTAGTATTCCATGGTATATATATATACCATATTTATTTTCTTCTTTGCATCCTCATAGCTTAGCTCCCACTTAGCTCCCATTCCCAAACATATGAGGTTTGGTTTTCCATTCCTGAGTTACTTGACTTAGAATAATGTTCTCCAGTTCCATCCAGGTTGCTGCAAATGGCATTATTTCATTCCTTTTTATGGCTGAGTAGTATTCCATGATGTGTATATATATATATATATATACCATATTTATTTTCTTTAACCACTCATTGATTGATGGGCAATTGGGCTGATTCCATATTTTTGCAATTGCGAATTGTGCTGCTATAAACATGCATGGGGAGGCATCTTTTTTCTTCTTTTTTCAAGACAGAGTCTTGCTCTGTCACCCAGGCTGGAGTGCAGTGGTGTGATCTCAGATCACAACCTCCATCTCCCAGGTTCAAGCAATTCTCCTGCCTCAGCCTCTCAAGCAGCTGGGATTACAGACATGTGCCACTACACCCAGCTAATTTTTGTATTTTTGGTAGAGACAGGGTTTCACCATGTTGGCAAGGCTGGTCTTGAACTCCTGACCTCGTGATCCACCTGCCTTGGCCTCCCAAAATGCTGAGATTACAGACGTGAGCCACCATGCCCAGCCTATCTTTTTCATATAATGACTTCTTTTCCTCTGGGCAAATACCCAGTAGTGGGATTGCTGGATCAAATGGTAGATCTATTTTTAGTTCTTTAAGGAATCTCCACACTGTTTTCCATCATGGTTGTACTAGTTGACATTCCCACCAACCTTGTAAAAGTGTTCCCTTTTCACCACATCCATGCCAACATCTAAAATTTAAAATTAAAAAAAATTTTTTTTTATTATGACTGTTCTTGCAGGAGTGAGGTGGTATGGCATAGTGGTTTTGATTTGCATTTCCTGATAATTAGTGATGTTGAGCATTTTTTCGTATGTTTCTTGGCCATTTGTATATCTTCTTTTGAGAATTGTCTATTCATGTCCTTAGCCCACTAATTTATGGGTTTGTTTGTTTTATTCTTGCTGATTTATTTGAGTTCCTTGTAGATTCTGGATATTATAATAGTCCTTTGTTGGATATACAGATTGCAAAGATTTTCTCCCACTCTGTGGGTTGTCTGTTTACTCTGCTGATTATTTCTTTTGCTGTGCAAAAGCTTTTTAGTTTAATTAAATCCCATCTATTTATCTTTGTTTTTGTTGCATTTGCTTTTGGGTTCTTGGTCATGAAGTCTTTGCCTAACCCAATGTCTAGAAGGGTTTTTCTAATGTTATCTCCTAGAATTTTTATGGAGCCAGGTCTTAGATTTAAGTCTTTGATCTATCTGAAGTTGATTTTTGTATAGGAGAGAGATGAGGATCCAGCTTCATTCTTCTACATGTGGCTTGCCATTTATCCCGGCACCATTTGTTGAATAGGGTGTCCTTTCCCCACTTCATATTTTTGTTTGCTTTATCACACATCAGTTGACTTGTAAGTATTTGGCTATATTTCTGGGTTCTCTATTCTGTTCCATTGGTCTATATGCCTATTTTTATACCAGTACCATGCTGTTTTGATGACTGGCTTTATAGTATAGTTTGAAGTTGGGGAATGTAATGCCTCCAGATTTGCTCTTTTTGCTTAATCTTGCTTTGGCTATGCAAGCTGTTTTTTGGTTCCATTTGAATTTTGGGATAGTTTTTTCTATTTCTGTGAAGAATGGTGGAGGTATTTTGATGGGAGTTGCATTGAATTTGTAGATTGCTTTTGGCAGTGGTATTGTTTGACTCTGTGTCCCATCCAAATCTCATCTTGAATTGTACTCCCATAATTCCCACATGTTGTATGAGGGACCCAGTGAAAGACGATTTGAATCGTGGGGGCAGTTTCCCTCATACTCTTCTCATGGTAGTGAATAAGTTTCATGAGATCTGATGGTTTTATCAGGGGTTTCTGCTCTTGCATCTTCCTCATTTTCTCTTGCTGCCCCCATGTAAGAAGTGCCTTTTGCCTCCCATCATGATTCAGAGGCCTCCCCAGCCATGTGGAACTGTAGGTCCAATTTTTCTTCCCAGTCTCGGGTATGTCTTTATCAGCAGTGTGAAAACGAACTAATGGCCGGGCACGGTGGCTCACGCCTGTAATCCCAGTACTTTGGGAGGCCAAGGAGAGTGGATCACAAGGTCAGGAGATCAAGTCCAACCCGGCTTACGTGGTGAAAGCCCGTCTCTACTAAAAATACAAAAAATTAGCCAGGCATGGTGGCGCACACCTGTAGTCCCACCTACTCGGGAGGCTGAGGCAGGAGAATGACATGAACCCAGGAGGCGGAGTTTGCAGTGAGCCGAGATCACGCTACTGCACTCCAGCCTGGGTGACAGAGCAAGACTCCGTCTCAAAAAAAAAAAAAAAAAAGAAAACCAACTAATACAGTAAACTGGTACCCATTGAGTGGGGCACTGCTGAAAAGATACCTGAAAATGCGGAAGGTACTTTGGAACTGGGTAACAGGCAGAGGTGGCAACAGTTTGGAGGGCTCAGAAGAAGACAGGAAAATGTGGGTAAGTTTGGGACTTCCTAGAGACTTGCTGAATGGCTTTGAGCAAAAGCCTGATGACAATATAGACAATAAGGTCCAGGCTGAGGCGGTCTCAGATGGAGATGAGGAACTTGTTGGGAACCGGAGCAAAGGTGACTCTTGTTATGTTTTAGCAAACAGACTGGTGGCATTTTGCCCCTGCCCTAGAGATTTGTGGAACTTTGAACTGAAGAGAGGTGATTTAGGGTATCTGGCAGAAGAAATTTCTAAGCAGCAAAGCATTCAAGAGGTGACTTGGGTGCTGCTAAAGGCATTCAGTTTTATAAGGGAAGCAGAGCATAAAAGTTCAGAAAATTTGCAGCCTGATAATGTGATAGAAAAGAAAAACCCATTTTCTGAGAAGAAATTTAAGCTGGCTGCAGAAATTTGCATAAGTAACAAGTTGCTGAGTGTTAATCCCTAAGACAATGGGGAAAATGTCTCCAGGGCATGTCAGAGGTCTTCACAGCAGCCCCTCCCATCACAGGCCAGAAGGCCTAGGAGAAAATGGTTTCATGGGCCAGGCCCAGTGTCCCCGCGCTGTGTGCAGCCTAGGGACTTGGTGCCCTGCATCCCAGCCACTCCAGCCATGGCTGAAAGGGGCCACCATAGAGCTCAGGCCATGACTTCAGAGGGTGCAAGTCCCAAGCTTTGGCAGCTTCCATGTGGTGTTGAGCCTGCGAGTGCGCAGAAGTCAAGAACTGGGGTTTGGGAACCTCTGCCTAGATTTTAGAAGATGTGTGGAAATGCCTGGATGCCCAGGCAAAAGTTTGCTACAGGGGCGGGGCCCTCATGGAGAACCTCTGCTAGGGCAGTGCAGAAGGGAAATGTGAGATCAGAGCCCCCATACAGAGTCCCTACTGGGGCACTGCCTAGTGGAGCTGTGAGAAGAGGGCTACCATCCTCCAGACCCCAGAATGGTAGATCCACCAACAGCTTGCACCGTTCACCTGGAAAAGCTGCAGACACTCACTGCCAGCCCATGAAAACAGCCAGGAAGGAGGCTGTACCCTGCAAAGCCACAGGGCAGAGCTGCCGAAGACCATGGGAACCCACTTCTTGCATCAGTGTGACCTGGATGTGAGACCTGGAGTCAAAGGAGATCATTTTTGAAGCTCTAAATTTTGACTGCCTTGCTGGATTTCAGACTTGCATGGGCCCTGTAACCACTTTGTTTTGGCCAATTTCTCCCATTTGGAATGGCTGTATTTACCCAATACCTTTTACCCCCATTGTATGTTGGAAGTAACCAGCTTGCTTTTGATTTCACAGGCTCATAGGTGGAAGGGACTTGCCTTATTTCAGATGAGACTTTGGACTGTAGACTTTGGGTTAATGCTGAAATGAGTTAAGACTTTTGGGGGCTGTTGGGAAGGCATGATTTGTTTTGAAATGTGAGGACATGAGATTTGGAAGGGCCAGAGGTGGAATGATATGGTTTGGTTCTGTGTACCCACCCAAATATCATCTTAAAGTATTATTATTATTATTATTTTGAGATGGAGTCTCGCTCTGTTGCCCAGTGTGGAGTGCAGTGGTGCAATCTCAGCTCACTGCAAGCTCTGCCTTCCGGGTTCATGCCATTCTCCTGCCTCACCCTCCCGAGTAGCTGGGACTACAGGCGCCCGCCACCATGCCCGGCTAATTTTTTGTATTTTTTTTAGTAGAGATGGGGTTTCACCATAGTCTCGATCTCCTGACCTTGTGATCTGCCTGCCTTGGCCTCCCAAAGTGCTGGGATTACAGGCGAGAGCCACCGCACCCAGCCCATCTTAAATTATACTCCCATAATTCCCACATATTGTGGGAGGGGCCTAGTGGGAGATAATTTGAATCATTGAGGTGGTTTCCCCCATACTGTTCTCATGGTAGTGAATAAGTCTCATGAGATTTGATGGTTTTATCAGGGGTTTCTACTTTTGCATCTTCCTCATTTTCTCTTGCCACCGCCGTATAAGAAGTGCCTTTCACTTCCCGCCATGATTCTGAGACCTCTGCAGCCATGTGGAACTGTAAGTCCAATTAAACCTCTTTTTCTTCCCAGTCTCGGGTATGTCTTTATCAGGAGCATGAAAACAAACTAAATACAGGCAGTATGGTCATTTTCACAATATTGATTCTACCCATGCGTGAGCATGGGATGTGTTTCCATTTGTGCTGTCTATGATTCCTTTCAGCAGTATTTTGTAGTTTTCATTGTAGAGGTCTTTCACCTCCTTGGTTAAGTATATTCCTAAGTATTTTAATTTTTTTTGCAGCTATTATAAAAGAGATTAAGTTATTGATTTGATTCTCAGCTTGGTTGCTATTGGTGTACAGCAAAGCTACTGATTTGTATACATTAATTATGTATCCTGAAACTTTGCTGAATTCATTTACCAGTTCTAGGAGCTTTTTGGATGAGTCTTTAGGGTTTTCAAGGTTTATGATTATGTCATCAGCAAACAGAGACAGTTTGACTTCCTCATTACCAATTTGGATGCCCCCCGCCAAAGGATTTTTAAGACTAACCTTATCAAATCTTACAATAGCAACTAAAAGTATAGGAACCGCACATTTCAGACCAAGAATTAAATCAGTGGCTGTCCACTGTGGCAACCCATGAGTATCAGGAAAGACAAATGCCTAAACTTCACCCAGAAATTTCAAATTAGGAGGCATGTGGTGAGGCCCCGCAAGGAGCCACCAGCAGGAATGAAGAACCACTGAGTTAAATCCCAAAACTGTATTCATACCCTACTTCCAACCCATTCACCCCAAACCTTTCCCAGGACCAAAACCAGCCTCTAGTGTGTTAGCACGGTTTGGCTTTCCTCCAGGAACTTCAGTTTTTCCAAAAGTTTCTAACTGTAAATTCCTCACCAGGACTTTACTTGCCCCCTCAACCGAGGCATAAAAATAGGACGATTTCCACAAACAACACTTATTTAGAAATAATGTGCCAGAGGAATGATTTGGGTTGGTTTTTATCTCTGATTCTTCCCAGTAACTCATCCACTAAGAACCCTGCCCACAGGAGGGTCTGATCCAACGGGGGGTTTGAGGCCACTCAGCTCAGCCTGGTTCCCAGGGCCAGTGTCCCACTCCAGAGGCCAAGTCCATGCTCCCCTCCCCTCAGCAGGCCTGTTCCTCCAGAGCTGTCCAGTCTCTCTGCCAGGCTCCAAATTCTCCATCTTCAGTGTATTGACCAAACAATGAGACAGGAGGACAGCTGGGAGAGCGGGAGTCTGAAATCACTGGTAGAGTGGCCCAGGACACACACAGGAGAGAGTCTCCACCGCTGCTGAGATGAAGGGACTCTCCATTCTTCTCAAAAGGCTTGCTGTGTTTTTGGCATTCCCCCACCTGACTTTTTTTCAAGTGAGTTGTTCCGATCTGACCTCAGAGAAGGCCAAACTGGGTGCTGTGGGGGAAGGGCAGAAAGAAACAAAACATGCTTGTAAGAAGTAGTTCCATAATCATAGCAGCTGCTGTTCATTGAGCTCTTCTCATGAGCCCGGCCCAGTACTGAATTTCATATGCATTATCTCATGTGATCCTTACCACCAGGAGGTAGGTATTATTATTGCCTTTCTAAGGATAAGGAAACTGAGGCTCAGACAGGCCAAGTTACTGCCCAAGACCATCTGGCTGCAACACAGAGTTAGAATTTGGACCCAGGTCTGTCTAACTCCACAGCTTGTGATCTTAACCTCTGTGTGTACAGCCTCAGAAAGGGAAAACAGCAAGGTGCCACTACATTTACATGAATTTCATCAATTCAACAACAAAAAACAAAGGCTCTTTGTTACCCCTGCTCCCTATCAGAGAACACCTTTATAAATGCAGTCTCAAACAAGTGGCCTGCAGTCCCAAATTCACCAACAGCCTTATTTAACTTGGCACATCATATTTTAAAATAACTTGACTGGCCCCTGCCAGCCTTTGAGTTTGCAGCCCAGGCCTCTTCTCTTACTCTATTGGATCTAGATCAAGAGGACAGGAATGGTGTTTTCAACAGAATCAAAACCATAATCGCCTAGCATTAAACCTGGGGAAGTTAGCTGTGAAGACAATTGTTCCTCCTGCATCATCTCCACCTCGGAGACGTTCTGCAAACAGTGCCACCCTGGCTGGTGACCCACTCAGCAGTAGCCACAAGGCAGCTGTATCAGCAGGTCTCCAGGAGCCAGGATGAGGCCTCGCAAGTTACTGCAGCATCACATAACAGTATGGGAGAAAGATACAGAGGGAAAATGATTCCATTCAGCTGCAACTTCAGGGTGGAGTTAATGTTTCACTCGGTGGATCCAGGCCAGGCCTCTGATCTCACACTTCCCTGGCAGACCTCTCTCTGCTGCAATCAGCTGGGAGTCATGTGTCCTCAGGGCTGGTACGATAGGAACAAACAAAGCCCATCATTCCACAAGCAGAGGAGGCCAGCCTTCCCAAACCCACAGAACACTGCTCCTTAATAGGCTGGGTGCCTATAATTAGTCTACAAATAGCACCGTGCTCATCGCCAGCTCACTCCTTTTGTCCCTACCCCCACTCACTGCACGCCCCGAGGTGCCTTTTCCAGGCACTGCAGTTCTCTAAGGGGCTACAGAAGTCTAAGCAAAGGGAAATTAGGAATCAGACTCCAAAATATTGTATGAGATCCAGCATGCAGCCTGCCTGGCAGTTAGGTTATGAGAAGGTATAATAAGTCACAAAGTTAAGAAACAAAATCTAAGCATTGGAAGGAACCCTACTTTGACCTTTTGATAGCAAGGAAAACGACTCACAGCAACACAATACTTGCCCAAGGATCTTATCCTATTTATCCTATTTTCTTTGTTGTTGTTGTTGTTTTGAGACAGGAGTCTCGCTCTGTTTCCCAGGCTGGAGTGCAGTGGCGCGATCTTAGCTCACTGCAACCTCCACCTCCCAGGTTCAAGCAATTCTCCTGCCTCAGCCTCCCAAGTAGCTGGGATTACAGGTGCCCGCCACCATGCCTGGCTAATTTTTTTGTATTTTTAGTAAGACAGTGTTTCACCATGTTGGCCAGGCTGGTCTCAAACTCCTGACCTCAAGTGATCCACCTGCCTCAGCCTCCCAAAGTGCTAGGTTTACAGGTGTGAGCCACCATGCTCGGCCTTTTTTTTTTTTTTTGAAACAGAGTCTTACTCTGTCTCCCAGGCTGGAGTGTAGTGGTGGATCTCGGCTCATGTAACCAACGCCTTCCAGGTCCAAGCAATTCTCGTGCCTCAGCCTCCCAAGTAGCTGGGATTATAGGCACGCATCTCCACACCTGGCCAATTTTTGTATTTTTAGTAGAGAGGGAGTTTTGCCACATTGGCCAGGCTGGTCTTGAACTCCTGGCCTCAAGCAATCCGCCCACCTCGGCCTCCCAAAGTGCTGGGATTTCAGGCATGAGCCACCACACCCGGCCGTGTTTTCTTTATTAGATTGAACTGATGAGGCAAAAGACGTCCTCCCTGCCCTCAGTAAAAGCCACTCTTCACTTCTTTTCACCACTAATATAAATAATCTCTGGTGATAACCTTTAATCCTTGAGCTTGGGTAAGAAAGTTTGATATCACTCTTCTATCCAGCAGAACTTCAGTTTCTCAGACTTTTCTGCTACTTAGAAAAATCACCGCCCTCAGCAGCCTCCCTTGGGCAACCCAGCCACGCCCACCACCACCACCACCTGAGCCTCTGACACCTGGCTCAGCTGAGGCCAGAATCATTCTCACCATGGTCATGTAGGTGGCCTCTGATTTTTCACTTGGTTCTTCTTCCTCGATCACCTCCCGTACAATTATTGGGGAGTAAATGTGTTTCTAGAGGGGGAAAATGGTACAAAAATTCCTAAAAATTAGATGAATCTTATACACCAGAGAAAAGGCCACCCACTCCTATTTGCTAGGCATCGACCACCCAAACTGCTGGTTCAGAGGGTTACTGAGACCTAGAGAATTCTCAACAATGATAATTCAGTCTTCAGTCTTCTTGAAAATTAACTGTCAAAGAACACAGTCTTAAGAACCAAACTCTTTGCTTCAAAAGCCAAACATCTTTGTTTAGATGGATGTTTAGGTAGCAGCAGGGGTTCCTTATCTTGCTAAATTCCTTGTATTCTGGGGTTATTTCCTTCTAATTACAGTAAAGGCAGAATGGCATTAATCAGCAGTGAATTGTCATCATCTCCCTCAGAGGATTTATGTGGCAGGGCCAGCCCTCATTGAACCTCACAACTGTGAGGTTCATGGTCCTGTCACTCGTTGGTAAAGCAGTATCATCCAGTGGCCCATTCTTGGACCACTGCACTCTACTGGGAAAAAATCCTACTCTTGGGACAAAAACAGCCCAAAATAGAGAAAGGTAACTATTCAAAGAGTTTTTTTAAAATTAAAGAAAGAAAAGAAAGAATAGGAGTTAAAGAAAACCAATCAATTTCTCAGTCTCTAGAAGCAATTATTTATAACTCCATTACAAAATCAATATGGAGAGAAAAGTCCTTCTTAATCCTTTCTTGCTAAGATCTTAGACTATTTCATTTTAAGCATTAGAACTCCTTAACTCCTGGATGTATTATAATTCTCCATTAGACTTTAGACAAATAGCACCTCCTAGATTACAAAGCATTTGCATATCATCATCTTATGTGAACCTTACAACAACCCTGTCAAGCAGGCTGGGCAACTATAGTATCTTTATCTTTATCCTCATTTTGCTGATGAGACTCAGGGAGGTGGCAGATCTTACTGACTCCAAGCGCAGTGCTCTTTCCTCAGCCCAATACCAGGATCTGCTGCCTGGGGCTGTCCCAGCCGACCCCATGCACTGTACTCCGCAGAGGCTCTTACTTTAGTGACAAAGGCTTCCTGAGTCCCTGCTCTGTGCCAAGCACTGGCCTGCAAGCTGCGACATACAATGGGTAAGATATGGTTCCCGGGGGTATGAGAACGGCCCAGGCCTGCATCTACTTAGTGTTTTAGGCTGAAGCGTGTGTTCACCTCCCCTTCACATCTTTCAAAATGGCAGGGTTTTTCTTTTATCTCTGGATTAGTCTTCTTCGTGTTCTTCACCAAGACTGTAGAATTCACTGAACTGCAAGACATGAAAAGCATGTGGAATTAACCAGCGGGCATGGTTTATTCAAGGGTCCCTACATGAGATCCCCTCTTGGCTTCGTGAAGAGAGAGACACCAGAGAAGGAACTATTCTCTCTGGACTCCTACAGCCAGGGCTACCCGGCTCACCTGGAAACCTGAGAAGCGCATCTCTTCTAATGAAGAACAAGAAGCCGTTCTGGAGATAATTTAGGCTGAAAAGCAGCTTCAACTTCTCTATTATCACTCAAGCCACTTTCAGTCCGTATGGGAGAGGTAATTTTAAGTGAATGAAGAGAGAGAGGGGAGATGGGATTCCATTTGACCATCCTGTCTACATTTCTGAGGACCAGGGAGTGCCGCGAAACCAGCAGGGGGCAGCAGGAGCTCAGCAAGACGCCAATCCGAAGGGCTCCTGGCCTTTCCGGGGGGCGGAGCAGAATAACCCCCACAAACACCCGACCCAAGCCCCAAGCAGGAGCTCTGCGCCTGCCCTGTCGGGGTCCCTTGGCCTTTGATCTCATGACCATTTGCCTTCTGAACATACTTTCTTTTTTTCTATTTTGGCCTAAGTCAGAACTAAAAAAAAAAAAAAAAAATTCAAGGTTTAAGCTAGAAAAGAAACCATATGTTTTGGTCTCAGTGGAAATATTTTCCTTGTATTTTCTGCTTTTAAAGTTGTATCTTCTCACTGTCAAATAATTCAGATAATACAGAAATGTAGACAGTTGGAAGTGGAAGTTCCCTGCAACCCGTCACCCCATGGGATCCACCTTCTCCTTCACTTCAAATTCCACACAATTACCCACATTTTACAACTGTCCTTCCAAGCCTCTCTCAGTGTAAGCATAAGCTCACATAAAATGTATTTAGTACATATGCTGCTGGAGTGAGCATCATATTATTTTCTCTTTTATAAAAATGAGGTCATACCATAAATTCTGTATTTTTACTCCTTGGATATCTTTCCATGTCATTATGTAGAGGGATCTGGAGTGTTTCATTGACTGGTTCACTGAATCGTTGCCTTTCTGACAGACACTGGCAATTATCCCTATTTTTAATTATAAGCAAGACGGCAGTTTTGCACAAATCTCAGCATATCCATTTAATTATTTCTTTAGAATAAACGACTAGACATGGAAGTGCTACCTTTCCTTTGGCGGGAAACTGAGGTCCCGACAGGGGAAGTAAGCTGAGAGTGGAATCCAGGTTGTCTAGCTCAGTGCTCCGAGCATGCCCAGAGCAAAGACCTTTAGAGAGGCCAGCCAAGTTCAAAACCAAATCAGGAAGCCCTAGGGAGTGCAAGTGAAAACTTAGCAGGCACAAGTGTTTTCTGCAGGATCCAAGACCCACTGGGAAAGAACACTCAAAAGTCAGGACTATTCATGAGGCCCTTTCCCACTGACACTATTTCAACAAGGGAGTCGATCTGCACTACAAGCATACTCCATCGATAGTTGGATAAACTGAGGGACATGGATCTGCCAACAGCCAGTGAAACACAAGTGTCCCTGTTGGAGCATCTGGGCACTTCTGAGACCCTGGGAGAACTACCGATGAAATTCAGGCCTTTAAAAGCACATTATTATTATTATTATTTTTTTTTTTTTTTTTTTTTGAGACAGAGTCTCGCTCTGTCACCCAGGCTGGAGTGCAGTGGCGTGATCTCGGCTCACTGCAAGCTCCACCTCCCAGGTTCACGCCATTCTCCTGCCTCAGCCTCCCAAGTAGCTGGGAGTACAAGCACATGCCACCACGTCCAGCTAATTTTTTGCATTTTTAGTAAAGACAGCTTTTCACCGTGTTAGCAAGGATGGTCTCGATCTCCTGACCTCGTGATCCGCCCGCCTTGGCCTCTCAAAGTGCTGGGATTACAGGCATGAGACACTGCGCCTGGCCAAAAGCATCTTTTAATAATAATTCATTTAGAACCTGAGGGCACCCATTCAAAGATCGTATCTCATAATTAGAATGTGGTCTTTTAGATAAAACCACTGGCAACCCTTAAGATCTTAGCTTCTATGCGGAACGTACAGTATGGATAATTTAAAAATCATCTTTTAGGCAGTGAATGGTACCATGATAGTTCTTGTGTAAGATTTATGCTCTGAATTATGCCCTACTGAGGCCCCCATTTCTAAGGGAGTTTGTAGTCTTTACATAATAACAAAGTGAATGAGGAGAGCGTAGGAATATTAAATTCTTTTCCCGGGCACAGTAAGCAAAGTGGGCAGGGTTACCACAGATGATTCCATTTAAAAATACCCCCTTCTGTGAGAATGGCATAAGTAGGGCCCTATCACCCTGTTCTACTTTGGGGTAGAGGCAGCCTTGCACCCCCAGCCTCCCAATCCAAGGGGTGGGGGTAGCCCTGTACCTCTTATTTCCACAGGTCTTCTTCACGATCAATATCAGAACAGGGAGCAGCAGGATTGTGGCACAGACAATTCCCACAATGATCACCAACTGATTACCACCCAAGACCAGAGGCCTCAGGGCTGCCGGGGTCACCAGTGCTTGGGAAAGTAGAAAAGCAAGGAGAGGGTCTCAATACTTTAGCAAAGAGCTGAGAGCCCCACAGCCCTATACCAAGTAGCACCAGCCAGGCCACGAAGCGGAGGGGAAGGCCAGACTCCACCCCATATCTGGACACTAGGGACACTGTCTCCATGAGATTGAGAACCAAAGTCTAACCCCCTCGTTTACCCTAAAATGTAGATTAAGGTGGGTGGGAGAAGAGGCTAGCAGTTCACCTCTAGTAAAGTTTCCTTTCACATCAACAATTCTATTCTAAAATTTGGCTTAACAAGGACCCAGAAATAACAGGCATTTGAGAGGCTGCTGATCTTCCTTAGGGCAAGTGGTTGTCTTCAAAAGAACTCATGCCGCAAGACTCAGCCCCACAGTGACGATACCAAGTAAAGCCTCCGGAGGTACTTCTGCCCATATGGAACCTTCTACTCATCTGCATGGTTCTTTCTAAATACATAAAGCAAACACCTCCTCAGGGCCAGACAGCACTAGGTACAGGGGATTCAGAGATGAATGATGATGTGTGGTCCCTGCTTCCAAGGAAGAAGACAAACACGTCAACAGAAAACCACAGGCTGCTGTAGGCGCTACAACAGAAGTCTGTATGGGGAACAGAGGGGCACAGAAAAAAGGGTGTCCAATTCTATATGCAGCAAGTGAGAATTTGCCAGCAAAAGTTCTAAAGTTTAACCTAAGACTTACAGGAAACATCCAGTTTGTTGGGAAGACAATATGGAGAAGGACAGAGGGGATGTTCTGCATGAGATCTGGAGGCCTGACAGGATGATGATTTTAGAAACTAGAAAGAGTTCAACGGGTCTGGCACAAAAGTGGCATTTGTGGGTGTGCTGGAGAATTTCGCTGGAGAGATGACAGGGTCCAAGTCAGGAAGGACCTTGACTATCTCAACCAAGAATCTGGCATTTTTCTGCAGGCAATGAAAACAACATTGAAAGATTATTAGCAGTGGAAGAGAAAGTTCTTAATGTGATTTAGAAAGATGGCACCAAGAGCCGCGTGAAGAATGAGGAGCAGTGGCTGAGAGAGAAAGCAGAGACTGGTTAGAGGCCTACAGTTCAAGACAGAGATGAAGACAGCCAGAACTAAGGCGGCAGTGACAGACTGGAAGGAAGACAACTTCAAGAGTCTGTAGTAGGAGTCAAGGACTTGTTGACCTGACCTGTTAGATTAGGGGTCTAGGAAAGGGAAAGAATCAAGCACACCCCCAGGCATCTAGTTAGACAACTGAGGTTGGGGAGATGGGCTGAGGAGGGGTGTGCAGGGGTAGGTTAGACATGTTGCATATGAAGGATTTGTGGAAAACTTGTGTAGAGTTGACTAAGTATATCCATGGGTGTGTGTGGAACTGTGTCCAACATAGAGTGCATATAAATGCTACTGAAGGAGAGAAGGCTGAGGATGGATAATTGCAGTGCCATTGGTGATCTAAGCTGGAGTAGAGGTAGAATAAGCCAGAATGCAGTGCACTGAGGAGTTAATGGGAGATGAGACAGTAAGATACCAAACACAGACCTTTAGCAAGCTATTTGGCTATGTTGAGAAAGAAACACGTGATTGTGGTGGTGGTTGTTCAACTCTGAATGTACTAAAACCATTGAGCTGAACGCTTTAAATGGGCAAATTGTATGGTATGTGAATTGTATCTCAGGAAAACAATCTTAAGAAAAAGAAAGACACAGAATGGAGCTGAAGAAAAAAAGACATAGAATGGAGCTGGAGTAATTAAGTAGTAGAATTGAGCAAACGTATCCATTGAATGGTAGAAACCAACAGAAAGTGAGCTCAAAGAGCCATGTTGTAAGGTTCCTGAGAAGGATACCACCTGGGCACAGGGGGCCAGATAAGCCCAGAGCAGAAGGGACCTTCCTCTGCCTCAGGATGGCAGGGCAGAGATAAGAATGGGGGAGACATAGATATGTTTGTGGGTGGAGAAGCTGCATGAGCCCCCATAATGGCTCGATTTTCTCTGTGAATTGGACTTCTGAGAAGGAAGCACACAGACCTGCCGTGCTCCCCTCTCCAGCTGGAGACAAGGTGCCTCCACAGACTTAGGTCTCTGGCCTGAGGTATGAGGTATGTTCCATCCTCACCCCATCTTCCCCACCCCCAGCCAACCACAGCCAACTCCTGAAGGCCCTAGCGACAGGCAAAGTCCACAGGCCACATCCTGATTGCTAACTGGGTTATGGTTTAACTTTAACCCCTCACTTATCAACCTCTCTCTGTCAACACAATCAAGTCTTTCCTCTCCTACACAGCACTGGCCTTGATGCACACTGTTTGCCAGAATCCAGAACCTCTGATCAGAAAACCCTCCATTTTTGGTTCTGGTGCCTGCATGTTCCTCTCTGTTCCTGGCTGTCTCTCACTAGCTTAGGATCATTTCCCGCTCCACTCTAACACATACAGCACCTCCCTTGAAACCAAGTATGCTGACTTTGGACATCAACTCCGATCCTTCCCTGAGCTTCTGTATCTTTACATCAGTAGATGACCCTGGCAATGAGTGGGGTCTGGCAGAGGATTGGTATTCACTAAATTAGCTCCCCTCCCCTTGGCCTAGCAGCAGGGCCAGAACTAGGGTGAGGCAAGCCAGGCACCTGAGGAGCCACCTCTAAGGAGGCATCATTCTCAGGGTTGTGCAAGGCCAGAGTCAGCACCTGAGAGGGATGCCTCCTTCAATTTTGCATCCTAGGAACCTCTCCGGCCTCACTCTAGTCCTGGCGCCATGCACCAGCCAGGAGGTCCCTCAATGCTCCCCAGCCAAATGTTAGATACTTCGAGGCTCTTCCGGGCTGACATGCAGCACAATGGTTTTCTTGAACACCAGGTTCCCTAGGTGGATACTGCAGGTGTAGTTTCCTCCATCTGACTCCCTCACTCCTTGAAGCATGATGGAACCGTCATTGCGGAAAATGTCCCCCACCAGGTTCACACGATTCTGGAAGTGGCCCCAGCTCTGGGAGTACTCCACAGACATCCTGAGTTTGTGGTAGTAACGAAATACAATCTCCTCCTAGAAGTGAAAGACAAAAAGTATGATATTGTGAGGACTGGAGTGGAGCGGGGAGCAGAGAAAATGGGGGAGGGAAGATCTCAGGACTCCAAGGCCCTGCTAGGTGAAGGCAGTAAGGGTATTATCAGAAAGCATTAAATAACACAAAGTCATGTACACACACATGTGCATGCGTGTGTACTTGTGAAGGACATCACAAAACCATGAACAGTTTTTCCATCTGAATGGAGGGATAAGAAAAGGAGGACTTTCATTTTGTGCACCTTTCCAATAAAAAAAAAGCAAAAGTATACTTTTATTCTTGATGACATTTCTAGTTGGATTTCCAATAGGAACCTGAAACATGTCTAAAACTGAACTCTTCATCTTTCCCCCAAACCAGTTCTTTCCAGTCCATCCCATTTTGGTACATGGCAATGCTTTCCTCCAGATACTCAGGCTAAAAATCCTGGAGTCATCCTTAATTTCTGTCTTTCTGGAACAAATCACATTGAATCCCTCAGCAAATCCTATCACCTCTACCTTCAAAATATATCCCCAATCCAGCCAGTCCTCACCTCCTCCACTGATACCATTCTGGTCCAGCTCATCTCTCACCTAGATTCCTGCAACAGCTTTCTTACTTGTCTCCCTGCTTATTCTCTATGACAATCTATTTTCAGCAGATGAGCCTTTAAAAATGTAAGTTAAATCATGTTACTCCTGTGCTCAAAACCCTTCATGGCCCCCACTCCCATTTCTACTAAAATGCAAGGCCCTGCATGACCCAGCCCATCTCCCTTTACCTCTGACTTCAACTTCTACTTGCTCTTCCCTCACCTACTTGGGTCACTGCGCTCCAGCCACATGGACCTCTTGGCTGCTCCTTGCATACTGGCTGCAAGGCCTTTGCACTTGCTACTGTCTATGACTGCAAGAACACTCTTCCCCCTACACATATGCAGGGTTCACTCCCTCTCCTCAAATGTCATCTCAGTGAGGGCTCCCCAAGCACCCACATAACAAAAACCACAAAGTCCTGCTTTATTGTTCCCCGTAGGCTCTTACTATTGCCTGATGTATTATATACGTCTTTATTATTTTACATGTATCTCCTCCATCTTGGTTGTAAGTTTCCCATCAGGACTGGGGCTTTAAGTATTCTTCATATAGCAGATTCTTTAAAAATAACTTGTTAAATGAATATTGGCATTAAAAAAAGCCATGTAGATTGCTTTTTTAAAGCTTTTAAGAAAAGTTAATGGGTGTGTAGACACAAACATGAATGAAGTGACCTGGCCCCTAACATTTTGTCTCTCGTGATTCAAATTCACAACCTCAAAATGTCAATTCTCATCCTATTTTCTCCTGTGAATCACTCAATGGATGACATTTAAATGTATGGCAAGCTCTCAGAGGTGAACCTGGGACCAGATGTAATTCCCCATACTCCATCATGATGTCACCCACTGTGACCCACTCAGATAGCATAGAGGAATCAAGTGCAAATGACTTTGTTAGAGAGATGACCTGGAATATGTTTTAATTTATAAAAGTTAGTCTTTACTAAATTTTGCAACTTAACTTTTATTAATAACAAGTTACTTGGGATATCCCCACAACACATGTTGACCCATAAATATACGACCACATCATGGTTGAGAGCTACTGGTCTAAAGAATAAACTTGCTTCTTCCTGCTTTATAGAGTTCCCGTAAAATACCCTTCACCCTGGCCCCCAGGATCAATCAATCCCAACACGTGAAGTACCCATGAAAATTCCCTCCATCACATAAATGGGGCAATGGGGCACAGATGAAAACTCACAGAACTAACCCCAGTAAGAATAAAAGTGTAATCACTTTAATGTCTAGCCCATTGCTTTCTTGGCTGGGCCACAAAAATCATCTCCCTCATTCTCCCATGGACTCTATACGAAGGAAAAGGGAGAAAGAAGGAAACTAAAATGCAGGGGCCAAGTCTTATACAAAATGCTTTACATGTACAATCTCATATCGGCATCCAAAAAGTTAAGCATCATCATCATCTTCTTGTTCTTGTTCTTCATTGGAGTTATCTTTCCCACCAGAAAGCTGAAATTGCTAGGAGAAGGTCCAGTTCTGATAAGCACCAAAGCCCAGGCTCTTGCAACACCTCCTCATGTGCCTGATTCTACCTTTGTCCTGATACCATCAGCCAGAGCCTTCTCTAACACAGTGATGTTTCCTCCTTGTTACCTTTGCGCGCCGTCCTGAAAATATCCATTCTACCTTGGTCACGTGTTTCACTTCTGTGCTCTGGAAAACACATCCCATCTGAATCAATCCACCCACATGGACCATGAGCTCTGAGGATAAAACAGTAAATCAAGTCAGACTCAAGTTATAATCTATAGAAGTCAAAGAATTTCTAGAAGAGATCATGTTTAGCCAAAGACCCTCAGCAGCAAAAATCGCTGTCACCACCAAACACTGTACGTATTCCCTCTGTACGAATTCCCTCTGTGGGTGATCCAGATGATTCCACGTGGGCAAAGTACTCAGAGCCTCCTCCCTCAGACCAGCACAGCATCATCCCCAAGATGAGAATACCCTCTAGCTGCCCACATGTACCAAGCCTGAGGGTTTCTGCTGTCTCCATATCACCATAAACACTTTCTGGTCCTCTTTAATTCCTTTCTCTTTCCCCTTTTCCAGAATTCCTCCCATGAACTCTAATTTCACATCAAGTTTGTACTAAAGGAAGTATGGAAAATCTCAAAGTCCCTACTTTATGTTCATCATCTTAGACACCAACATCTGCTTAGCATAAACAGGAAGTGGAAAGTTATAGAACTCTCATTCTTATATTTAACCCACTGACTCTCCCAACTAAAAAAATGAACCAGGGGTAACTTTCTTCAACTTCTTTTATTGTTTTTCTTTTATTCTAGGACCTAGTTCTGGCCTTGGTACAAGTCACAGGACTCCTTGCTAATTAGGCCAAGACAAAAGACAGCTTTCTCCTTGACTTTTCTTTCTGTTTTAATCCTGCTCTCTCCTGCCCCCACCCTCCCGACTTCCCCTGCTTCTGGCTTTCCACCTCCTAGGCTCTTCCTTCTGACTATTGTACAAGCAGCTGACCCACCATATGTTTATTACATAAGTCATTTTAAGTGGCCCATGAAAAAGAAAAGAAGTAGAAAGACATTTCTGATTTTTCAGTAATGCTCTGTACAAATCAACCACAAAGTTGATTAAGCAATGAAAGGCAGGGTGGTGTATAAGGAAGACACAAGTCTAGGTCTTAAGTGCACAGAGTTCCTTCCAAAGAGTGTTAAGCAAAGATCACAAGGGAACAGAGTGCATAAGCCACCCTTTCATCCAAATTATTTCCCTGGGAGAAGAGTAACTTCCTGCCCAGCAGGAGAAATGCACAATAGGAGGAAAGCAAAAGAAAATATTATGAACTCTAAAATCTATGGAAGGAATTATTTTGAAAGCGATAAAAAAGTTACTCCAAAGAATACCAGTAAGGAAGCAAACTCCCTTTAAATCTATCAGCACATTAAGAATTAAACTCTATTTTTAAAATGCAATAATAACAACTGAACATTCTGAGTCCTTTCAATGCACCACCATGTGCTAGACACCCTATACACAGTAGATTAGTTAGTCATTACAATATTTTGAGGTTTGTATGACTACTCTCCCATTTTACAGAGAAGGAAAGTAAAGGAACCCAATGCCACATGGCCAGGAAAGGTAAAGCCAACATTTAAGCCCAGGTCTGAGTGAAAGGAAAGCCCGAGTTTTCTCACTCACTCTACTGTGGCACCCCACATAAGTAGAAGGATGGCTGATTCTAGAGCAAAAGTAGAGGACATTAATCTAATTATTATTTTCATCTATAGTATTTAAATTAAGAACTATGAAAAAAAGAATTGAAGTGGTAGAATCATAGAGAGACTATCAACTGAAGGGTAAACTTTGTAGAGAAAATTATAGATGACTACAAAAAATGGAGTTGCCATGTTGGTGGAGGCAACTTACATAAAGCAAGTTGGAGCACGGTCCACTAGGCAAAATTGTTAGGGGTTGGATCTATTCCCATTCTAGCTGGAAGAAAAAAAAAATACAGCTTGCTCCACTAGCCACTGGGGGAATATCTGACTATCTCTAACATTGCCCTAGCCTGTTTCCATGGATTCCTCAGCTCTTGAAATTGACTCCTTGTGGTTCCCTCTGTGTCTCTTCTAAGCAGGAAAAGGCTATGCTTGCATGGACAAGTGTTCAGGCATGGCATTAGAGACCAAAGGCAGAAAAAGGAAGCAAAAAGAGAATCCTTTGTAATACCAGCAATTTGGAGAGGCTGAGACAGGAGGATCACTTGAGCCCAGGGGTTTGAGACCAGCCTGGGCAACGTAGGGAAACCCCATCTCTACTTAAACAAACAAACAAAGCCAGGCATGGTGATGCACACCTATGGACCTAGCTACTCGGGAAGTTGAGGCAGAAGGATCACTTGAGCCCAGGAGTTCAAGGCTACAGTGAGCCGTGATCATACCACTGCAACTCCAGAGCCTGGGTGACAGAGCAAGACCCCACCTAAAAAAAAAAGAGAGAGAGAGAGAGAATCCTTGGGCACAGGCATCTGATTTGCTTCTTCTTCCTGGAGAACAAGAGCTTTGGAATTAAGAGAAAAATGACAATGAAAAAAAAGTAGGATAATTAGGAGAGGGGCCAGAGGCCACCTACTACAACTCCATTTTTTAGAAATCAGATTCAAGCAAGGGATGCTAACTCAATAATTTCATTCATTCCACAAATGCTTATTAATTGCTTACTCTGTGCCAGGGGCTACGCCCAGGCAAGCAGGGAAGACACAAGTGAATAGGTGTGATGAGTGTCATAAGAGAGGAAGGCAGGGTGCACCAGAGGAGCTCATTAATAAAGCTGGGAGGCTAAGGACCTAAGCTAGCTGCAGGCGGGAAATGGCCCCAGATTCTAGTTCCCTAACTACATTGCAAGCTCTCCTGGGGTCACAGACTGTTCCTTCTATTCCACACTCTTAAAGAATGCATCTAGTTCTGTGGCTTGCAAACTTTTACTTTCATTTATGTATTTTTATTTGTAAGTTTTATATCAATAAGCAAAACTAAATTTTAGAGACACTGGCTAACGTTAGTTTGGATATCATTAGTTTATTATAAAAGAGAGACATGGAAATTATTTACACAATGAAAGATTTCAGAACTCCAGTGGAATCAGTGTCTTCACATGAGGCTTTTTCAATAGTGATTTATTTCGGTATATATACTTTCCAAGAATGCCACCATTTCTAAATAAGAAATTATCCCTGTCGTCCAGAACTACTTTGGTGCCTCCATATTCTAGATTCTGGGGGAAGAATTTTATCTCCAGCTTTTGGGCTAACTGGTTGAATCTCTCCACCCTTTCCTTTAGAGCCCAATACAACAGCTTCTACAGTTGCTTGCAATACTTTTGAGATTTTTCTGGAAGCATAATGCCTCCTTTGGTTACAGTCTCAGCTGCATTCCTTTCAACTAATACCCAGTCAAAGAGGCGAAAAAAACTTTCTAAATGACTCGGGCCACCACAGCTTATACTCTCCCTTTCAAACTGCTTGCAAGCAGCAGAATCCTTATTCAGACCAAATCTTACCTGGCAGCCCAATGAATACAACAGGAAAAAGGAAAAGGACTTTGGTTGCAATGCAGGTGGGAGCCTAGGGTCCTACCCCTGCCCCGCTCTTACCCTTCATGTTCTTTGGAGCTTAAGGTTCTACAGAGCACAAATTTTAAAACCACCCACTCCTTCCACTTATAAATGGAAAAATAAAGTGCAAAGAAGAGTTAGAAAGATCTGCTCCTTTCTTCTTTTTTCTATTTTAAGAGACAGGGTCTCAGCTCTGTCACCCAGGCTGGAGGGCAGTGGTGTGATCACAGCTCACTGCAACCTCCACCTCCTGGGCTCAAGTGATCCTCTCACCTCAGTCTCCCCAGTACCTGAGACCACCACAGTCATGTGCCATCATGCCCAGCTATTATTATTATTTTTTTTTTATTTTTTATTTTTTTTAGACATAGGGTCTCACCATGTTGCCCAAGCTAGTCTCAAACTGGCTTCAAGTGATCCTCCCACCTCGGGCTCCCAAAGTGCTAGGATTACAGGCATGAGCCATCACACCCAGACTTTTTCTTTTTTTTTCTTTTCTTTTCTTTTCTCTTTTTTTATTTTAGACAGAGTCTTGCTCTGTCACCCAGGCTAGAATGCAGTGGTGCCATCATAGCTCACTGCAGTCTTGAACCCTGGGGCTCAGGCAGTTCTGCTGCCTCAGCCTCCCAAAATGCTAGGATTACAGGCATGAGCCACTGAGCCTGGCCTGCTTATTTCTTTTCTATCCCCCAGATCACCTAACATAGGGTACCTATAAAATACAGATGTAGCATCAATGTGGATAACTGATGAAAGGTATTAGGGCATAGTAAAAAGAACATGGACTTTGTTGTCAGAGGTGCCAGGGTTCAAGTACTATTTATTCCATTTAATAAATATGTGTCCAAAACATATTTGGACATATATGTGAACAAAACATCCTTCACAGGGCTTTTGTGAGGGGGAAGTGTGTTTAAAGTAATAATACAATAATTATCAATATTTTATTTAATAAAATAACTCTATTTTTATTGACTGAAATAATTATGATCATTTTTTGAAGATTCACTCTGTGGTAAGTACTTAGCCCAAAGGCTGGCATTTACTCAAGATAATCAGTTTCCTTGCCTCTTGCACATGAAAGCTCTTGCCCCTTGGCCCCTCTTTAAGTAAGCATTTGCGTACCTTTGGGCTCCTCTGGAAGCACATGCAGTACCACCGCCTTCTTGAACACCTGGCTCTCCCCTTTGAGGCGGATTTCACAGATATAGGTTCCCTGGTCAGCCTCTTGCACATCTTGGAGCAGGAGAGAGCCATCATTGCATAAGATGTCCCCCATCAAGTGTACGCGGTTCTGGAAGCGCCCAATAGGCACACTGAGATTGGAGTAATAGTATAGCACATATTCGTCCTGAAGGGCAAAACAGTGTTGGAGACAATCAAAAGAGGTGCCAGACCGAGGAGCCTGGATCCCAAAGACTCTGTTATGTGGGGGCAGCAGAGCTATCATCATGATCATGATCCAAAAGCATTTGGTACCCAGTTAATAAAAATAATGTGCCAGGCAACAGTCTAACTTGCACAAGCTCTGCAACTCCCTTTCTACAAAGACAAATGGAGAAATGCAGTCCACATTTTATTTCTTACAGTTTAAGGTAAAATATAGCACCCACTCTGAAGATCACTCTACGGTTTTTAACTTACAACTTTTGAAAACCATCTCTCATTTTCACCCTATTTTCTGCCACAGCCCCGGATTAGATGGCATTCAAATGCATGATCTATTTTCACTAGTGCTGTGGGTGGTGTTGGCGTAAGAATTCCAGGCATGGCCGGCTGGCTGCCACTTTTCTCATTTCTACCCTCCTCCCGGCAGCAGTATCGTAACACAAAAGGAGTCATCCACAGGGAATGGTTCCAGGCTGGGCCCTGGGGAATTCTTTTGTTTTTGGTTTTGGTTTTGTATTGTTTTCTTCTGTCACCCGGGCTGGAGTGCAGTGGCACAATCACAGCTCACTGCAGCCTTAACCTCCTAGGCTCAGGTGATCCTCCCACCTCAGTCTCCCAAGTAGCTGGGACTACAGGTACATGCCACTGCAGCCAGCTAATTTTTGTGTTTGTTTTTTTATAGAGATGGGGTTTTGCCATGTTGCCCATGCTGGTCTCAAACTCTTGAGCTCAAGTGATCACCCCGCCTCAGCCTCCCAAAGTGCTGGGATTACAGGCATGAGTTACCACACCCAGCAGAAATTCTTATTTCTACTTACACTATGGGTTTATCCCTCGTATAAAAATAAAGGCCAATAAAAATTTGAATGAGAGTAGCATTATAGGGACAACAGGGAATGTGCTCTGAGCTACAAAAACAATATTTTGTTTGCAAACATTAGGACTTTATTGTTAGTAACAAACTACTTGGGATGTTTTTCACAAATGATCCTGATATACGAGTATCTATACAGACTGTCTGATGAGGCTTAATACACTGTTCCTCACTCCAAAGAGCTCCATGAAAGAACCTCGCCCACCATGCTGCATCTGCTAATCCCAACACTTTAAGCAGCCACAAAGGAGAAAATGATGATTCCCCAGCACATACATGGAGCAGTGAAACACTGAAAGAATCTGTCCTCCTCCCCACCCCAAAAAAGATCATTGTGGTATAGTTCTTATGCCTAGGTCAGAGCTCTCCTTTCTAGAACCTCGGAATTTACCCCTCTCACCTGCTTCTGCTACTTAACAAAGGGTAGAGATAAAGGAAGGAAACTCAAAGAATTTCATGTGCAAGAACAAGGAACCTCTCATTTCAAGTTTGTGTCTCCCATCAGCCCCTTAACTACTTGAAAGGTAAGCATTACCATTATTGTAATTGCCTTCCTCTTCACAGCTCAGGAAGCTAAGATCAGCAAGGTTGAGTAACTTACTTACCCAGCTGATAACATAACCAAATTCCTGAGCTAGGACGAGGCCCAGTTCTGATAATCTCCAAAGCCCCGGCTCTTGCAACACCTCCTGGTGGCACCTGATGCCTGACTCTTACACCACTCTGTCCTGACACCAGCAGTCAGGGGCTTCTATTACATAGTGATGTTTCCCCCGCGTTACCTTGGCGTGCTCTCCTGGTGACAGAGTCCAGTCTATCTTGAATATACATTTGTCTTCTGTGCTCTGGAAAACACATCCCATCAGAGCTGAATCACCCACATGGACTGTTAGCTCAGGCGGGGAAACATTCAAGTCATTCAGGCCCAAGGAATAATCTATAGAAGTCAAAGGCAAGAGGACACATCATTTAGACAAATACTCTCAACAACAAAAATCAATTCCAATCATGGAGTACTAAACACCCCTCTCCCTGGATGATCCAACATAGACAAAGTCCTCGGAGGCATGTTCAAAGGCAGCATGGCATCCCTGTCCTCTAGTTACCTATATGGCTCATCAGAAGGATTCTGCAATCTTCATACTACAATAAATGCTATCTGGCTCCCTCCTCCTATCCAGCCCCTTACACTTTTCTGGAATTCTTCCTCCCAACCTTTCTAAAGAAATAAGGGAAACCCCAGAAGTCTCTCCTTTCTGATCATCAATTTAGAAACTCACCTCCACTTACCATAACGACGAAATGGGTTGTTCCTTGCTCTTAAATCTCCCACTGGTTCCCTCTCTGAAAAGGGACCTTTTGTTTACTTCCTCTTTTCCCTTTCTTTTAGTTCCTTTACAAAAGCATTTGCTGGCTGATTCTGGCTGTAGGGCAGGTCCTTGTAATTAGGCCACCACAGAGCACAGCTTTCCTCCTGCATTTCCACTGTGTTTATCCTCTCCCTGCCTCACCCCTCCAGCTTTGCCATCAGCTTTCCAGCCTCTAGGTGCTTCACACAGGGACCCCTGCCCATTATCTCTATGTTGCTCAAGCAATTTCGAGCGGTCACTACAAGAAAAAACCATTACATGGATATTTCTGTTTTCACAAGATATGCTCTATGCAAAGAGACAACAAAATCAAGAAAGATACATTTAGATGCTGCCCAGTTCATATCAGAGAAGAGCCAAGTGATGGGAATGAACAGAAAATGTGCCAGTCTTTTCATCCAAGCTGTTTCCCTGAGAGAAGACAGTTAACTTCCTGCCCCAACAGTAGGCTCACACAGCAGGGAGGACACAAAAGAAAACATCGACTCTAAACCCTTCAGAGGGAATTATTTTGAAAGAAATCAAAATTAGCTCCAACAAATATTTGGAATTTTCCTGTAAGGAAGAATTGAGCAGCTCCATGTGTGATTGAAAGTGTAATAAGCGAATTTAATATTAAGAACACTGTGTGTAGAATTAAATGAAGGACTGCTAGGAAGCAACAACAGCAACCAAAGCAAAGAGAAACTGATGTTTGAAGGGCAATCTTGGTAGAGAAACAGCTGAAGAAGATGAGATTTTCTGCAAGAAAGGAAAACCTCTCCACAAAAAACTACAAAACCCCCAGTGCCACCAAGTCACCACATACAGGGGTTGGACTGGTAGCTCTCTGGATCGGAGGGCAAAAACCTGCAGGCTGCTCCACAGACCTCTAGGAAAATGTCTAAATACCTTCTGAGATCATTATAACCCTGCTTCTTTGAGAAAAATTATCTAATGAACACCATTTTGGTGTGCGTGCCTGTGTGCATGTTTGTACACACTCTGGATTGCCTGGAATAGGAGCAAAGGCAATCCTGTTGTATACTTTGCTGAGTCAGGGTTTAAATTACTGTCCAAAGTTCAAAAAATAATAATAAAGAGAAAAAGAAAAGGCTATGAGAGCAAAGCACCTGATTAATTTCTTCTCCTTCCAGAACTACATCCATGGGATAAAGAAAAAGGCATGGGGGAAAAGGATGAAAACCTAGAAACCAGTGGAGATGAGCAACGAGAAGCTCAGCACTTAGGTGGAGGCATAAACAGGAGACCAATCTGGTCTGAGGAGATGGCCAGGTCAGGCTCCTCAGAAGGAAGTGGAGCATAAGGGGAAACCTGAAGGGTAAGGAAGCATCGGGCGGGCTTGCTAGGTTGAAGTGCTGGGAGGAAGGTTCCAGGCAAAGGAAACCACCATAAATTGGGAAAGAGCTCAGTCCATTTGAGGAACCACAAGAAGGCTGACATGGCCACAGTATGAAAAACAGCTCTGGGTCTCTCTTTGGTAATTTCAGTTCCTGATTCAAGGCGAACTGTGGTTTTAAAGATAACAATTTAAAGTGCAGGAATGCCACAGAGAAACTTTCCCTTTGTCACGTAAGAGGGTCCCAGAACACCCTTTAGGACCCAAATGCATTCTGTTTCTAATGGAAACAGGAAGCTTCAGCTTCCCAAGAAACCATAAGCTAGTTGGCTTCAACAACAGCTGCTTCAACAAAACTGTGAAGTTCCACATTAGGGTTTCCATCTTCAACAAACCCAAGGGAATCGAAAATATGTAAAATTGGCTTTTAATAATGCACAGAACTCAGGAGAAATCAAATACCCCACGGAGTCCCTTAGCTTCTACTTACCCAGTAACACTGGCAGCAGGATGAGTTTCAGTGGGCAAAACATGCTGCTCTCAACTTTCAAATCTTAAGATAAAAGAACAAAAATCACAAAATCATGTCAAGAGAAGCTCATTAATTTAAAAAACCAATAGTGAAGGACTATACGGAGCAGCCTCTGTTTGAGACACTGGTATGCAGCATTGAACAAGAAAAACAGACGAGGTCCCAGCTCATTTGCAGTTTGTATGCAGCGGGAGGTGGAGAAAAAAGAAGCAAATAAATGAATGAATGAATAAGAAAATACCAGATGTCAATAAGTGCTATGATGAAACAAAACAGAGTAGTGTTTGAAGAGTCACTTGGGGGCTGCTTTAGATTGGCCATAAGGGAAGATTAGATGAAAGTTGCTTTTCAAGAGAAAAAAAGCAAATGATTGCAGGATGCCCTTGAGATGACAACCCTAGATTTTCCACTACCTGTATGTTTCACACAAACAAAAAATTATAGGATATCCAGCCTGAAATTTTTCCCCATCTCTCCACCTAAATTAGAATTACTACTTTTTTGGGAGGAAGAGGTTGGGGGAGGGAACAGATTCTCACTCTGTTGCCCAGGCTGGGGTGCAGTGACGTGATCTCCAGGGCTCAAGCAACCTTCCTGTCTCAGCCTCCTGAGTAGCCGAGACTACAGGCATGCTACACCACACTTGCTATTTTTTTTTTTTAAGTAGTAGAGAGGTCTCACTGTGTTGCCCAAGCTGGTCTCAAACTCCTGGGCTCCAGTGATCCTCCACCTCAGCCTCTCAAAGTGTTGGGATTACAGGCGTGGGCCACTGCACCTGGCCCATGGTGCACTTTTTATCTTATTTTTCTTTTTAACTTTTTAAAGGCAGGGCAGTGTGGCTAGAATGAGAGTTGGGCTGTGCATTGGACAAAAGTATGTGTTTGATATGCATGTTATCTCTGTAGTATTCATTTCATTGCATTTACCAGCCCCTGGAAAAGGATTCACTGTTCTACCAAACACCCCCAAATTTTCTTAGCTAAACAGAAGAACCCTGACTCTCAGGAGTTACAGTGCAACCAGTCTTGAGTTCCCACCTGCTACTGCTCCTGGCCTCAGCCGTGGTCTTTACCCCTGGCCACCCTGCCGCTGGGGAGATTCCACCTCAGAATCTGCTAAGAGGAAAGATATGTTTTTTGCATTAACAGCAAGGTACCCCACCCAGCTCTGCTAGGACATCTGGCACATACGGTAGCCATTTTAATTAATAAACATTGATTACTTGGCCGGGCCTGGTGGCTCACACCTGTAATCCCAGCACTTTGGGAGACCAAGGCGGGCGGATAACGAGGTCAGGAGATCGAGACCATCCTGGCTAACACGGTGAAACCCCATCTCTACTAAAAATACAAAAAATTAGCCGGGCATGGTGGCGGCCGCCTGTAATCCCAGCTACGGGAGGCTGAGACAGGAGAATGGCGTGAACCTGGTAGGCGGAGCTTGCAGTGAGCCGAGATCACGCCACTGCACTCCAGCCTGGGCGACAGAGCGAGACTCTGTCTCAAAAAAAAAAAAAAAAATTGATTACTTAAGACATTCCTTAATCGTATTCTCCAATCAACAAAATCCTCTACCTGGAAAATCAGAGTCAAGCTATTCAAGGAGGTTCCTACCTCAGGTCCCACTTACACAGAGAAGTCAGCTGATCTTGCTGAACCTGTTTCCTTGCCTTTAAAAGGGATTGATAATGAAAGGATCTAATAGTATAACGTAGATAACAGTGCTTTGAAAATAGGAAGCATTACCATGGAAGATTCTTTATATAGATAAGAGTCAGAAACAGAGTTTGTAGCTTTAGGGGAGATTTCAGGTTCTGAGCTTCTACCTTTCTAAGAATGGCAAATGATGAATCAGAATGAACAGGAAACTTAAGTTTCCATTTTTGAACCTTGTTGTAACAATGGGGATAATAATTACACTGAGCCAGATATATCAGGAGTCACATAGATTCCCCTAAACAAAAGAACCTCTAGTGAAAACACAGACCTCTCTCAACATAAGCAAAACCCCATTCCTGCTCCGTGCCACCCACCTTGCCCCATACATACATGGATGAAGGTCATAAGGGGCTTCCTTTATGGTGTGTCCTAACATAAGTTCATCACATCTGGGACATCTGTTGCCTTCCCCAGGGAGTTGGTTGTGCTCCCTCCTCTGCCCAGAAAACAGCACTTAGCAGTGGGACATTCCCCCTGCAGCTCACCAACCGCATGGAGGAGTAATGACTAATTTATATGTCTGCCACCAACTCAAGTCTGCAGACTCTAAAAGGCAGCACCATACGTGCCTTATTTAGATGTGTGTCCTGTTACCGTGGGGCAGCACCGGCAAAATGCCTGGCATATACTGGATAAATGCTCATAGCTGACAATGTGACCATTAAGTTGAAATCAACTTAAAGGCATCTTGCAGCAGTCCCCGCTCCACTCTATTCTAAGAGGAAGCCAGCGACTCTAAAAAGATTCTGAATCTTGGCACTAAAGCCGAGTAACTCAGAGCCACATCCAAACCATCTTCAAACAAATGCTAAGAAACATGAGTATCATGAATGGAAAACGCTCATTGTCAGTCCTACATACTCGGATGCACCTCTAGAACTCCGTGAAGACAGAAGCAATGATTTTAGCGGAAAAATTACTAAAAGTTTTTTTTAAATGCTCTTCTGGGCTCAGATCTTCCTTTAACCAACTCTTTGATCTTTGGGAAAATCACCGGGCCTTGTTTTCAATATTAAAAGATCAGACCTTTTTCTTAATATAGCAGCACACTAGAAATCAGTAGTTGATGTGTAATAAAGCAGAGAAGGTTAATGCCAGGCCCTGGGTGCTTTACACAGTAACTCATTTAATCCTCACAACAACCCCATGAGGTTTTACAGATGAGGAAATGAGGCAGAGAATGACAATGTGACTTGCCTAAGAACACAGAGCAAGTGGCAGAGCGAGGATTCAAACCCAGCCATCCTGGATCCGAGCCTGTGTCTTTGCCACACTATGCTCTTCCTCCACATTTGAGAAAGTAATCAATATTTTAGAGCAAAGCTTTTCTGAAGTTTATTTGTCTAAACAAGATTAATCTGTTCCTCCTGACTGAATGGTCTACCAATCCACCTTGCTCAGGCCTTCACCCAGTTAACACCTGCTCCTCGCTCACATCTCAAGTTAAATATCATTTCCTCGGGAAACCTCTCTTCAACCACTCATCCCAGGACAGGTCCCCAAGCCACATGTCTTTTTTTTTATTTTGAGATGGAGTTTCAGTCTTGTTGCCCAGGCTGGAGTGCAATGGCACGATCTCAGCTCACCGCAACCTCCGCCTCTCGGGTTCAAGTGATTCTCCTGCCTCGGCCTCCTGAGTAGCTGGGATTACAGGCATGAGCCACCATGCCTGGCTAATTTTGTACTTTTAGTAGAGACAGGGTTTCACCATGTTGGCCAGGCTGGTCTCAAACTCCCCACCTCAGGTGATCCACCCACTTCAGCCTACCAAAGGGCTGGGACTACAGGCGTGAGCTGCTATGCCCGGCAGCCACATGTCTTAATAGTACCTCTACCTTTCCTTTAGGGCATGGGCCACTATGTCTAATTATCTATTTATTTGTGTGCTCATTTAATTAAGACCCTGCTCTCTACCTCCACCCCCAAGACTATAAGCTCCATGAAGCCAAGAGCCATGCCCATGAGCCACCACACTTCCAGTGCCAGCATGGTGTGAGGTACGGGGACATCCTCAGTAACTACTTGTCAAATGAGTTCATAACACCTTGGACATTTACCAAGAACACTATTCAAGTTTGAATTTCCTAGTGAGTTGACAGATATTTGCAAATTCCTATCTATATATTCACCAACACCCACAAATTCTGAATTTTATATATACATATTTAGCTGAATAACAAAATTCTGGTTGCATATGTAGATGAATAAAATGAATTTCAGTTTTAAAAAAAATCCAGCAAAAGCATTCAGAAGCACCTTAAGCACCTTGATAATAGACACCATTGACATTCACAACTTCTACACTGCTTCCTTCTCTTTCCAGATACTGATTTATCTCCTCAGCAGATGTTTGGAGATAATTCTCCATAGTAAGTTATCTCATCTGTTGGCCAAATATTTTGACCTGAGCTCATGGTTCTTTCACAGTATAAATTCTGGCAAATACCTTCTGTCCTTCTAGGGGGTTATAACTATCAGGATCTTCTTTTCTATTACTAATAGTGTATGGGGGGTTAAAAATGGGCAAATGGTCTGAACAGACATTTCTCAAGAGAAGACATACAAATGGCCAACACATATATGGAAAAAAATGTTCAATATCAGTAATCATGGAAATGCAAATCAAACCCACAATGAGTTATCATCTCATACCAGTTAGGGTGGTTATTATCAAAAAGACAAAAAAACAACAAATGCTGGTGAGGATGCAGAGAAAAGGGGACTCTTATACATTATTGGTAGGAATGCAAACTAGTACAGCCACTATGGAGAACAGTATGTGTGTAGTCCTGTTAAGTAAGCAACAATGAGGAGGGGTCCCAGCTGGGGAGGACCCAGGTGAGGAAGAACAATGAACAACTGTTCTGAGACATAGCTAATCAAACAACCTGAGGGCACAATGACTTCTATGGGCACAATGACTTCTTTCACAGGTAGCCCCCTCCAGCACCACCCTATAAAACTTCCCTTCAGCCCCTGCCTCTTTGCAGACAGTGCCTTCTCTGCTGTGCTGCCCATTACAACCTTGCAACATGTTTTCATACCTTCTCTAATAAATCTGCCTTTCTTTCCTATGACTGTCTTGGTAAATACATTTGCTGCCGGTGACATCGGCCCTAGCTAGTCACTACCCGCAACATTTTGGTGATCCAAAAGGGGATTGCTTGGGGACCTCTCCCCTACTCTGTCCCTTGCCTCTCCAACTCCACTATCTCAGTGAACAGCATCCAAGTTTGGAGACAGCTGAAGGTCCTGGCCAGGGCTGCTCCCTGTGGACCAGAAGGTCCTGGTGAGAAGTCACCACCCAATCAGAGTTTGCTTTCCTTTTCAGTTTTCAACTGAAACAAACTCTAGTATCCCTCTGGTGACTTATGACAACTGACCAGGGCCACTTCCTGGTGTGGCCTGAAGGCCAGGGGCTGAAGAGTTTTGTCTGCCTTGCCCGGGAGAGAGGAAAACCCTCTCCTACCTTTTCTGGTCAAAAGTCCCTCTATGTGTCACAATTGGCACACATGGTTTGGGGAACTCAGACCCACCTCTTTCTCACTCTAAATTCTCCCCATGAAGACAGGCAAACCTCCTGCTCTGGATGTTCCCAAACTAGGTGAGCTCAAGCAACCTCAGAGCAGTGAGTCTCCCCATTCACCTCCCCTCTCCTCATACCTGAACCGATTATCCGGTGCAAGGCCCCAGTGCAGAGAAGTCTTTCTGATAGCTGGGATGCCCTTTAGAAAGTGCACCCAAGTCCATCAGTGGATGAGAGTGGAACGCTTTTCCTCAGCGAGAAGCCTCAAGAGAAAGCAGTTTGTGTCCCCAGCGGACATTAGCCCCCAGAGGTTGGCTCATCATTTTCCAGTCCCACCATGGGACAAATCCCATCTGTTCCTTCAGACTCACCTCTGCATTGCATCCTAAAACATTGAGACAAATTTAACCCTCAGACTCTCAAAAAGAAACATCTACTTTTCTTGTGTAATACAGCGTGGTCCCTATGCAAAGAATCCTCAACTTGGCCTCCTCGATCTTTTATAACCAAGAGCAGAATAAGGAGGCCAGGGCTAAGGAGAAAGAAAAATGCAGGGAAGAAAGGCAGGCTCAATTGTTGGCTGATTTAGAAGCCCTCAGCTCCCTCCAGGTTGCCCTAAGGACACTCCTCCAGGTAAGTGCCCTCAGTGCAGATGGCCAGGCCACTGGAAGGCAAACTGCCCCAATGGGATACATGGGAAAAAGCCCCGCACAGCTTGTACCCTCTGCCACAAGCTCAGCTGCTGAAAATGGGACTGTCCTGAGGGCTGAAAGACCCTGAGGACAGAATTCTAGCCCCTGATGGCCTTAAAATGAAGTGGGCTCTCTGCCCCCGCTGAATTCCAAATCACAGCAAAACAAAGCCAAGGGTGACTCTGGAGGTGGCAAGTAAAATTATCAATTTCCCCTTGAGTTCAAGAGCTCCCTGTCATAGAGATGCCTCCTCTACCCCTTTCTGGAAATACCTTTTGCTTATATGGTAAAAATCTGGAAAATCACTATCTGGAGTTTAACAGGCTTTTAGATTCAGTCACCATTGGAACTGAGTACACCATTAAAAGGAAAAGGCAAAATTAAAAGAAGCATGCGTAATAATTACATGGCTAGTCCTAGAAAGTTCTCTTGAGCAGTTAAAATCCTTTGCAAGCTTGAAATGCTCTAAACTCCTCCCGGAAAAAAACAACAGCAGTTATCTTGCACTATAGTTCACTGGTCCCCAATCTTTTTGGCACCGGGGACAATTTTTCCCCATGGAAAACAATTTTTTCATGGAAGACAATTTTTCCACAGACCAGGGAGGGTGGGTGATGATTTGGGGATGAAACTGTTCCACCTCAGATCACCAGGAATTAGATTCTCCTAAGAAGCATGAAACCTAGATCCCTTGCATGTGCAGTTCACCATAGGGTTCATGCTCCCGTGAGAATCTAATACCCTCGCTGATCTGAAAGGAGGCAGAGCTCAGGCAGTAATGCTTGCTTGTCTGCCCCCGACTTACCTCCTGCTGAGCGGTTCGGTTCCCAACAGGCCATGGACCAGTGCCAGTCTACTGCCCAGGGGTTGGGGACCCCTGCTGTAGCTCAACTGCTAAAGCTTTGCCCTCTCACAGTGGTGCCCTGGGTTCAATTCCTGGCTCCAAAAGTGAGTCTTTTGTGGTTTAATCATTTATTGATTCTTTTCCCCTCCATGGAGAGCTCCTAATTTCCTGTCTTGAAATTTTCTTTTCTCTGAGTTACCTTTGGGGCAATTCTAGATCTTGTAAATTGCTTACCATCTCTTTGGAGACACCTTGTGTGTCCCTGTTTAAGTTATCCCCTTACTTAAGGTTTATTAATTTCACATAGGAGGTTACCTTTAGGTAAAGATTCAAAAGCCAGAAATATTGGCCATTTGTCCTGGCTAAAATCTGGTAATAAAAGATTTTTATAGGATTTTTATTTTGAGAACTCCATAGTCAGAAATCAACTTAATTAAAGACGATATTTGGGCTGTATGTATACAGATATTGTTTTAAAAGCCCCTGCTGGCCAGGCACAGTGGCTTATGCCTATAATCCTAGCACTTTGAGAGGCCAAGGTGGACAGATCGCTTGAGCCCAGGAGTTTGAGACCAGCCTGAGCAACTTGGTGAAACACCATCTGAACAAAAAAAAAATACAAAAATTAGCTGGATGTAGTGGCAGGCACCTGTAGTCCTAGCTACTCAGGAGGCTGAAGTGGGAGGATCACTTGAGCCCAGGAGGCTGAGGCTGCAGCGAGTTGTGATCGCACCACTGCATTCCAACCTGGCGACAGAGCGAGACTCCATCTAAACAAACAAAAAGCCCCTGCTTTCCCTCTAAGAACTTCTCAGTCAATGGAATTTTGTCTTGATTTTCCATTTCTGTCTGTCTGTGTATTTATATGTGTTGTATGTATAGTATTTATATAAAAGAGCTCTAATTAATTGGCTTAAAGAAACTAAAATCAAACATTTTATCAGAAAAAATTGAAACTTTAATCTCTTTTAGGTCACGTGACTCTAATGATTTTTAAACATAAAGACAGTGTAAATAACATAAAAAATAAAGACAGTGTAAGTAAAGAATGTGTTTTGGTGGGAGGTTATAAGAAGGCGTGTGAATATGGTTTCTGTTAAAGAGAACGTAATTTTGTCTAGCTCAGAGGGTTTTAACTATTGGCCTCACCTAAAAGAGTAATGGGACAGCTGGGCATGGTGGCTCACGCCTGTCATCCCAGAACTTTGGGAGGCTGAGGTGGGGAGATCACTTGAGGTTAGGAGTTCCAGACCAGCCTGGCCAACATGGCAAAACCCCGTCTCTACTAAAAATACAAAAATTAATCAGGTGTGGTGGTGAGCGCCTGTAATCCCAGCTACTTGGGAGGCTGAGGCAGGAGAATCACTTGAACTCGGGAGGCGGAGGTTGCAGAGAGTCGAGATTGTGCCACTGCATGCCAGCCTAGGTGACAGAGTGAGACTCTGTCTCAAAAAAAAAAAAAAAAAAAAAGAGTAATGTGACAAAACTGATGGTTTAAGCAAGTTGAAAAGGGTTTGTGAAGGGTTAATCTCATGAAAAGTTCTGTGGGTATAAGCAGGTTGGCTAAGATTTAAAGGGGATTACTTAGTTTTTCCATAGGTCGAACACTGAAATAAAAGCACACTGATGTAGGGCCAGAATCCGGGCCCATGTGTCTGAATAATGGTTTTCTAGAGAATTTATTTGTTTAACAGAAAATTGTAAAGAATTATGAGAGGTTTGTGGACGTTTTACCTTATGGTCAAACTATGATTGTATAGATTTGTTTATAAGGTTTTATTAAGAATTGGATCTAACATTAATAATATACTAATGCAAAGGTGAAATTTTGCTTTCTCTCATAAACAAGATTTTTGCATAATATTTTAAAATAATGAGATTTTTGTTTACCTTTTAATAAACAACAGAAAAAGGAGGAGAGAGGAAATAGATTCGGTTGGCATCATGCTGTCTTTATTGCGACCTGCTTGGAAAGTTGACTCTCCCCTCTATCAGCAAGTAAAGATTTTTGCCTTTTAGAAATTTTGGAGTTATCATTTTGGCTACCTAAATGACTTGTAGTGACTCTATACTAATCTTCTCTGAGCAACTCTCCTCCATATCCTGTTGGGTAATGAGAACAAGTGGCACCCCCTCCCTCCAAAAAATCCATACCCCTTTATATTACAGAAAAGAAATCTTCAGAAAAGAGACATGCTACAATGAGACTACCATACAAGATGTGAAAGTTACCCCCCAAATTACAATATCATGAGACAAAATAAGGGAGAGCTGCTGTCTCTCAGTGTTTGTCCCTAGTAAGGACAACTAACCACTGAGCAAACGGACAACTGCACAGCCTTCTTTTACTCACAGAGTGTTGTCCACCTGCAGAGCCAAGTCCTCTCAATCTATCTGCACACTGCTGTGCACTTCTAGGCTCTCAGATGTTTTTAGGTCTACAAGTCCATATAACCACTCTAAGCCATGCGTCTTAAAATATGCCCTCATTTTCCATTGTTAAGCCATTGAATACAGACTGGTAGGTCACGTGGCTTCTGTAACACAGTCTAGGTCACATCGGTTAATGCTCTACGCGAATGGGACCCTGGAGGTCCTTACTCCTGCTCTCTTCTCCAGAGTAGGTTATACCTAAACCATCCTGCATCAGCCTTTCCCAAGGTCAGGGCTGTGCTGAGGGTGTAACAAGCATGGACAGTAGCCTAGCTTTCTTGGGAGATTTAAGTCTCGGGCTTCTAAAGGTTAAATATTGGTTTGTCTATAATGGGGAGAAGAAAAACAGTGGTATAACTATGTAAAATGATGGATATATTAATCTGCTTCACCATAGTAAACTTTTTACTATCTACATGCATCCCACAACATCATGTTGTATACCTTAAATACACACAATAAAATTTGTTTAAAAATAAAATTAAAAACTGTCTTCTAAAAAGAAAAACAGTGAAGAAAGAGCTCTGCTGTGAGCTCAAGAACAGCCAGTCACAGCTCCACCTAAACCCACGGGTGACTTAAAAGCTGAAGCCTTGTCATAATCATTGTCACGTACTCTTATTATGATGAAACTTTGCTCCTCTTTTTGCTGAGGAGATTCACCTAAGTTACTCTACACGACAGTAACTGAAACAGCACCCATTAGACTACTTTATGACATCCCCCTGCAGAGATCAAGAGTTCTGCAATCGCAGCTTCACAATCCTGAGAGACTACCAATTCAACCAGCCTTCAGGACTGGCACACTTCTGTGTGAGAAAAGTTCAAAAAATGGCTTAAGAAATTCAAAGCAACTGCTTACCCAAGATGAAGAGCACCCAGGGGAGGCAATGCACTGAAATCTCCCCACAGCTGCAGTCCCCAAGCTCAACTGAAAGACTGCTGCGAGCACTCTAGGTTAGGCTCAGAGCAAACCAAACACGTGCCTTCTGAAGTGGTTGCAGAGATGCAAACAGGAACCTCTAAATCAAGGTTCTCATTTCAGTCATCTGGCCCATTACCCAATTGTTATGTATACTTTCATTCTAAAAAGAGGTGACAAATTCAACCTACTGAGGTGAACCTCACACTCAGACCTCTTCAGGTGCCATCTCCCCTTTTAGATGACAAGCCCTCTGAGGGTAGGAGCTTGAATGGCACCAGGCAAATAGGTGCTGAGAAAGAAATCCATTTCATGCAAACAAAATACAATAAACGTAATATTAACACAAAACCTTCTGTGTTAAAGATACAGCAACCTCTTTTATTTTTCCTCTCAAAACAGAGGTGCAACCTCGCCAGGCAATCACCCAATCCCTGCTTCCAAAGATACGCCTGCCCAGTCCTCCAACTCACCATGTAGACATGAAAGTTTCCTCTGGCCATGTGATATCAGCATTTCCAGAATACAGGCAGCCATTGATTCCCATAGAGAACCTCTTGGGTGACTTGGACATCCTAGATTAGAACTCAAGGTTTCTTCACTTCAAGATACCTCTCAGTCTTAGTCACCACTTCAAAATAGGTGTTCTCAATGTACGCACCTTCAACCTCGGCTAGATTGGCTTGACCTAGGCATGGGCAGACTCATGGAACTTGTCCTGTATCATCTGAAAAGCTGTTGAACGTTTGCTCCCAAGCACTACGCTGCATGGTCCTTGAGAAGTGATGTGCTAGAGAGCCAGCAATCTCCACAGCATAAATATTCCCATCATAACCTATTTCAAGCTACCAACAGTTTAACAACTGGCTTGCAAAATTCCTAAAAAACTTAATACAGGTTGAGTATCCCTTATCCAATATGCTTGGGACCAGAAATGTTTCAGATTTCATATTTTTTTCAGATTTTAGAATATTTGCCGAATACATACAAGTTGAACGTCCCTAGTCTGAAAATCCAAAATGCTCCAATAAGCATTTCTTTGGAGCATCATGTTGGCACTCAAAGTTACAGATTTTGGAGTTGAAATAGCAACCACTCTTTTGTATTTTCAGATTAGGGGTACTCAGCCTGTAATCAGCTCTTGCTATGTAAGCTGGTTCCAGCACACCACGGAACCTCTGCAGGTTCTTGCGGGGGTACAGCTCCGACATGACTGGTTGCACGATGCTGAAAACCACTGTTAAATCAAGTTTAGCCTAAAGCTGCCTCCTTACATATTTTAAGTTTGGCCTAAAGGTTTCTCTGTACATCATGAACTATAACGTAAATGGAATAGTATACGGACTCTAGTCTACTCTTGTGCCAGTCACTGAGTTTGGCCAATCGAAGATGGCCAATGATTCAAACTATTCAAATAAGGCAAACACCGAGCTGTAACCAATCCGGCTATTTCTGTACCTCACTTCTGTTTCCTGTACATGACTTTCCTTTTGCTGTCCATAAATCTTCCACCACGTGGCTGCGCTGGAGTCTCTGAGTCCACTCTGGCTCAGGAGACTGCCTGATTCATGAATCATTCTGTGCTCAATTAAACTCTTTTAAATTTAATTCAGCTTTTAATACCACAAACCCCCATCTTTTTCACATGACAATTCCCACCTTTTATGTAGATATGCACACACCAAAAGGTAGCCAAAGGGTACAAAGAAGTTTATTGACTATGATGCAGTAAAGATACCAAGAGTTACAATATTTGTGCATATGGCCCAACAGTGCCTACCCTCCTACAAAACAAAAACAAAAACAAAAAAAGGCAATGAGGTGCAGCAGTTAACAGCCCAACACTGGAGTCAAAGGAATGGAGCTGCCTCTTCTGGCAGCAAAGTTTCAAGTTGTGCAATTAAATAATAGTCTTGGTCCACTCCTTGTGGGTCTTCTTACAGTTTCCCTTTAGAACCATAACTGAGTGACTTAGTAGAACATTCATATTCAGGATGTGGCCTCCAGAAGTGTCGTTTTGTTTTGTTTTGAACAAAGACGTGCTACCTTCTCTCTTGAAGCACCAGTGCTGGGTTCAGGAGCTACAGAGGACTAAGATGTTCCCCAAGTAGCCTGAAGTAACAGGTCACATGGAAAACACAAAGCAATTGGTGAGTCCACATTTTGTAATAGAATTAAGAGCGTAATGCATAAAACTTAAAGTCATGTAACCACATGTAAAAACTTCAGCAGCTAAAGAAAAATTCTGGAAGGCTTTTAACCCCTTCTGAACTAAGTTCCCTTTCTAAACGAGGCTGGTTTCCATGGCTGTGACAAGAGCTCATGAGGTAGCAAAAAGAGAGAGAGAATAGCACCTTAGAAGTTACTCAAACAAGAGGTGAAACAAATAAGTAAACAAAAAAAGACCACTTTATCTTCCTTTCATCCTTAAAGAAGGCAGGTGTCTGTACACTGCTTTGTGATCCTTCGAAGAATAAAAAGCTGTAACCCAAATCTCAGTATAAGGGATGAAGAAGGAAAATGATAGCAGCTGATGACTGGGATGCGACCACAAACCCATATAGTAAACTAAGTTATCAACGTACTCCCTTACCACGAAGGACTTCATTCAGTCATTTAAAAAGCAAGGGACTAGTTCAAATCATGATTAAGGCTATAAAAGAACACGACTGAGTATTCACAGAGCACCAATTACCTCAAGTTTAGACTAGGTGTCAATCTACAAACATACTACCCTGCATTAATCTTCACAACACACCTGCGAGGACATTACAAGAAGGCCCAGCCAAAATTAGTTCCTCATTTAATGGGATATGGCTTTCAGTGGGTTCCTGTAACACCATCTCTTTCTTGGAGAAATGAGGACCTGCAAAATAGTCCCCCTCACAATGAGATCTCTATCTTCAAATCTCTGAGAGCCCAAGTTATTTACTCTCATTGCTCAAGTTGCTTTCCTCTCTCTGTTGAGGTGTCAGAAATGGTCACGTTAGATTGGCCTCAGACAACCACAAAAGTTAACAAGCAGTCCCAAAGTACCGTGAGGTTTAACCACTGGAAATGTAAACTGCCGGTCCTGTCTTTGCCCTTCTACTTCCTCGCGTGACCAGAGTCAAATCACAATGTCCTTCAACTAACCAGATTCGCTCATCTGTGGACTAGGTTAACAGAAGAGGCTAGGCCAAATCTATGATACGGATCTAACAACCCAAATTTTTTAAATTAAGTCTTCAAAAAAAAAAGAAAGAAGTTGAGAGAGAGAAAAGTGATTTTTAAACTAACATATACAGTCTGAAGCGCTGTAATATGGAAACTTCCTGAACCACCTAATGAAAAATCATGAAAAGGGATCAACCTGTTGAAAGAATAGAGACAGGTGAGGGGATAATTTTTGTCTCTCATAATTGAGAAGTAAATCCAATCACTATTACAGAAGACTATTTATATATGCACCATCCATCTTTACTGATATACTATACATATGCCTTAATGGCTTATAAAAAATCCTATGTAAATTAACATTTGAAACAAGTTGTCATAGCAGAATGGAGTAACCTGCTGTAAGGCACTGAGAGAATACAAAGGAGAAGTATGTCATGCACAATCTCACTTCCTCATCTCAAATATTATGTAAAAACCACTTGCAAATACCATAGTTTACTCACAGTTGGCACATTTTAGAAATCAACAAAGTTTTGAAAAACAATACAAGTGAAAAGATGATTTAATTTGCAAAGAACTCCTGAAATACTCCATAAGCCCCCCACTAAAAACCTGTAAAGAGTTTTTCTTGCCTCTGACCTGAAAATTCAAGAAGAAAAGTTGTAGTTATAAGAAAATAAAATAACAGGCCAAGCACAGTGGCTCATGCCTGTAATCCCAACACTTTGGGAGGCCGAGGCAGGTGGATCACGAGGTCAGGGGATTGAGACCATCCTGGCCAAAATGGTGAAACCCCGTCTCTACTAAAAACACAAAAATTAGCTGGGTGTGGTGGCGCATGCCTGTAATCCCAGCTACTCGAGAGGCTGAGGCACAAGAATCGCTTGAACCCAGGAGGCAGAGGTTGCAGTGAGCCAAGATCACACCACTGCACTCCAGCCTGGCGACAGAGTGAGACTCTGCCTCAAAAAAAAAAAAAAAAAAAAAAAAGCAAGACAGAAAATAACAAAGACTCCTTAGCCCAAATTGTACCAGCAAGACTAAAGAAAATAATTTTTCTACTTCACGATTCCTTTCCTTAACTGTAAATTGATGACACTGTACTTAATACTTTAAAAACCCAGTCAAAGCAAACCAATGACTTGATCCTACCAACTCTAAGGAAACTAAGGGTATACACCCTAAGTTATCCAAACACAACTGAGGTTGAGGTCATTAAACCGGTAAGTATACGCCCTATACTAACTCACAGCTGAAAGTGTACATGGAGCAAAAAACAAAGAATACATATCCCAAGCGAATATTTTGTCTGGTGACACATCAGGAAGCCACAAGCTCCACTTCATTTAAAAAATTATTTGGGTATCAGCGGTGTGGCAAACATTCAAAATTCTCCTTCAAACAGTTGGAAGAAAACATGTAATACATTCCAGAGCAAAGATGAATCAAAAAGTATCTTTTTGCTCAGGAAAAGAATTTCTTCATTCAATTACAGCATAATTCATTGAAAGGGGAAGTCATGAGTCTCTTATGAGAGTTCCTGAACAGTTTATAAATACAACAAGAACATTTATTCAATAAATAAGTGGTTCCTAAAGTCTTTACTGATGATCTCCAGGATTGTCCATCGCTATGGTCCAGGCCAGCTCCACTTTCTCTGACAGGCTTTAGCTGCCAGTGGAATGGGATGTTTCCTGTCTTTAGGTGACTCTTCTTGTGTCATACAGACTTTCATCAATATGTCTCTTCATAGTCTGAATCCTGGAGGGAGCAAAACAGCAGGTGTGAAACACAATTCCAGAGTTGGAATTTAGGCAAAGACCACATGTTAGGATCCTCCAAATGGAACCTGGCTTGGGGAGACAGCCACAGTGAAATGCCACTGACTCAATACACCTAAATTCCCACGGAGCTTCACAGGACCTCAATATAATTGGTGTCTATTGGGCTAATTTCTGCTTTGAAGCCCTAGTGGTTTCCTTTCCCTTGGTGAATATTTTTTAGAACCTCAACACACAAGAAAAGATGCCCGCCTACCGCACCCTTTCTTAGCAAAACAAGTGTCAGTGGAATCACCCCAGCGATCCTCTCCTCACTCTCTTGCAGAAATGTGCAAAATTGTGGTTAGGAATTTAGACTAAGTGTCAGTCTACCACTGAGTTCCACCTCTTGTGGCTGTGTGACCTTGGATAAAGTTATTAACTTCTCTAAGCCTCAGTTTCCTCATCTGTAAAATGGGGATAATAAAAATACACCTCATAGAACTGTTATGAGAATTGAATGAGGCAATATATGTAAATTACTTAGCACTGCCTGGCACTTCATAAGCACTCATTCAAGATTAGCTCCTGTTACCATTATTATTATTCATACTCATATTCATTACTTCTAACTTCAAGTGGGCCATTAGCACTAACTGGCATACCACACTTCTCTAGTCTATTTATTCTCCTTGATGACTATTTCATACCCTTCCCTCTTTCCCCAAACTTCCAACACCTCCTCTTCCCATCATTCTCAGCTGACGGCCTTGCTTTCTCCCATGATTGGGACTAGAGAAGCAATTAGTAGGGAATTTCCACAAGCTCCATCACATGTGGCCACTCATCTACATCTGGATCCATCTATTTGGCCTTCCCTATTGTTCTTATACACTCTCCCTGTCTTACTTTATCTAAGGTCAACATCTCCACTCCACTTATGCACTAGATCCTGGCATTACACCAGCAATCCTCTCCTCTCTGTCTTGCAGCATCAATTTTTTCCTTCTCTACTACATAATTCCCATCTGCATACAAATGTGTTCATTTTCTCCCATCTTAAAAAGAAAAGCCACCAGTGACATTGCCCTCCACGTATTGCCTGTCTCTCTGCATCCCTTCACAGCACAAGTCCTTGAAAGAGTTGTTTATGCCCACTGCCTCCAATGCATCTTTCTGCAATCTTTCTTGACCCCACCCCAGACAAGTTTTCATTCCCACTATTCCACTGAAGATCCTTTTGCCAAGGTCACCAATGACCTCCATATTCCCAAATCATCCAATAATCAATTATCAGCTCTCATTTTACTTCACCTGACTCCACAGCAAATGACACAGTTGATCACTCTCTTTTCCTAGAAATAATTCTCCACTTGACTCCCAGGATACCAAAATCTCCTGGTTTTCTTCCTATCTCACTAGCCGCTCTTTCTTAGCCTCTTTACTAATAATTCCTCTTCATCTCCCCATCCTAGAAATCTTGGAGGGCCCAGGTTCTGTCCTCTGACCCCTTCCCTATCTACATTCATTTCCCTGGAGGAAATGTCTGTTATCAGTCTCTATCTGCTAATGGCTCCTAAATCTCTATCTCCAGTCTAGACCTCTCTTCTCAACTCCACACCCACAACTGCCTACTCCACATCTCCACTTGGAAGTTTAATAAGTATTTCAAACTTAATATGTCCAAACCCAACTTCTGTTCTTCCTCCTAAAGTTTGATTCACCCACAGACTTCCACATATTAGCAAATGGTAACTCTATTCTACCAGTTGCCCAAGTCAAGAATCTTGGAACTACCCTTGAGTCCTCTCATTTTTTCATATATAAATGCAGAAGCAGTAAATCCTTCTGGCTTTACCTTCAAACTATAATCAGAATACAACCACTCCTCACCACCTCCACCACCACCACCCTGGTCCAAACTACCAGCATCTTCAGCTACCTGGATTAATGCAAATGCCTCCTACTTGGACTCTCTGATTCTGTCATTGCTCGTTACCACCCATTCTCAACACAAAAGCCAGAGTAATACTTTTTAAACAGACATAAGTTGATACTGCTTCTCTTCCCAAACCCTCCAATGGATTCCATTTCATTGAGTAGAAGTCCAGGTCATTAAAATCATCTATAAGGTTCTGTAAGATCTAGCTGCTGCGTTACTTCTCTGATGTCAACAAATAGTATTCTTTGCCTTGCTGTCTTCATTTCTGCCATACTGCCCCCTTGCTACTCCAAGAATATGCCAATCATGGCCCCTCCTCAGAGCCTTTGCACCAGTCACTTCTTCTGCCTGAAACGCTCCTCCACAATAGCCATATGGCTTGCTTCTCTTAGGTGTTTGCTTGAGTATCTTCTCACTGAGGTTGTCCCTAACCTATTAAATGTCACACCCCCATCCAGCCATCCCATCCCCCTTTTCTGCTTTTTTCTCCATATCATTAAGTACCATCTCATATACTATATATTTTACTTATTTTTAAAAACTTTGTGAGTATTTGTACCCCAATTCAACAGAGTCTTAGAGGATGAGAAAGTTTTCCAGGCAAAGAACATTCAGTTCTCGGAGGGCAGGAATTTTTCTCAGTTTTGTTCACTGCTGGTTCCTAAGCACCTAGAACAGTACATATGGCACGTGACAGATGCTCAACAAATCACTGTTGAATGGATTAATATCTGAAATGTGGATAATAACCGTATGAACATTAACTTATTTTGCGTTCTTAAAAATATCCGAGCCTCCAAAGGTTGGTATTAGGTCCTCTGCACTGGCATTACCAACCTTTCTCTCATCTTCCCTATGATACTCAAGTGCATGAGACAAAGAAAAACAAAAAACACTGCAATTAGTCATCGAGCCAAGTGTGAGCTTGGCAATAAGTAAACAGGAGGCAATGACAGGTATGTATCATATGAGATCAGAAGTTCTTTGTGACCTGTTTCCAACTGCACCACATCAGAGAGTCTTCCCTCCTGCTGGGATCCTAGGACACCCACCCCAGCCTCCTAATTGGACTCTCTGATTCTGTCATTAGTCACAGTGAGTACTCAAAGCAGGAGGGATGACAGCCTTTTGACATTTAAATCAAAACTTGGGCCTTCCAGGGTGGTATTTCTTATTGATAAAAGACATCAAGTTACCTAAAAGGTTATATCAACCTAACTCCCTGAAAAATACTACAGCTCAGTAGAAAAGTTAAATTCAGGGTCGAGTCCAGCCAGTCGAAGTCTCCTAGTATGAATTCAGTGGCATAGGACACTCCTGTTTTGGGATTTTCTGTCAGTCAGCAGAAACTACTCTACGTGGCCCCCTTCCCTAACCTAAGACCACTGCTCTACGACCACGAGACAGGAAACAAAATCTTGGTTAGAATTGGTAGGGGTCCCCTGAGTCCAAAATGCTTTGGGGAAAGATGCTGGTTCATATCTTGCTTGGACCTACCTGCATATCCTCTGCTGCCTCTGAGGGCATAGGATGGATCCTCTTAGGTAAGCAGGAAAGTGGGACATCAACAGTAAGCAGAAGGAATGGCATGCACTTACCAGGCACTCAGCGCAACGGACACAAAGCCTCGCCATACACGCCTCTTCCTCCTCCTGATCAGTGCTGTAAAAAGAGGACAAACCAAATCTGAATCACCACTATCCTCAATAGAGTAGAGCAGTTGAAAGTACAGGTGTTGAAATCAGACAGGTCTGGTTTTAGATTCCAGTTCTTCCACTCACTAGCTGGGTGACTGGGCAAATTGTTTAAGCCCCAGAAGCCTGTTTCCTCATCTATAAAATGCACATATTGGCCAGGCGCAGTGGCTCATGCCTGTAATCCCAGCACTTTGGGAGGATGAGGTGGGTGGATCACCTGAAGTCAGGAGTTTGAGACCAGCCTGGCCAACATGACAAAACCCCGTCTCTACTGAAAATACAAAAATTAGCTGGGCGTTGTGGTGCACACCTGTAATCCCACTTACTCAGGAGGCTAAGATGGGGAATCACTTGAACTCAGAAGGCAGAGGTTGCAGTGAGCCAAGATTACACCACTGCACTCCAGCCTGGGTGTCAGAGTGAGTGAGACTCCCATATCAAAAAACAAACAAACAAAAAATGCACATATTACCACCCACCCTTAAAGCACAGTTGTTAGGAATAAATAAAAAATAAATACATGTGAAACACATACCATAGTGCCTGGCACATAATAAATGCTCAATAAATTATCCCTCATTCAGAAGTGTACTGAGCACTGACAAAGTCTGAGCATTGTGCTAGCCTAGAGGTAAAAAGATAAATAAAACTTGAGCCTGTGAAGGGCTCATGATGGGGGTGAGAGACCTGTTAAAACTTAACAAATATGTTATAATGCAGTGTGATAAGTGTTTTAATAGAGTTAACATCAAACTGCTGCAGCAGCAAAGAGTGAGGAGTGACTAATTGTCCCCTGAGGTCTCAGGGAAACTCAAGAGAAGGGGCTATTTCAGCTGGGTCTTGGAGGATAAGAAAGAGTTTCCAGGCAAACAAGAGAAGGAAAGAGGGCATTCCCAGCAAGTCAAAAGGAGGGGTCTTAGAGGATGAGAATGAGTTAGGAAAAATATACGAATGAAGTATAGTATGTTAGGGCACATAAATAAGTTCATGGCAGCTGGGACGTGGGGAGATGTCAGGGAACAATGTGACTTAGAGTAAAATCATAAGGGGTTTTGGATACCATGCTTAGAAATAGACATTAGCATTTTTACCAAGAGTTCTTTGTCTTTTTTGAGCCACAGATTCCTTGGAAATGGCACAGGGTGCTCTCTTATCATTAAATAAATGCACACACACACACACATACACACACACACACAGAGAGAGATTGAATTTTGGACCTTCTCAATGTAAGACTCCCCTCCCCTGACATAGATAATGGAGAAAAGGGGTTTTACGTAGATTTTTGTTTTGATTTCCTTTTACTACATTTATTTTTAGGGAATTTACTAGATCATGCCTGCTTACTGGCAGAATAATGTTTAATAAATCTTTTTAATAACCACGATCCATGTAGCCCCTCCCTTCAGAATATATGCGGACCAAGAATAGATCTCGCTTATTCAAATCGCTTTTGCCCTCCACAGCTATTCTTAAAGCCTCTCTCATTGCTCAGGCATTTTCTGTCAGGAGACATCATCAGCTCAGTGCCAAATACAAGGTGAAGGAAAAATAATTGACCTGGAATTGAAAGAATGAAACATTGACTTCAGAATTTATTCAGACCATGGCACTGTACAATCTGATTTCCAAAGCAGAAGACTAGGACCATATATCAACTCCCCCATCTCTCTCCAAATTAATATTCACACACATCACTTTCAACCTTCCTTTTGGCGCCCCTTAGCAGAACTATTCTCTTTGAAAAGAAAGTTCACCAGCAGAACTAAACTCGGTCCAGAAGAAAGGAAGGTGTGGATGTGGGGGTCTGGGTAGAGCGCTAAGGAGGAAACAGGCTTGCTGCCCAGGGCTCCTGCTGGACTTACTCATCGGAAACCTCAATAGATGACTTCTTATAGCCAGACCTGCTCCTCTTCTTCAGCCCAGCAGCCTTCCTCCCCATTCTCACCAGCAGCAGAGCAACCACCACGGCTGAGGGCACAAAGACAAGGATGGAAAGAAGGGCCACAGAGGAAAGCATGGTGCCAAAACCTAGAGGCGGAGAAAGAGAAGGTAAAAGACAGGGACATGCAAATATGCCTCCTGCGACATGAGCAACTAGGTTCTACTTTTGCTCTTATATTTCTTCTGATTACAAAAGTAATAAATCATTGTGTGAAAGGTAGAAAATACACAAAAGTACAATGAAGAATAAAAATGTACCGATAATCCCACTACCTAGGAAGAACACTTTGGTATCTACCCATTTAATCTTCTTCTAGGGGTATCGGGTATGGGGTGCAAGGAGGGCATATATATTTTTAAGTATGGATCATATATTATATATTATTTTAACCTCCTTTTTTACTTATAATATGATAAATATTTAACAATTCCTTCCAGATGTGATGTGTAATCGCTGCATAGCATTCTATCACATTGAATAATTTATAGAACTAATCCTCTAATGCTGGACATTCAAGTTGGTTCGAATTCTTAGAATCTACAAGTCACATTAGGATAGCCAGGCTTGTACATAAATCTTCATCTTTAGCTCTAATTCCTTAAGATGAAATTTACAATGGAATTACTAGATCAAAGGGCCTATATTTTTAAGGCACTGATTCATACTACCAAACTGCCTTCCAGCAAAACTGTATCATTTTATTCTTCTGCCAGCAGTATGAATGTGCTCATCTTTGAAACCTACAAGTTATTACCTTTAAAAGAAAAAAGAAAGAGAGAGACAGAAAGCAAGAAAGAGAAAGAGAAGGAAGAAATGAGACAGGGAGAGAGGAAGGGAAGGAGAAAGGAAGGGAAGATGAGAAGGAAGAAGGAAGGAAGGGAGGGAGAGAAGGAGGAAAAGAGCAAGGGAGAGAAACTTGAGAAAGACTTGAGAAATGATGACGAATCTATAATGACCCATAATGTACCTCTAAATCTTTAGCTCAAATCCAATTAAGGACTAGCATGACCACTTAATCGTCATCAGGGAATAACATAGAAAAAAAAATCAGTCCTTAATCTACTCTTCTCCTGTTTCACACTAAAGGGAAACTACTGTTCTTTGCAGCATAAAAGAAAAGCACTACCTCTCAACGTTAGAGGGGGTACCCTTTCAAGACACAGGCAAGAACACTATGCCATAACTGGGAGTATGAACATGCTAGGAAAACTGGAATGACTTCTATTTCACAGAGATAACAACCCTATATTTACTCAGGGGTTTTCCGTGCATTCCACAAGAACTTTGGTCACCTAAAGTTAAAATTAAAAAAAGGGTAATGGAGAAACTATGACAAAATTTGGAGAGAAAATTCAGTTTTCAAAATAAAGATTAAAAATTCACCCCAACATACATATTGGGATGGCAGAAAAATTACTTCGATTCAATGATTTAATGACCCAACTGGCTTACAAAGATAGACAGCTTTGTTTATCATCGAGCTCTCCAGAAAGCACCACAGCAGTCACAGAGCACTGCAGAAGAAGGTTGGTGGCAATGAGCTTACCCCTTTCTGTGACTGTTAGCTCTGTCATGGGAATATTATGATGCACATCTGGGGGATTCTTCACAGCACAGCTGAATGTCCCATTGTCCTTTATGGTAGGGTTGCTTATACTTATAGATGCATCCCCTTTGTATACATTTCCAACCCAGGAAATCCGATCCCGAAATGTGCCTGCTGTGGTTGGGTACTGGAAAGACTGATAATGAAATATCTAAGAAAGCAACACCATGAGAGAAAAGGTTAACTTGGAAAATGCAATGAAAATATAAAGCTCAGTAGGTCCAAAATAAAATACAACTGTATAATGGTGTGTTTTTTTTCAGTTGGGCAACTTTTTATGCTTTTTTAACCTCCATCCTATAGGTTAATAAAACTGATCAGAAAAAGGCCCGATGAGAGACTTCTGGGATCCTAACCCTTGAATCTCTTCTAAATTCTCCCTGGAACCCTAAAATAATAGTTCTCAACCAGAGGCAATTTCACCCTCCAAGAGATATTGGCAATATCTGAAGACATTTTTGATTGTCACAACTGGGGAGATGCTACCGGCATCTAGTGGGTAGGGGCCGGGAATGCTACTAAACATCCTACCATGCACAGGACAGCACCCACAGCAAAGAATTATCTGGCTCAAAATGTCAACAGTGCCAAAGTTGGGAAACTTTGTTCTAAAGTAGCATCTCGTATTTGAATAGCACTCTATAGTTTGCAAATAATTTCCACACATTTACTCACTTGAGCCTCATGACTACACTGAACTACATGAGGCAGGTATAATTATTCCAAATGTATAAAAAGGGAAACAGGCTGGTCATGGTGGCTCACGCCTGTAATCCCAGCACTTTGGGAGGCCGAGGTGAGCACATTACTTGAACTCAGGAGTTCAGGACCAGCCTGGCCAACATAGTGAAACCCCATCTCTACTAAAAATACAAAAATTAGCCAGGTGTGGTGGCATACACCTATAATCCCAGCTACTTGGGAGGCTGAGACAGGAAAATTGCTTGAACCCAGGAGGCGGAGATTGCAGTGAGCCGAGATTGTGCCACTGCACTCCAGCCTCGGCAACGGAGCTAGACTCCGCCTCAAAAAAAAAAGAAAAAAAAGGAAAGAAAGAAAACAAAGCCAAACAAAAGACTAAGTGAGTTGCTCTACGGTATACAACTAGTAAGTGACAAAAGGGAGATTTTTGCTTATTCTCAAAATCACAAGGAGGTTGTAATATAATTCAGCCTCTCTCAAGTTATCTATCTTGACAATTAATATAATCCCTAAGTCTAATACCTGATAAGTACTCAGTGAATATATGTTGAATTAAAATAATGCTGCCTAGGACTTGATCAGACACTTCATCACCAAAAGCCTAATTATCAGACACTTATCAAAAGCCTTGATTAGACACTTCATCACCAAAAGCCTAATTATACCTGGGGCAGGCCAGGCAGGTATTACAATATAATATGACTTATGCAATATGGCTTATGCAAAATACAGGCTTTCCTCTTTCTTTGTTACTTGGTACCTTCCCATTTAGGAACCTGGGTGTTTACAACCACTGAATTGCCCAATTTTGAAAAGCAACTTCCCAGAAAAGATGCTGACTCACTTATTCATTCATTTGTTCATGCATTTATTCAACAAATATTTGGTGCAGATCTCTAATGTGCTAGGCATTGTTAAGCAAAAGGATATGGTGGGAGCCACGCAGGCATAGTCCCTACTCTCACGGAACTTACATTTTAGTGATAAAGACAGATAATGAGAAATAATAAGTGTGTTGAACATTTCAAAGGGGGAGGTAAAGAATCCCTACCACTAATTATCAGCATCAGTGTAAAAGAGTTTGAAACTCCTTATTGACAAAACACGGCCCACTGTGTATCCTCGAGATTAGTCTAGCCCATGAATTCAATGTTAAGTTCATGAAACTCATATCCCTTGCAAATTGATTAATCTGACACAATCCTGATTGACTAACCCCATGACTGCAACATCATGTTATGTAACTTTAATTCCAACTTGTATGAGTTTGTTGATTTTCTGACCAGCCTTGCAGAGAGCAGCACTAGGAGAGAGCTGCTGTTTCTGACCCAGGAAGCTCCCCATTGCTTGCTCTGTCCTACTTTTTACCAAGGAGGCAGAGCCAAATAAGGCCAGCCACAGTTTCCTGACCACTCAGAATCAAGTGAACTATTTCAAGTCTGAAAAAAAAGTGGGAGGGGAGCATGAATACAGCCTAGCTTCTTTCACTGGAGTCCCCTACCTAGCCTCAAGCTATGTGGCATTCTATAATGGCTCCTAACACAGAATGCAAAGCTTATTTATACATGAAAGTCAAAGAGGACATTTTTCCAGTGAAGGAAATGGGATAAATAAATTAACAATACTTTAAAAAATACAATCTTCCATACAGCTATGACATTCACATTCTTGAATAACATCTATCCTGAGCTAAGGATACTGCTGGAAGCTTAAAGAGAAAAAAATTTTATAGCATTTTAATCTTCAATTAGACACCTACAATGAAACTTGGACCATAAATGTGTTTTATATGTGTGACTAATATACCTCAATAAGGTATATTGCTTCCAATATTGCAAGACCATCTGTCACCAACATCTGTCACCAACACGAGGTGCCACCATTTCCTTCAAAGGCAGCCATATAAATCAATGCAGATGTTTATACACTGGGAGAAAGTGCCAAGATAACTCCACAAAGCGCAAATATGCAAACAGATACACCCATTGAGACAACTTAATATGACAGAAAATGAGCAGCCTTAAGAGAAAGGATGTCCATGACTGGACCCATAGAATTTTTCTATTCAATAGTCCTGAAGGTACCCTTTTTAGTACATTAAATCTGAAAATGAAGCTATGAAATAATGCAAAAAGAAACAACAAAGAGGAAACAAAATTAAACCACATTTCCTCTGAGTTTCTGACAGCTTTTTTCCTGCAGCTTATTTACAGAATTCTTACGTGGGGCCCTGCGTGACCAAATGAATGTCATATAGGATAAAAGTTCATCTATCTCTATTAAAGTAGAAGCCCATCTTCTACTCTAAGATGAGATGGCCTCAGGCATGCCTATGATTTGCAGTAAAACAATTCCAAAACTGTTGACCAAAGGAACATTCCGAAAAAGTACACACTTACTGATACTGTGTGGCTGCTGCTGGGAGGGCGATATGTCCAGTCTATAGTAAGTTTGTCAGTGACATCTGAAGTTGACTTGAAAGTGCATTTCAACTTGATCTTTTCTCCAACATAACCTCGGACATGGGCATCTGCACGAATCTCCAAGGAAAAGACGATATAAACACCTAATCAAAGCAAACCCAAACACTTAAAATGCATTCATGTGGGTGGAATATACAGATGTGAGTGAACAATTATTTTTAGAGCCCTCATCAAAAAGCCAGAGCAATAAATATTAACAACTATCTTCTCAGGCAAGCCCACAAGGGACAAGGAGTTGATATCTGCATTAATCAAAGATAGCATTTTTCAATCATTTTCTAATCTTAAATCACAACTGAATGCTTGTGTAAAAATTTAAAATCTGGTCACACCAGCGTTTTCCCGAATACAGGCTTGTGGTTCAATTAAGTACAAACAATGGGTCTGCCCATGGCTGGCTAAAAGGCAACATCACCCATCCCCTTCCATCCCCCGCAGACACACACACACACACACACACACACACACACACACACACACACACACACACTCTGGGAATATGGCAGCTTTTGTGGTCTAAGGGACTTACCCCAAGTATAGCATGGTTGCATCATGAAGCTACCATTGCCTCATCAACAGCAAAATGAGAATAGGAAGTAAGAATGGGAGAATTTATTTCAAATAATTTTCTAAAACTGCCCCCAAGGTACTATCTAGTTTTTCCCTTTTTCTTAAAGCTGGCTGAGGAATCACACATCCATTAAAAGTAAATCATGGAGAAGAAAACAGAATAGGTAAATGCATTCTAGCAAGTAAAAATAAGGTACCATTTTAAAACCCACTAGAGACTTACGTCTTCCAAAACCACTCATTTATCCAACTCTGACACTTCATCTCTCTGAAAAGGGCTGGCACTTTGTTCTAACCAGTTCCTTCTGCTTTCAGAGAACAAAAACTTATCTTTCCCTACAGGGGCATATTTTAGGAAATGACATTGCCAGTACTTTGTTCTTCCTGCTTCCTTATCTACCTCAAGAAGCCATGAATCTTCTGCTGGCCAAGATAAACAGAGCAGCAAGATTTCAGAAAAGTGCAAACCCACACGCTGTCCTGAAAATCGGCAGTGCTTCTGGTACAGGCAGAATGGTGTTGTGATTGAGCACGCAGGCCACGGCTCCTACACCAGAGGGTCTGGGTTCAAATCCCGGCCCTGTCACCTGCTGGCTCTGCAGCCTTAGTAAGTTACCGTACTTCTTCAGTCTTCTCAGCCTCATGGGAATGATAATAACAGTACTTACCTCAGAAGGCCACTGTGAGGATTAAAAGAGTTAAAACACATACAACACTAAGAAGCCTACCCGAACCAGAGTAAGTGCTCAGTGCGTGTTAGACAGTGTCATTGTCATTATTGCCACCTCTTCAGTCCTGCCCACACACTCTCAACCTTTCCTGTCACAGTTATGAGTCATCAGTTCCACTGCCTCTACCTCTGCCAGCTTTGAATCATTTTTCTTGCTCCTCTCTAGACAATCCAGTCTGTTGACATTCCTTTTAAAAGGAGGAGACCAAAACTGAACCCACTAATAAGAACTCATAAGAATCTGACCCTCCCAAAGATGAAGATTACTTCTGGTCTGCCTATGGCACCCTTTCCGACTTTGCCATGCTAAACCTGTCCTGCCTTCTGTGCCTTTGCAAATGCTGTCCCTCTGCTGGAAAGCTTTTATCCCTCAGTCCCCACTTTCTTAGGCCCTCAATCCTGACCCATCACTGTAAGAAAATCCTTATTCATCACTCAAGATCTAGCTCTAAAAACTGGAAGGTGGAAATGAATGGACAATCTACACTCTCCCCATGTCCATTCCTTTATCCTAAAACATAAGTATAATATTGAGATTTGAAATACAGATTTAGAATTAGCCAAAGCTGGACTTGAGTTCTAGCTCAGCTACTTTCTGGTTGTGAGACCGTGATCTCGGTTACCTAACCAGTTCAAGCTTCAATGTCTTCACTTGGAAAATGGGAATAATAACAAGATCTACTTCACTGGATCACTCTGAAGAGCCACTACAATCAAAAAAGAAAATTTTTCATTTTGATCATGTTGTTCATTTCACAACATGAAACGCTTGGCACAGCATCTGGAATAATAACTTTAATAAACATTAGCTATTATTATTAAAATGAACACCACACATATTCAAAAACTTTCAGTAATTTCCTATTGGACTACAAAATAAAATTCAGAGAGTGGCAATCTAGCCCTAAACTTCTGTCACTGCATCCCATCTACCTTCCCAATCCCTTCATCATTACTTGAATGTCCTGCCATGTCCCACATGTACTGTGTCCTTTCATGCCACTGAGCCTTTCTTTGAACAGGTCTCTGTCTGAAAGGCTCTCCCCACCTCTAATAATCCTGCCTGGGTTGTTCCCCACCACACCATATCCCAACATTCACACACCTTCAAATTCCAGCTCAAATATCGGCCCCCTTTGCGGTGCCTTCCCAAATTCCCTGATGCGGTTCATCGCCCTTTCTCCTCCTAACACTAGGTACATAATCCTGCACAGGCACAGATGCCATCGATTGCACCTAGTTACAAAGGCTATTCCTCTATTAAATGTCAGCACCTTCAGGGCAAAAATTCAGAGGGAGGGGAGCAGGCAGAGGGACACTGAGAGAAACAGGTGGACAGGTCACCAGAAATTCTAGTATAGGAACAAAGCATGCTTGTAAATCACCCACTTTATTCCTATCACCTTTTTTATAGTACATGCAATACTCTTAACTCCCCTACACTCCTATCTTTCCATTGCACCCTTTCAGAAAAAGCTCAGCTCTAGACGACCAGACTAGGCTAGTTGTGAACAAGAAAAATCACACGACTGGACAATTACCATAAGAAATGCGTGAATATCTCCCACAGCTGAGTCCTCAACGAGGCCTGGCAAACGTTTAACTGGCCTTGCTTAGCTTCCCATTCCATGATTCCTCAAGCCCTTGTCATTCTCCCTTAGTCCTCCATGCAACCTCCAAACCCCTCATTCTCAGAAGAAAATGTTACCTCTTACATCGTCATGAAACTCGAGGCCATATAAACGGCCCAGGCACACACATTCCTGCATCTGCTCCCATCCTTACTTCCAACCTGAAAGGATGTGGTGTCCCTTTTCCTATGCGAGGCCAGGTCCTCTGCTCTGCCTGGATTCATCCCCTCCATTCCCTGCTTTAGCAGAAAAACCTCTCTAGGCCAGGCGTGGTGGCTCATGCCTATAATCCCAGCACTTTGGGAGGCCGAGGCAGGGGGATCACATGAGGCCAGGAGTTCAAGAGCAGCCGGGGCAACATGGCAAAACCCTGTCTCTACTGAAAATACAAAAGAAATTAGCCAGGCATGGTGCCACATGCCTGTAGTCCCAGCTACTCAGGAGGCTGAGGCAGGAGAATCACTTGAACCTGGGAAGCAGAGGTTGCAGTGAGCTGAGATCACACCACTGTACTCCAGCCTGGGTGACTGAACGAGACTCTGTCTCAAAAAAAAAAAAAAACCTTTCTACTGCCTTCAACCCCTCCCCTTCAGCCTCTAAATACACAGGTTTCTCCCATCCTTAAAAACAAATAGCAATTTTAAAAAATCTTTCTTTAACGCTGTAATATTACTCTAGTTACCAACTACTGCCCTTTCTCTCCTTTCTAAGCCAAGTTTGTGAAAGAGTGGTCTACACTTGAGGTCTCCATTTCCTTCTTCCCATTCACTTATGGACCTTATGGTACAACTGAACTCCACTACCACTTCTGGTAAAAGGCATCATATATCTTAAAATTGTAAAATCCGAGGGATAAAAACCCCAGTAGACACTTTTCTATACTTATTTTACTGGGTCCTCTACCAGTGACTCTTTGCTCCTTGAACTTCTCTATCCCAAAGCTTGCATGACAATGCTCTCATTCATTCACTCATTCTTCAAACATACATTTCTTGAGCATCTCTTTTGTGCCATCCTCTGGGTTTGGAATTAAATGCAAGCAAAATAAATACACTCCCTTGTATACTTGAAATACAGCAGAAGTTTGATACATTAATTAAGTAATCATAAAGACAAATGCATAATTAACAAACTTGGATAACTACTATGAAGGAAGGAAAAAGAAAGTGGCTATGGGTACGGCCCCTGTTATGATGGGGGAGAGGAGAGTGGTTAATGAAAGCTTCCCTGGAAGTTACTCTTGAGCTAAGATCTGAAGAAAAAGGTAACAAGGTGAGGAGAGGGAGGGCATTCTAGGCAGAAGACACAGCACATGCAAAGGTCCTGCACCAGGAAGGAGCTCAGTCAGTCAAGGAGCTGAAAAGGAGTATGACTGCAACACAAAAAAACACGAAAGGGAGAGAAAATAGAATGAGATGTGGCTGGGAGGTAAACAAAAAACAGACCAGGCAGGACCTTACAGATTTGGGTCCTCATCCTTAGTGTAATAGGAAGCCATGGAAAGTACTTAACTGTGGGACTGGGCAAGAAGAGACCTGATGAAATCTGCATTCTTAAAAGATCACTTTAGGCTGGGCGCGGTGGCTCACGCCTGTAATCCCAGCACTTTGGGAGGCCGAGGCGGGTGGATCACGAGTTCAGGAGATCGAGACCATCCTGGCTAACACGGTGAAACCCCGTCTCTACTAAAAATACAAAAAATTAGTGGGGCGTGGTGGCAGGTGCCTGTAATCCCAGCTACTCAGGAGGCTGAGGCAGGATAATGGCATGAACCTGGGAGGCAGAGCTTGCCGTGAGCCGAAATCGCACCACTACACTCCAGCCTGGGCAACAAAGCAAGACTCCATCTCAAAAAAAGAAGAAAAAAAAGATCACTTTAGAGAAGACACTTACAAGGAATCAAGAGTGAATATGGGTAAATTCAGCATGTTGGCAGGCAGAGGTGGGTGGATCACCTGAGGTCAGGAGTTCGAGACCAGCCTGGCCAACATGGCGAAACCCCGTCTCTACTAAAAATGAAAAATTAGCCAGGCGTGGTGGTGGGAGGCAGAGGTTGCGGTGAGCCAAGATCGCACCACTGCACTCCAGCTTGGGCAATAGAGCAAGACTTCATCTCTTAAAGAAAAAAAAGAAAAAGTGAATGAGTGAATATGGGGAAATTACTGAGGAGGCTACTACGATAGTCCATTAAGAAAGAAGGGAAGTTTGAACTAAGTATGGCTGTGGAATGTTAGGGAAAGGGAGGTATCAAGGATGACTGTCAGGTTTCCGACTTGCTGATGTCATTCACTGAGACAGGAAGACTAGAAAAGTACTAGGCTTGGCAGGGGAACAGGAGTTTGATTCTGGATGCATTTAAGGTGCTTCTGAGATACCCAAGGGATAATGTCAAGGGAGCAGTTGGTTTAGGGCAAAGGTGAGCAAATTATGGCCCATGAGCTAAATGGAAGCAAATGGATCTAGTGGAAAGGGAACAAACTAAAAACAACTAGCAACTGACCTTGCCGCTAGCTCTGGGTGTGACCAGATTGGCCTAAATCAATTATGACATCCAGTGGTCTTTTGGTAAACAGCTAAAAAACATTTACAATGTCTTTTAAAACAAAGTTTTATTAGAACACAGCCATGTTCATTTGTTGATGTATTATCTGTGGCTGCATTTTTTGCAGAATTGAATAGTTGCCCCCAGAGACCATGTAGCCCACAAAGTCTAAAATACTCTCTGGCCCTTTACAGAAAATGTTTGTCAACCCTTGGTTTAGAACAAAGAGATATGGGTTACAATTTAAGATTAGAATCTCTTTAGTTTCCCTCCAACCAACTCCACCACTGACTGTGTTACACATACACACACACATACTCACTCTATCTCTGTCTCCCCACATCTCTGACAGTATGTATCAAATATCTAATGCTATTCTTTTCTTAACCATTCTTTAAACACTGGTGTTCCTCAGAGCTCCAGCCTGAATATACAGTCATTCAACATGTTTTCCTTGGACAATCCTATTCACTTGTAGATTTAACAACCACTAACAGGATAATGATTTCCCAATCTATATTACTAGCCATGATCTGCCTCTGAGTGTTCAAGTGTTACCGGATATACTCTCTTGAATATCACCCCCACAGGACCTCAAATCGAATGCGGTAAACATTTGTTTGTTGCCAGCTCAACATCCATTTCCCCTGATCTCCTAATAATACCCTTTTTTTTTTTGATACCTACCTTTTCCCACACAGCCTATGAGCTAGGAGGAAATGACACTATCAGTCAGGATCCAGGCAGGCAATGGAAGGCACAATCAGCTGAGATTGTGAAAAGTGTATGGGCCACTTTTCTTTTCTTTTTTTCTTTTCTTTTTTTTTTTTTTTTTGAGACAGGGCATCACTCTGTTGCTCAGGCTACAGTGCAGTGGCGCGATCTCAGTTCATTGCAACCTCTGCCTCCCAGGTTCAAGTGATCCTCCCATCTCAGCCTCCCAAATAGCTGAGACCACAGGCGTGTGCCACCACACCTGGCTAATTTTTTGTATTTTTGGTAGAGACGGGGTTTCCCTATGTTGCCTAGTCTGGACTCAAACTCCTGAACTCAGGCAATCCTCCCATCTCAACCTCTCAAAGTGCTGGGATTACAGGCGTGAGCCACCATGCTTAGCCTAGGCCACTTTTCGAAGGGACTTTTCCCAAGGTTAAGGAAGCTGACAGCAGCACAAAGCTTTTACCATCCCCAGGTCTGAAGGGCAAAGGGAGGAAATGGTGTTACTAGATCCTGGTAAGAGTGGGAGCTGTGGGCAACCTGACAGGGGCTGTTGTTAGAGGGATACAGGTACTACAGATCATGGCACCAAGAGAGGGAGGGAGCAGGAAATAAATATCCTGATCTCTCTCCTGCCCTCCAATCTCCTGCCAATGCCTCCCGTTGGCCAAATATAACTGGAAACCAGAGGAAGAGAGCCTGAATGATGTACTTTATACAGTTAGCTTTCCAAAGAGTAGAGTAGAGAAAAGAATGAGTCTGGTGGGAGGGGAGAAAACTAAAAGTAAACAGCAACTGACTTTACTGCCAGCTGAGGCTGACTCAGATTTACCTAAACCAATCATTACATCTAGTGGTGTCCTGGTAAACAGCAGAACATTTTTACAAAAAATAAAAGGTCCACATACATAGGGTTGGACAATTTCTGTGGTGCAAATACTCCTACCATGGTCAATTTCAAGCTACACAGGTTAAGTCCCTAATGCTGACATAGGAAGAGGTGTATTAATACTTAATTGGCTTTTGAGAGCCAATCACATCCTCCCAATCATAAAGATAGGTCAATATGTGATCTAAGCTAATCCAATCAAAGCGAGTTTCAGAAAACCTGCTTGGAAAGTTATTTAATGCCCCCCACCCCACACCCGCCTTGTTTATTTTTTGTTTTTTTTGAGATGGGGTCTCACTATTGTTGCCCAGGCTGGTCTTGAATTCCTTGGCTCAAGTGATCCTCCCATCTTGGCCTCCCAAAGTGCTGAGATTACAGTCATGAGCCACCATGCCCGGTTTATGCACCTCTCTATGTCTAATATTTTCTTCACTCCCTATCTCTAACAAACTTATTCCTCTTTCAAGATTTAACTTCATCTCCAGGAAATCTTTCCTTTATTCTCATGCCAGATCAAAGCATCTCTCTCCATCCTCATGGTTTCTAATGCATTTCCCTCTTAGTATCAGACTCTAAAATCATCTGTTGACTTATGTCTTCTCCAATAGATCCTGATCCCACCAAAACAGAGCCTAGCATATTGTGGATGTTTAGTATAGTAATATTTATTCAACTAGACCAAACCAACAGTTTCCTCTTTTTTTTTTTTTTTTTTTTTTTGAGATGGAGTCTCACTCTGTTGCCCAGGCTGCAGTGCAGTGGCGCGATCTTGGCTCACTGCATCCTCCACCTCCCGGGTTCAAATGATTCTTCTGTATTTTTAGTAGAGACAGGGTTTCACCATATTGGCCAGGATGGTCTTGAACTCCTGACCTCGTGATCCACCCGCCTCGGCCTCCCAAAGTGCTGGGATTACAGGCGTGAGCCACCGTGCCCAGCCCAGTTTCCTTTTTATAAAACAAAAATTATTACAAAATAAGCATTAAAATTACACATTCTGGTTACTAAATTATAGTAAATTTTGGTTACTAAACCAAATTCTGTTTGCTAAATTATAGTAAGTACGCCATCAATAAACCCACCTACCTACCAATTTTTCCCTTGTTAATATATCTGAACTCCATATTTATGAGCATGATTTTGCCAAAAAGTTATAAACATTTAAAGTCATTTTGTTGAAATCTAAATACTGGATATGTGGGGTCTTAATTGTATAGTTAAAGAAAAATAAGAAAAGTAATAGTTTATCCATGGATGAACTAAAATTCAGGGCTGGTGAAAAAAAAAATTCTAAATGACGATAATTTTGTACAGTCTTATATAAAACTCTGAGAACTAGAAGAAATTATTAACTTTTTTCTTTTTCTTGATTTTTTTTGGTTCTAATTCACTTGTTTATTTTGGGGGAGGAAGACTTTGGTATGGAGCAAAGAAATACCAAAACTACTTTAAATGGAATAAAACCAACTTTATTCTTTTTTTCCCCCGTACTGGTAGATAAAGCAAACTTTATAAGTGGGCTATTGAAAGAAAAGTGCCTTTTAAAAGTGTTTAGTTTCCCAGTGTCCTTCCAAGCTTAAGATACAGAAGCATTTGTTCAAAGGATAGAAAACATCTAAAAGTTTAGGCTCAAGATCAATCTTTACAGACTAATATTTTCGGTTTGTTTTTTGTTTGTTTGTTTTTTGAGACAGAGTCTCACTCTGTCACCCAGGCTGGAGTGCAGTGGCGTGATCTTGGCTCACTGCATCCATGGATGAACTAAACTATTCTATACTGTTAGACATCAGGGTGTTGACTCCTTTTTGGGGAGAAAGGATAATGACTGGAAAGAAGCACAAAAGAAGGCTTTTGGAATGCAAGGAACATTTTATATATCCTGATTTGGGTGCTAGTTACCCATGTGTGTTCAGTTTCTTAAAATTCATTGAGCTGTATAGGCTTATGACATGTGTACTTTTCTCTACATATATATACTGAAATTAAAAAATGTTTTAAAACCAATGGATGTAAGACAGTTTGTCTCTTCCACTCATAAAAAAAATACCAATCCAACATTAATTCACTCAGAAATGTCCATCCCAGGCCTAATGCCTTTATCTCTTCATCTGAGCAGAAAAGCATTCTTGCCAGGTAAAAACAGCCAACTATAGAAATACTCATAATAATTAACAAAAACTTTTTAGTCTGGGGAAAAAACAAGAAAATCACATTTTCACATAAGTAATTTTACACATGAAAGAATTAAATGTGTCAATAAAGCCCCCAATCTTGTATGCCCCATTTTCTAAAATACAAATCTACTGATATTTTATTCATATTGCACACCTAAGTAAAAGAGAGAAAAGTTTAAGAAACCTAGGTCCCCTAGTCTACCATTTCTAAATACTTAGATAACTGATATAGCAGGACCAGACTTATAACTTAAGGAGAATTCAAATAATCTAATAATTTAAGTGGTCTTATCTTTGAAAACAAAAGGCAAATAAACACTGACATGAAACCAAACTCAACCACATAAGATTTAAAACACCAAACAAATGGATGAACCTTGAAAACATGCAAAGTGAAAAAAGCCAGTCACCAAAAGCACATATTGTGTAATTCCATTTACTTTATTTTTATTTATTTATTTATTTATTTATTGAGGCAGGATCTCATTCCATCGCTCAGGCTGAAGTGCAGTGGTGCAATCCCAGATCACTGCAACTCCGACCTCCCAGGTTCAAGTGATTCTTCTGCCTCAGCCTCTCAAGAATCTGGGATAACAGGGGCATGTCACCACACCTGGCTAATTTTTTTTTTTTTTTTTTTTTTTTTTTGTATTTTTTGGTAGAGATAGGGTTTTACCACGTTGGCCAGGCTGGTCTCAAACTTCTGACCTCAAATGATCCACCCACCTCGGCCTCCCAAAGTGCTAGGATTACAGATATTATTCTATTTATATGAAATGTCCAGAATAGGCAAATCAATAGATACAAAAAAATAGACTGGTGGTTGCCAGGGGCTAAGGGAAATGGAGAGTGAGGAGTGATTGTTAATGGGTATCAAGTTTCTCTTTGGGGTGATGAAAATGTTCTAAAATTGATAGTGGTAATTATTGCATAACTGTGAATATACTAAAAACCATTCAATTATGCCCTTTAAGACAGTAAATTGTATGGCATGTGAATAATATGATAAACCAGTTGTTTCTTTTTTGTTTGTTTTTGTTTTTGTTTTTTGAGACGGAGTTTCTCTCTTGTCGCCCAGGCTAGAGTGCAATGGCGAGATCTCAGCTCACTGCAACCTCTGCCTCCTGGGTTCAAGCGATTCTCCTGTCTCAGCCTCCCGAGTAGCTGGGATTACAGGCGCCCGCCACCACGCCTGGCTAATTTTTTTTGTATTTTTTAGTAGAGACGGAGTTTCACTATGTTGGTCAGCCTGGTCTCGAACTCCTGACCTCAGGTGATCCAGCTGCCTCGGTCTCCCAAAGTGCTGGGATTACAGGCAAGAACCACCACACCCTGCCACCAGTTATTTTTTAAAAGGCAAAAAATCTATTCCACAAGTACATAGAGATTGTAAAATCAACTTTAAATGTTTGATTGAATTATATGGTCTGCTGGACTTGACAGATGCTCTTCAAAGCAAAATGACATTAGATTTAAGAAAACACCATTTCCAGATTTTTTTTCTCAATAAGACAATATTTGAATATTTCTCGTGTGTGTGTGTGTGTGTGTGTGTGTGTGTGTGTGTGTGTGAAAGAGAGAGAGAGAGGACTGGGTTTATTAGGAGTGACAGTAGGCCAGCCTAAATATCATACTGCAAAGTAATTTAGCTTAAAAACTGGAGACTTATGATGACACAGGCAGCTGGGAGGGATCGGGGGTGTGCTGGCAACATGAATATTAGTCACCAGTTAAAAACTTTCCAGCCTTAACTGCTAAGATTTAGGACATCTGAAGTCTTTATATTAAACTATTTATATTTATATAATATTAAATATCTCTTTCAGAAATCCCCATTACCCTCAAGGAAATTTTATAAATTTAGCAATTCACTCTAATACTAGATATACTAATATTTTATTTCCCAGGAAGACACACATACACAAAATCCAGGAAATAATTGTACCTTAAGATGAAGGTAATTAGGCTGGATTGAAATTTATGCAATTTGAAAATTATATGAAAGCAAAACTCACCTAATTTTAAGATGTGAATGTCAGTGTGAATACCCTACTTCTGATATTACTTAATAAATTTTAACAGAATTTATATGCTCTTTCTTGTATTAAAAAAAGTTATGAAAATGCTAAAGCAGTTACTTTTTCATCGATATGCTTCTCTATAACGAATCACATCACATCCCTTCTGTGACTAGCAAATATTTCATTTTATAGACTACAATAATCACCTACAAAAAATAAAATTACCAACTGTCATGATTTTGTTTCCCAAAACTACTGGGGCAAACTACTGAATGCTAGAACTGTTTTCTTTCTAATCAGGGTATACAGCGCCCAAACGACAGCGGTCAACCACTGATAATAACACCACAAAATAACACCGGGTGCCCCCAAAGCCAGAGCTCTTTGTGGTTCCATCAAGTATGCTATCACCAAACTACAATGACAGGTCACGCAAGGTGAAAAAGCTCCCAAAGCTCAGGAAAGGACTGACAAAATACCAACTATCCTCAACGGGGTGGTGATGACATCGTCCCAACGTCCCGCTCCCTCCCTCCTTCCTTCCCAGAGCTATGCGGGGGCTTTCTGGAGACCCCCCTACCCGGAACCGGAAAAGCGACCATCTTCCCTAACCCCCCGGCCGGAAGTGGAGCGTAGCCAGCCGGAGCACTCACCCTGGAAGAACAGGACGCCCAGCAGAGGGAAGAGAGCGCAGCCACGGCTTCCAGCTGCTCCTCTCTGCTGCATCCCGGCAGCTCTTCAGATGCTTGCACACCTTGTTTACAGCTCCCGGTAACGACACAGGTAACACCGGAAGTGACGTCAGAGCAGGAGGCCGAGAGACAACTTAAATGGCGATCCGAAGTTACCATAGGAACCTGGCTTCTTTCCAGAACCACACCTGGTTTCACTGACCAGAGATTTATTAACTTTCAGGCGGGAGCTAAATGCTCTCTTTTGCTTGAAAATGAAGTAGGCTACGGACTTGGAATAATTACAATTTTGTTTTTATGGAATTCTGCAGAACTAAATAATTTTGATGCTCTGACTGCATGTCAGACATCGTTTTTACGTCTCGAGATTTAGTTGAAGGTTCTCAGAATACACTACTGTAAATTTAGAGTTCAGAAACACCTGGGAGATCATACAGTATAGATAAATATATATTAGGTGCTTGTAGTGATATGTGCCACAAGCCTCATTGGTTGGTGTCCTTTTTAGTGTAAGTATTGCAGCCTCCAAAATTGGGTGTTTATTAAATTACTTTTGGCGGTGGCAATGATGATCAAATCATTACAGCCTGTATTAGAGGAAAAGAGGAACTGGGATTTCTGTGTCTTTGGTTGGAAAAGTAAGAAAGTTATGTTATCACAGTACTTGAAGTGAGATGGCGTCACATACTTCTGAAAAAGAGATGGTACAATAAGTACACTGCTTTAATAATCAGTAAGCCTCTTCCCTGGAAATTGCCACATGTCAATGAAAGCAGGAGGAGAATAAAAGTATGCTTTCGCTTTGGGGAAGAATTAATAAGTTTCCATTTTTCAATTTCCATTCCTTTACTAGACTTGAAAGCCAGTAGTTTTCCCTATTAAAAGTGTAATGCAAAGTACTAAATAGAATCTTTGATACTTTTCTTTGAAAGAGCCCTCAAACTAAGTAGTGTTGTTATGCCCAATTCCCAGCTATCCAAAACAGTGTGAAAATTCTGTGGAAATCCGTATACTTCTGTTTACCCATTAGAAACTAACTGTATCCATTATTGACTTGCAGGTTGTCTCTACTAAGAAAACTTTTTGGTAAAGATTAAATATATATCCATCTGTTTTTCCTGCAATGTAGAACTTCTAGATATGTATATACACAAATTATATAACTGATAATTCTTTATTACTAAAGGTTTATTTACATAGTGTTTAAAGCATAATAAAAAATAAATTACAATACAAAAGTGCTCTTTAGGAAGGAGACACTAAACAACAGGCCCATATTACCCCTTGACTATTTAGCCAAGACATAAGCTACAAATTTTGCCGGAAAAACTGTCCATACATTTTTAACTACTTCTTCATTATTCTTATGGACCATCATCCAGGACATCTGTTTGAAGAAATATCCAGTTATAATATTTTCAAAGGTTAGAATTGTGAAGAAAAAATATAAAATGTGATTAAAGGATATATAGCCTTCAGATGTAATTTACAGTTTTAAAATTGCACTTTAAAACTTTGCTTTTTTAGACAGTATAAAAGGCAGAATGAGACAGATATGTAATGAATTTCAGAACTGAGGTTCATATGTAAATCATACAATTTTTTAAAAAATAGTATTGGAAAAATATCAAGGTCTATACATTTAAATACAGATAATCTGTTTGAAAATTCCAGTTTGTTAAAAGAAAAAACATCTGCAGTCCAGTCGATTAAAAACTGAAAATATCAATCTGTAAAGATTGATCTTGAGCCTAAACTTTTAGATGCTTTCTATCCTTTGAACAAATGCTTCTGTATCTTAAGCTTGTAACTTTTCTTTCAATAGCCCACTTATAAAGTTTGCTTTATCTACCAGTATGGGGGAAAAAAAGAATAAAGTTGGTTTTATTCCATTTAAAGTAGTTTTGGTATTTCTTTGCTCCATACCAAAGTCTTCCTCCCCCAAAATAAACAAGTGAATTAGAATTAAAAAAGAAAAAAAGTTAATAATTTCTTCTAGTTCTCAGAGTTTTATATAAAACTGTACAAAATTATCATCATTTAGAGTTGATTTTTTTCACCAGCCCTGAATTTTCAAACTTGTAATATGCTGTTTCACAATTTTTTTATTAAATTACTTAATGATTCCAGTCTGCAAATGAGCATAGACTTTGCTCTGTTGTTATAGATCATTGAATTGGGGGGGAAACATAGTAAGCTAAACTATCCGTCACTGCTCATGAAAGACCCACATTGTTGATTATTTTTCCCAGCACAGAAGAAAAGTGACAAGTGATTCATCCTGCAATGGCCTCTGCCAATCTTTTCATATCTATGTAACCTTTTGTAGTTACTGTGTGATTTAGCGTTGTGCTATTGTAAATCTTGGATTAATTAACAAAACAACAAAAATCTATCACCTGGAATATTGAAAGAAATTCAGTAAAACAAGATGTGTCTCATAGTTAAGGAGAGACATAAAAATAAAAATGTCATTTAACAGTTTGAATTTAGGATTTACTGTTAATCAGAAACACCGAGGAGGCTTAGCTCACCTTTTAATTGAGAATGTGGGAAGGAAAGAGAGTAAACACATTAACTTTAGTAGCAGAAGTGCTGCTAAAAGAAATACGTGAAAGGAAATGTAACAGACAAATTGGCTTTTATCCCTTTTGATACCAATATATGTGTATACAAGTCATAACACTGTAAGTAGTGTCTTAAGGGCAAAAATGTAGCTTCTTGTTTATAAAACCTAATGAGCACTTGAAAAAATTTACACTCTGAAATTAAATAAGACCTTAATAATGAGGCTGTGTATGACTGGTGATATGGAGGAGCACTGTGCTGGCTCCAGAGGGGTGTTGCTTGTCTAGAATCTAATATGCTGCAGAACTGGTTGGAAAACGGGTCACAACTGGAAAAGCCAAAGAAAAGTTTCCATTAACTTCAAGAAATACTAGGGTTCTTGTTCTTGGAAATCATCTCAGCTTCCTAAAACACAAAACAAAAGTTTAAATGGATAATATATTTGAGAAGAGTACAATAGGAATACTTGGCATTATGAATTACATATATGTTATTAGAAGGAAAATATTCTGAGGGAAAGTATTCATATTCTCCCCCAATTTAATTTTTAAAAGAAGTTTCCTAATCCTTATTACATAATTTTCAGAGTTAGTATCCTTAAATCATGGCCTCTAAGTACCTTGCATGGACACTTGGATGACCCACAACTTGTTCACACACATACATCCCATATTCTCCCCACTTCTCACTCTCATTACAAACAAAATCAGACATATAGAAAAGTAGAGAACAGAGTATGTGGAATTTACCCATCCCTTAAATTCATTAATTCATTCTTTTCTTTTCTTTTCTCCCCTCATCTCCCCCATCACCTAATTCTGAAGCCTTTTTTGTTTTATTTGCTTTTTTCCTATGCTTTTAAAGTAAATTGCTGACATTTACCCCAATACTCCAGTAAGAATTTTTCAAAATAGGTACATTTTCTTTATAACTACAATACCATCACTATACCTAATACAAACTAACAATAATTCCCTAATATTATCCATATATTTAACATTTTCATATTCAAGACTTTCCCAATTGCCCCTCCAAGCTTGTTTTTACAACTAGCTTGTTCACACTATTATTCATCCAGTTGGGGATCACACATTGCACTTTGATTGTGTTCATCTCTTAAGTTTCTTTTGATCTAAAACATCTCCCATATTTATTTTCCATGACCCCAAGTTGTTAGATAATCCCCTTAACTTTAAAAAGACAATAGCCGTTGGTTGGTAAAAACTCCCTAATGTTAATTTTGGTTTTCTGGTTTTACAATACAATCATTTTACTCCATATTCTATTTTATAAATCCTTGAGGTCTTTCACTGGAGCTTTAGCCTATAAAAATGTGACCCTCTTTGCAACTAATAACGGTCTGTAAAAAATGTTCTCCCGTGTAACAGAGCCAGAGTTTTACAGGATAAAGTCATTAATATCAAGAACTTTCTTATGAGCGTAAAATTTAAGTTTGCATGTCCGGATTTATAACATCTAGAAATTAAATGTGTGGACCTATTTCAGAGAATGGGAGAAATTCTGAGCATATGAAAAATAAATTGGCCCGGCGCAGTGGCTTATGCCTGTAATCCCAACACTTTGGGAGGCTGAGGCAGGTGGATCGCTTGAGCTCAGGTGAGACCAGCCTAGGCAACATGGGGAAACCCCGTCTCTACAAAAAGTACAAAAATTAGCTGGGTGTAGTGGCGCGCACCTGTGGTCCCAGCTACTTGGGAGGCTGAGGTAGGAGGATCACTTGAGCTTGGGAGGGAGAAGTTGCAGTGACCCGAGATCGCACCACTACACCCTAGCCTGGGCAACAGGTTGAGACCCTGTCTCAAAAACAAAGACAAGAAAAATAAATTATCCTACTTTTTAAGCCTGATGAACCTGAAAACTGGAAAAATAAAATTATACGCTACTAAAACTGGATTCATTTCATGTAGTTATTAGTGCCAATAACTAAATGAGAGGAGTTGAAATCAATTCCAAATAGTACAAAAGCTCTCCTGTAAAAACTGCCAGATATGTCTATTGAGTCACTCTCTTAATACCATAATTGGTTTACAATTAAAAAAAAAGAATAAGCAGATACTAATCTTTTGATTTAAAAAAGATTTATTTACTTGTTGAATATTTATTAGTAGTAGTAGTAATAAATATAACCCCGAAGCCACAAATAACCTTAGGATTCTCTCAGCTTTAATGGCAGTAGAGTCCAGCTTCTTAATCTTTTGCACAAAATACACTCAAGGAGGAGCTATCCATAAGACTAATAGAAGACTTTTGTCTCCCTGACCCAGCTCCTCTAATTTCATATGGGAAACACCTAACAGCCATAAAGTGATGATCTGGGAGTCCTCATTAGAGATGGGCTGGACATGTCAGAAAGCTGAAGAAAGAAATCAACCTATTTGTGAACCTTACCATCTAAAATTGTTAGTCTGTGTCTTCTAAATAAACAGAGACCTTTTTCTCTTGGTTGAGCCTTTCCTCTTCTTTTCTGTAACAAGCAGAAACCAAATGTCAGGTGAACAAGACAAGAAGCAAGTGGGTAAATCCCACAGAAGCTTCAGGTAAGGTATTTTTCCCCCATATTTTTGGAAGAATTACATGCACTTGGGAGTAGATTGAAGTTTACACAGAGCTAAACTGGTGCCATCTAATTAATAATATTCACACCTCTGAACTTAGAGACTTTTCAGAATGTAAGGGAATACAGTTTGGGTTCTGATTCGGGAACTCCAGAGTTTTAAAGCAGACACCTTATTTTACCATTAGTATCCCACCTCTAATTTATATTTGTTATTCAAAAAAAAAATAAAAAGTTTTGTGTTGACCTAAGTCATCTTTATTGGTTCTATTCAAACTAGAACCTCAGAGTTGGGTTTGTTAGGCTTCTTAAAATTAGTTCTGTTTCGCCAGGCGCGGTGGCTCACGCTGTAATCCCAACACTTTGGAAGGCCAAGGCAGGTACATCACTTGAGATCAGGAGTTCAAGACCAGCCTGACCAACATGGTGAAACCCCATCTCTACTAAAAATACAAAATTAGCTGGGCATGGTGGTACATGCCTGTAATCCCAGCTACTTGGGAAGCTGAGGCAAGAGAATCGCTTGAACCCAGGAGGCGGAGGTTGCAGTGAGCTGAGATCATGCCATTGCACTCCAGCCTGGGCAACCAGAGTGAAAGTCTGTCTCAAAAAAAAAAAAGGCTGTTTATTTCATTAAATATTTATTAAGGAAATGAGATAAATGGTGCTGGAACAACTAGATATCCACATGCAAAAGAGTGAATTTGGACTTCTGCCTCAGCCATATACGAAAACGAACTCAAAGATCTAAATGTAAAAATTAAGACTATAAAACTCTTAGAAGAAAACATAGCCATAAATCTTCATGATCTTGGGGATTAGGCAGTGGTTTTTTAGATGAGACACAAAAGCACTAGCAGCAAAAGAGAAAAAATAAACTGGACTTCATCAAAATTTAACTTTTGTTCTTCAAAGGACACTATGAAGAACATGAAAAGACAACCCACAGAATGGGAAAAAAATTGCAAGTTGTATATCTGATAAGGAACTAGTATCCCTTAAATAACTCTTACAGTTCAACAAGAATAAGTGAAATAATGTACCCCATATTAAAATGGGCAAACTCTGAATGTATGCATCTCCAAATAAGATATACAAATGGACAATAAGAACATGGGAAGATGCTCAACATCAAGTCATTAGAAAAATGCAAATCAAAACCCCAATGAGATACCACTTCACATCCACTAGATGGCTTCATATAGTTTGGGTATTTGTCCCCGCCCAAATCTCATGTTGAATTGTAATCTGCATTGCTAGAGGTGGGGCCTGGTGGAGGGTGTTTGGGTCATGGGAGCAGATCTCTCATGGCTTGGTGCTGTCTTCAATAGTGAGTGAGTTCTCACAAAATCTGGTCATATAAAACTATGTAGCACCTCCCCCCAACTCTCTCACTTTCTCCTGCTCTCACCATGCAAAATTCCTGCTCCCATTGTGCCTTCTGCCATCGGTAAAAGCTCCCTGAGGCCTCCTCAGGAGCCAACCAACATCGGCGCCATGCTTGTACATCCACAGAACCGTGAGCCAATTAAATCTCTTTATAAATTACCCAGTCTTAGGGGTTTTTTTATATAGCAACACAAGAATGGCCTAATACACGGTTATGATTAAAAAAAAAAAAGACAATGAGTGTTGAGGAGGATGGGGAGAAATCAGAACCCTCATATATTGCTGACAGGAATGCAAAATAGTCCAGCTGTTTAAAGACAGTCTGGCAATTCCTCCAAAAACTAAACAGAGTTACCATAAGACCCAACAATTCCACTTTTAGGAGAATTAAAAACATATGATCTACACAAAAGCTTGTAAATGAATGTTTATAGCAGCATTAGTCACAACAGCCAACAAGCAGAAAAAACCTAAATGCCCATCAATTGAATGGACAAACAATATGTGGTATATTCATACAATGGAATATTATGCAGTCATAAAAAGGAAAGAAATACTAATACATCAACAAGGATGAGCCTTGAAAGCATTATGCTAAGTGAAAGAAGCTGGGCATAAAAGACCACATATTGTATGATTCTATTTAAATGAAATGTCCAGAATAAGCAAATCCATAGAGACAGAAAGTAGATGAGTAGTTGTCGGGGGCTGGTAGGAGGGGATAATAGGGAGTGATAGCTAGGGATATGGGGTTTCTTTACGGGAGGGAGCTTAAAAACGTTCTGCAATTAGTGATGATTGCTGCACAACTTTGTGAAAATGAAAAAGGTAAATTTTATGGTGGGTAAATTTTATCTCAATTTTAAAATACATTTAATGAACACCTGCTATCAGCACAACAGACTTTCCTAAGCCCTGACTCATAGTGGCCCTGCTGACTGCCTAGCCCAGTGGTTTTTACAAATGTATGCTTCACTTTAAACATAAGGGATTTTTTAGAAAAGCTTTACATAGCACATTTTTGTAAAATCAACCCCCCCACATAGTAAAGAAATCCCATAAGGAAATATTTTGTAAAATTAAGAAAGCTTTTGTAAAGTTACTAGTTCATACCTGATTTATCTGTCCTGCAAATGTGAATTCTTTTATATAGGATTTACTTAAAGGGAAAAACATCTGTTCAGCAACTATTTAGCCCACTGCAAAATACCAAGAGTCGCCATAAGAGTGTTAGAACTTTCCCAGAACTGCCCAGCCTTACGATTTTATCTCCACCACTTTATGAGCTCTTTCGGCCCATCGCTTTTTCCGGTAATGCTGGAAGAGGACCACTACAATTACTATTATGATCATCAGTGCACAGGCAGAGCCAATGGCCAGAGCCAGGAAGTGGATCTCAGAGAAGCGTACTGTAAGGAGAAAAAGATTAAATTAGGATTCTAAAAAGAAGAGGACTACAATGAAATCTAATGACATAATAGGGATGCATTTAATCAATAGATGGAATCTTCCTTTATCCTACCTTTATGCATAAAATAATATATTACCTTGTGAATCCTACTAGCAATAGGAAAACCATACACATACTTTAATGGTTCTCAAAGTGTGGTCTTCGAAGTAACAGCAACAATATCACTTGAGAACATGGAAATCTTAGGCCCCACCCCAGACCTACTGAATTAGAAACACTAGAGGTGCGGCTGAGCAATCTGTGTCTTAACAGGTCCTCCAGGTGATTCTGATGCAGCTTTGAAAACCACTGGGTGGGTTGAACTACTTATGGGGTAAGGTTTTTGCTAACCTCATCAAACGTAGTGCCCAACCCATTTCTCCCTGACTTCTCACCACTTTCACTCAGTCAGTTATTTATTCAGATTTATTAAGGGCCTACTACATTCCTGGCACTGTGATAGAAATGCTGAGCCAAAAAAGACATCACCTTCAAGGAGCTCATGCCACTGAGAGGATAGGAAAGTAAATCAGAAGCTACAGTCTAGTGGATAAATGATGGAAAAGGGAAACCAGAGGGAAGGTCCCCTAAGCCACACTAGAGTCTGTGAACCCTGGTTTTCTTGTCCTTTAGCTTTATTTCTGATTATACTTCCATAAGCCCTCAGAGCCAGAAAGGACATTAGAGAATGTCTAGCCCAGGATTCCCAGCCTTGACTCCATGAAGGAGGATGGGGAAGAGGATGGAAGGTAGTCTGCAAGCCCACAGAATCCAAGTCTCATTTTGTATGTCTCCACTGTTTTATGGGAAGCAGGGCCATGGCTTTTATTTGATTCTCAAAGAATAATTATCCACATATATTTAAGAACCACTGATTTTTTGTGTGTTTAACCTCTTCATTGTGCAGATGAAGAAACTGAGGTCCAAAACCATTACATTATTTCTTTCAATACTCAAATGACTTCTGCAAGGTCACACAGCCCTCTATTGGTGGGGCATTGAGAAATGGTTTTAAACTGTACTATGAATGAAAGGAAATCGTACCACTGCACAGGCTTATATGTTTGGAGTAGTGTTGGTTAAGAGCACACACCAGAGAGCACTAGGTTGAAATACTTAGCTGTGTGATTTGAAGTAATTAACTTCTTTGAGCCTCAGTTTCCTCATGTATAAACAGAGATAATGATATTCATTTCTTGAGTTCTTAATAAAAAATAAAATAATTCATGTAAGTTGTTCCTTGCTGTGCCTGTACAAAATAAACACTCAATGTATGGTAGCTGTTAAGTACAATTCAGAGGTTGGGACATATTCACATTTATTATCTCATTTTATCCTCACTGTGATCCTTACTGTGTTATTCTCACTTTACAGATGAGGAAAATAAGACTTATTGATAGCTGGTAAATGGTAGCAATGACTCAAACCCAGATCTACAATTCATAAGTTTCGTGTACTTTGCTCTTTGTTGCTTGGCATGGTTTTCCAGATTGTCCTTTATAGGGATGCAGACAATACAATGCACCAATTTAGAGCACAGTTTTAGATTCAAAGTTGATTGGGTTTGAGTCCTAAGTTACTCCATTTATCAGCTACGTGACTCAGGGCAAATGACTTAACCTCTGTGAGCCTCGTTTCCTCATTGGCAAGATGGGAGGCATTAAATGCACAATAAACTGATGAGATATGTAAAGATTAAATAAAATGTGTCATGTAAAGCCCCTGACATTTGGGAAGTACTCAGTAAGTGTTAGCTCCCATCATTAGTACCTGCCTCCTAGAGTGGTGTGGGGATTCAATGAGATAGTGTATGTCATGCACTTTTGACGGTGCCTAGCATTAGAGTAGGTACTCAATAAGTATCTCGAATAAATGAGTGAGTGAACAGACCTGTTGTAAGCCTTTCATCAAAGAATTGCTCCCTCTCCCTTTCACAATCTCAATGCCATTTTTGTAACGGATTCTCTGAGTTCCTTTGCTTTACTTTCTGTTTCTTTCCACAGCCAAACAAAGCCTTTCTCTTTTTACCCCAGAACTCTTCGGTCTCCCTCTGAGGCTCCCAGTTCTGAAGGGCTAGTCCCTCTCTCTATCCATCACAAAAGATTGTCCCTCTCTCTCAGCCTTAACAAAGATTGCCCCTTTCTTTTCTACAAGCTCTCATCCTTTCCAAAACCACTGTTCCCTGCATAACCTACCAGTGTGCACGACGCTGAGCCGGATCTCCCCTATCACCCCATCAACATCAGGTGGGTTCTTCACCTGGCAGGTGTATGTCCCATTGTCGTCGAACTGCAGTTTCCAGAGAAGGATGGAGGCATCGTACCGCTCAGGATTCCCATCCCAAGACACCCGGTCCTTAAACCGCCCACTCATGGGTTGGAAGGGATCTATGTGGTAGTAGAATACCTAGAGAGGGGAAATGGCAAAAGGTCTTCTTACTCAGCACCCAGGCAAGGAGGCCAAGATGGTGGGAGCGGAAGTGAAACACCAGCAAACCCAACTGTCCTGTCTGCAGCTCTGTCACTTGCTTTCCCCTTCAACGGCCTCTCAGTCTCTGTCCCAAGAATTGTTTCCGAGCTTAACCTTGTGCTTGCTGCTAAGAAAAATACTGGAAGGGAAAGGAGAAATGGACTGGCTTATTATTTCCCTAAACAAGAGTACCCTGGAAAATGATGATAATCTACTTACAAACTGCTCAGGTCCCCCGTCTAGAGGACGAAAATTCCAGGTCACTGTTAGAGCATCACCCACAGGGGCAAAGCTGGAGAAAGTGCATTTTAACCGAGCATCTGTCCCATTAACAGCCTCCAGCACCCGGGAGGTATAAATTTCCACAGCTGCTATAGGCCAAAGAGCTGCAATGAAAAAGAAGAAAAAGAAGGGTTAACAGGGGATGTAGTATTGTGAGAACTTCTGCTGACACTTCCAAAATAAATATCTGAGTAGGACTTAAAGTAAAGTGAAACTGAGATGCCCCATCTCCCAAACTTACTTCACCCAGAATCTACATACTCCTACCTGTATGCAGCCTGGACCCTCCCATTCCATGTGACAACTAAACTACCACACAGCAAGCCTTCGCAGTGCTTTTACTTTCTCCACAGCATTAAAGCCTCGCCTCGTGGTACTGACTTCAAAACTGTTATAACAAACTACAAACATCCGCAAATAGAATTGAAAGCATAAACAAAAAATTAAAATGAATCATAACATTGATTAGACATTACATTATGTATTAAGGTTAAGCATTATGTGTTGTATGTAAAGTGGTCTCCTAGCAGGTAAGTTTTCCAGATGGGTCCTTAGGTGGATTTCATACTGTTACTAGTCTATTGCAGAAACTGAATTAATCAACTCCAGACAGCTTATGTTTGCCTGCACCCCTAGAACCTTTGTACCACGTGGCATTTTTTTAAACTTGATATTTACATTTAGAATGTGTGTGTTGGGGCACTTTCAAAATCACAGTAGGTCTCTCTCTAACAATCTCCACTTTCCTGGTGTTGCTGAGAGTCACAGACAAGACCCACACACAGAAATCCAAATGCCAAGTCCTGCCAGCAGTGGGAGGTTGAGAACAGCCACACACAAAAAAATGGCATGTAACCTGAGATTAGAAAGCCCTCTCTGTGCCTGAATCACTGGCAGCTGAACACACCTAAACCTGTTTGTCCGAGAGCAGTTCTCCAAAAACAGTCCACCAACTTTGGTTTCAGTAAAACCCAAAGTAAAACAAACTGTATCTGTGGCTCAGGCTCCCAAACAAAAGTCTTGCAACTTCTAAGACAATTAGCTAACTTTATAGAGTGAGCAGTGAAGGAGGAAACTCTGAGAGAAGCCCGCCGGCTCTTACCTGTGAGCTGTATGCCAAGGAGAAGAAGCACCGCACGAGTAGAGCTCTTGCCATACATGAGGGAAACCCAGCCTTGGCCCCAGAGACCGGACGGGGCAGACCGAGGGCTCCAACACCCTGCCAAGGCCACTCCGGGAGGAGCAAGCACCGCGTTTTCCCAGAGAGAGGAGTTTGAGTTGAGTTCCTCACCTGTGCCTGTGACTCAGCCCGCTCTGCCTGTGCACTTTTCTGAAATGAAAGGTGGGGCCTCAGCTCCCAATGCCCTCCTTCCTTTCCTCTCTCCCGCCCTCTACACGAACGAGCATGAGCACGTCTGCACAAAGGTCCCAAACTCCCGCAGTCCTCTCTTTACTTTCAGTTAATCTGACTGGGCTCTGGCCTCTAGATGGCCTCGGAAACAGCCAGAGGAGGTGGTGCCAGTCTGAAATGTCCCAGACTGTTATGGGTTTGGCCCCCACACGCCCTTTTAAAACAGGCTTTAGGCTTGCCTGGGAAGTGAATGTTGAAACTGTCCTGCAGTGATTCCACTTCTCAAAGCACCACCCCAGGGCCACATTCACTTGGGACTGGATTCGATACAATTTCAAAACGGGAGTCGGAATTCCTTAGGACCCTCTGTGGACAAAAAGCTGATACCCCTGTTACCACAAGGATTCCTGCACTTCTTCTAGTTTGTAGCTTTCCAGGAGACCTGGCAGAAACAACAAATCAAATCTCCATGCTTAACAATCCTTTACCTTTGAAGACTTTAAAAACAAATGAGGACACCATCCCTGCTCATTCACCCTGCCATCCGAGTGCAATCTACAAAGTGCTCTCCTGCTGATTGTTTCATCTCCATTAACGCCCTTGTGAAGCATTCCCATTCTACCAGTGAGGACGCTAAGAACCCGAGGAAGGTAAATGATTTGCCCAAGGTTGCACAGCTACCATGTGGCAAAACCAGAACTTTTCTTAAAAATCTAGCGTTCTTTCCACCAAATAACAGCTAATATGAACAATCAGACATGGGGCTCTCAAGGAAAAGGTTTTCATGATAACTTTGTTGTGCCTCGGATTTCATCTGTCATTTTTTGAATAGCTAAATGACTGAGAAGTCTAAAGAGCTGAGGAATCTAAACGAGAAAAGATGCCTCCTTGTCTGGAAAGAGGGTGGGTCATCTTTACAGATTAATGAAGCGGCACAGAAACATCGGTAGGAGGGGGATGAAGATTACACATGCAGTTAAGAAGTAGGCTGGGCTGGGAATCTAACCCTGAAAAAAGACAGATTGCGTTTATCCCTGGATTAGCAGTCTAGAAACTCTTCAGTCACTCATAAAATCTTCTAGCTGAATCCAGAGCAGAAAGGGTGGCAGGAACAAGAGAAGGCGGCAGGCTGAGTAGAAAAAAATAAAACATCATAAAGAGGGAAGAAAAGAGAAAATTCTACCAAAAGAGAGGAGAATGCAGAAGTGCAGAAAACAGAAAGCAACAGGAGAAAGATGACATGGGCATGGAGCAAAAACAGGTAGACAACCACAAAAATCCATTGTGTTGGAACTCAGAAAGCAGAGGTGGCCCCAAATGCAGACCAGCTGTGTGCTAGTGAAAATCTGTTGCATGGTGAGAGTTTCTGAAAACTGTGTGGCGTCTTTGTCAGATTCTAGTTCAGAAAGGGACCTAAAATCAGTCTGCTGGGGGAACCTTTCAGATGTTGGTGAGGAAGGATAAGATACAGCCTTTCTGGTATGTAGGTCAGAAGAGTTCAGCTCCAGGACCCTGAAAGAAAAAGAGTTAAGGAAACTTGATCTTGGTTGGCTTCCAACTTTGCAGGGAAATACAGCTACAGAGGAAGGAGAGGTAGAGCCAGGATTTTGAAGTCTACAGCAAATTGCAAAAACTGGTGAGAGGTAGAGTTACCAAAGAGCTCAGGGATGCAGTGAAAAGCAACAGGAGAAGAATCAGGGCAGGAAGAACTGAACAAACTGCCTGTTGTCAGGAGCAGAAATCCCTCCCCCAGGTAGCCAAACACCCATGAGCTGGTTGCCAGCCTTGCTCTGAGGGGCAGGAGTTATCCAGATCCCACTTCTCAGCTGAGTTCAAGTTCCTGGCTTAGTGCCTGGCAACGCCCAGTTCCTTCCAGTTAGCAGGAGTGGCTCCACAGTCAACCACTTCACCTCACTGGGCAAGGAAGAGGCCAAGGGTAGAAGGTTAAGAAGAGAAAATGCTAAATAAAAAGGATGTTTGCCCCTCACAGTTTTCTGGACACCAGTCAGCAGGACTTAGACCAAAACTGCAGGCATCTACATAAGGCCTAAGTTATGTTTGTGCCCAGGCAAATGGAAGGAAAGGAAGAGGAGTTCTGGAAATTGAAAAGAAGAAAAGTAAAGTTTTCAGAGACACCATTTTCTTTCTAAACTTTTCCAGAGAAAGATCCTGATTGTCATTTAAAATTGTGACATACCAATAGTTTTTGAAAGAATCTCATCTGTCCCATCCATCTACACATTTCCCAAAAAATGATTTCTAGTGAGTATCTAGACCTTAGCCAGCAGGAGACTCACTGGGGGCTCAGGAGACAGAAGGGACAGTGGGCCTGTATCAATATTTGTAAAAGTTGTCTTTCTCAACCTCCTAGGCAAAAATCTTTTTTTCACCTAAGGTGAAATTAGCATTCTGTGAAGCAAGGAAAACAAATAATTTAGCTCTTAGGGTCATCAAATAAAGCATTCGTTTACTCAAAAGTGTCTGTTCATATGTTTTTACTAGAAAAAATTCAGACATACATAGAATATTTCTACCTGGGAGGAAATAATATAAGATAGGAAGGTGAAGTAAACAAATAATTATCACTTTCTTGATTTTTAAATTCAATCCTTAAAGGATGAATAGGAATTCTGGAAAGAGGATAAACAAAGTCCTTCCCATTGGAACAAATGGGTGGGAATGTGGTACCCACAGGGACTAGCATGCAATTCCTCAAACCTGGAGCACAGGGAGGAGTGGCAGGCCAGGTGAGAGGCTAGGTCCACCTGGGCAGTGCCCTCATCCACCATCCTAAGGAGTGTGGACTTGATCCTAACAAATATACCCATTGGGGATGGCTAATATGTGACCCAAGAAGAGCATCCCTAGAAGTAGAATTACTTTGGTATTTCCCAGAACCATTAAAAACAAGAAGGAAAGTCTTGGGACACCAACGACCACTTACTCTCCTGGCTTTCGTTTGGGCTCCTGGCTTATGAGCCAGAATGAAAGTGTAGACCTAACATCTGTTTTCCAAAGACTCAGGGACTCCCAGCCTTCCCCAACCAACAACTCCAATCTCTAGCATCCTTTGTCAAAACTTCCCCGGGTTAAGGGAGCTTTTCAAAGATGAGAGAGGGAGGCTAGGCTGTCAAGAGTCCTAGATGAGAGGTGGGCTCTTAGCCCAAAGGAATAGTTGTGTTCCCTGTGGCCCTCCTTCTTGCCTGAAGTTTCCTAGAGATATTCCAAAACAGGTCTGGGCCTGAAACTGAGCCTCTATGAGTTTAGAAAAATCGTGGGAGGGAACGCTTTCCTGCCCCACCTCATTACAGCTGATATGCACCTCTCCAATAAGCCTCAGGCTCCTCTGGTAATTATAGAGGACAGGCACCATGCCCTTATTAACCAGCCCAAAGAAGAGACTCTGAAGTGGTTTAACGCTTCACTTATTCTCAAGGGAAGCTACATAGATTGTGCAGGGCTAGAGAGATGGGGCATTTTTGAAGATAACTTTAAGGAACCTCTCGGGAGGATAAAGGGATCTTGATAAATGAATTTATCTACCTCCCTGTTAACCATACACACCACATTTAAATGGTGGTAAGAATTTACATTATACTGTGTTTATTGATGAACACTGCATCTTTTATTATTGTTCCAGTTATCTCTTGTTAAAATTGGTTACCATGACCAATTTTTTATTCTTAGGGAGTTAATTAATTTCCTGAGAAAAGAAATAGCCACTTTTTTTTTTTTTTTTTTTTTTTTTGCTACTATATTCTAGGAGGCATGAGGTATAGGAGCTAGAGTTCAACCTGCCTAGATCCAGATCCAAGCTCAGCTGCTTACTAGCTATGTGACCTTGGGCAGTTATTTAACTCTCCGTGCTTCAGTTATCTCACATGTAAAATGGGAACAGTAACATTTACCCCATAGTCTGGATGTAAGAATCAAGTGACGTACATTAACTAAAGCTCTATGCTCAGCACCCACACAAAACATTCAGTAAATTTTAGTTGTTTGTGGCTATACTTAGTTAAGATGTTTGGGAAAAGGGCTGGCAGTTTCTTATGAAGCTAAACACTCAGCCACCCTGGCAATTCCACTCCAAGATGAATGAAATTATATATACAGAAAGATATTTGTAGGAGAATAATCATGGAAGCTTTATTCATAATAGCCCAAAACTGGAACAGCCCAGGGATCCATCAACAGAAAAATGGATCCTCTGTAGAATATTCATATCGTGAATCCTACTCAGCAATTAAAAGGAACAAATCACTGATACATATCACCACGATGAACCTCAAAAGTAAGTTGAACAAATTAGCCAGACACAAACAGTATAAACTCTTTGATTCCATTTATATGAAGTTCTAGAACAGGCAAAACTACCTTGTCATGAAAAAAGTATAAAAGTAGTGTTTGCCCCTGGGGGAATGGGGGCAGGGATTGACTGGAGGGGCATGAGAGAACTTTCTAGAGTGATATTAATGTTCTTCATCTTGACAAGGGTTTGAGTTACCGCTTGCCAAAACCCTTTGAATGGTGTACTTTTAAGACTTGTACATTTAATTGAATGTAAGTTTTACTTCAGTAATTTTTTTAAAAGAATTGTAAACAAATTCTAAACTCTCATTAATGCTGAAGTATTTACGGGGAAGCATCCTGATGTCTGCAATTTAATTTAAAAATGCATCAAAAATAAGATGCATTAATAAATGGATGGATGGAAGGAAGGAAGAATGGGTGGGTGGGTGGATGGATGGATGGATGGATGGATAGATATGTGATCAAGTATAGTAAAATGTCAATTGAAGAACCTAGGTGGGATACACAGGTATTTACTGTATAATTCTTTAAACTTTTCTACATGTTAGAAATTTTTCATAATGAAATGTTAAGGGGAAATTTGCTCCCACATTCACCAAGTTTCTTCAGCATTAAGTAAATGACAACACAAATTCAGTAATAAAGCGTTGGAGGTTCATTACATTATATCATTCTAATTTAGACATACCTTAGAATACTGGTAGATTTTAACAAATAAAAATTACCATTAATAATTTTAAATTACTATTTATCAAGTGCCTACCACGTACCCAGCACTGTGGTAGGCATATTACATATATTAGTTCTGATCTCCGTAACTGCAAGATGATACGTAGATATCTCCATTTTATAGATAAGGAATTGAGACTCAGAGAGATTGATTCATTCTAATACCTGTTGAGCCCTGTTGCTAGAAATTGTGCTAGATGCCAAACAAGACATTAGTGTGTGCCCTCAAGTTGCTAACTATATCTTAGGAAACACAGTCAAATAAGTAGACAATTACAATGCAATGTGACAAATGAGTTGTGATCAGAGAAACACGGAAGCCAGGGTCCTTCAGCCAGCCTTGGAGGCCTTGGGAAGGCTTCCCAAAACAGGAACCATCCAGTGTAGCTGGCTAGCAGCTACAGGCTCTAGGGTGAGAGAAACATGGGTGTGAATCAAAGGTCTACATCATTTATTCATTCATTCATTTAAGAAACACGTTTTGGGTACCTATGACATGCCAGGCATTTTCCTGGGCACACAAGGAATAAAGTAGTGAACAAAGGGACAAGGGGTGGTCAGGGAAGACCTCTCTGATAAGATGAAACTTAAGAAACATCTGAATGAAGTGAGGTAGTGAACCACGTGGATCAGGAGGAAGGACATTCCGGGCAGAGGAAACAGTACAGGGCCTGAGGCTCCCAGGAGAATGTGTGGAGTATTTGAAGAAAAACAAGGAGACCAGTGTGGCTGGAGCAGAGTGAAGGGGCAGTGGCGAGGGGCTAAGCATGGAGGGGTACAAGGCAGACCAGACCACCAGGGGTACAGGGCAGCATTAAAGGGTTATGAAAGACAATCTCTGGAAAGGGAGAAAATATTTCATATTTGCAAATCACATTTCTGCTAAAGGATTAATATTCAGAATACATAAAGAATTCCTGCAACTCAATAACAACAACAGCAACCAAACAACCCCATTAAAAAATGGGCAAAGGACTGGAATAGACATTTCTTCAAAAAGATATAAAATGGCCAGTAGGCACAGGAGAAAATACTGAACATCACTAGACATTAGGAAAATATAAATCAAAACCTCAATCCATTAGGATGCTATTATCACATCCACTAGGATAACTATTACCAAAAAAAAGAGAAAGAAAATAAGTGTTGGCAAGAATGTGGAGAAATTGGAATCTTTGTGTGTTGCTGGTGGGAATATAAAAGAGTGCAGTCACTGTGAAAAATAGTATTACAGTTCCTAAAAAATTAAACATAGAATTACCATATGACCCAGAATTCCACTTCTGGCATGTACCCAAAAGAATTAAAAGTAAGTACTCAAACAGATAGTTGGACACCGACGTTCAAAGCAGCATTAATCACAATAGCCAAAAGATGAAAATAACTCAAATGTCCATCAAAGTAAGAATGGATAGGCAAAATGTGACATATACATACAATGCAATATTTTCAGCCTTACAAAGAATAAAATTTTGACACATATTTCAACATGGATGAATTCTGAAGGCATTATGCTAAGTGAAATAAGCCAGTCACAAAAGGACAGATACTGAATGATTCTACTTATATGGGAGCATCAAGAATAGTCAAACCCATAGAGACAGAAAGTAGAATGGTGGTCGCCAGGGGCTGGGGGAAGAGGGGAATGGGGAGTTATTGTTTGATGGGTACAGAGTTTCCATTTGGGGAGATGTAAAAGCTCTGGAGATAGACGGTAATAATGGTTGCACAAGAATGTGAACGGACTTAATGCCACTGAACTGTACACTTAAAAGTAGTTAAAATGGTAAATTTTTTGTTATGTATTTTTGCTACAACACAAAAGAAAAAGAAAGGTTATGAAATGAAAAGTAAAATTATCTGACTCACGTTTAAAATGATCACTCTGACTGCTGTGTGGGTATCTGGATTTCAGTCTCTTCAACCATTCAATGAGGATAATGAGGCCTTCCTCATGGGGCGGTTGTGAGGATTGAATAAGATAGTGCAAATAAATCACTTAGCACATAATGGCACTCAATTAACATTATCTATTATTGCAATTACTATTATAATTCTTCAATTCTGAAGATACATACAAGGTGGGCAATGGGAGGTGGCATTTGAGAGGTGAGCCCAGGTAGGGGCAAAAGTAGGTACAAAGCCCAAGAAAGAAGAGAAAACATGGCCTTTTTGGCAATTAAAAAACTTGAGTGTGAGTGGAGAGAAAAGGGCAAAAAGAAAAGTGAATGACCCTCAGAGATGAGGCTGAAAATCTAATCAGGGGCCAGACCCAAGAGGCCCTTGATAAGAGTTAAGGAGTTAGGGCTTTATCCTGAGGGCAATGAGGAAACACTGAAACTGTTTAAGCAGTAAGTGATTTGATCAGATTTGGGAATTTGACAGATCGCTCAGTTACAGTATGGAGAAAGGCACTGGAGAGGAATAAGGCCAAGCAAGAGGCTTCCAGGAACCCAGGCAAGAGATTATTTGACCTGAGCTGAAATGGTGGCAGAGGGAATTGAGAGAAGTTAAGAGTTCGAGAGCTATCAAGGAGATGGAAAGGAAGGGGATTGGTACATGATTAGAAGTGGACAGAAGGGATATTAAGTATTGGAGGATAATTCTCAAATTTCGAACCTAGGTAACTGGGTGGAAGGTGACTGCCTTTCTCTCAAACAGAGAAGATGAAGACTTGCTGCATTTGATATTTCTATGGGACAGCCAAGCAGAGAGTTTAGTACAGCACTATTAAATAAAGTTTATGGGAGCCCATTGTTTTGGACTAGCCTCCTGCAGTAGGTCCCAGCAGACCAGACCAAACCAGAATAGAGCCACTCATGCTAGGTGACATGTTATCAGACTGAACTCTGAAATGGGCCAGTTTAAAGCAAACGAACAGAAGAGTCACAGTAACCAATCAAAAGAGGCCAGTGTACCTGAACTGGTATGGTAAGGAAGTCCCCTGGTTTTTTGTTTTGTTTTGTTTCGTTTTTTGGTGTTTTTTGTGTGTGTTTGTTTGTTTTGTTTTTTGGTTTTTTGAGATGGAATCTCACTCTTGTTGCCCAGGTTGGAGTGCAATGGAATAATCTCGGCTCACCGCAACCTCCGCCTCCCGGGTTCAAGTGATTCTCCTGTCTCAGTCTCCCAAGTAGCTGGGATTGCAGGCATGCACCACCACGCCTGCCTAATTTTGTATTTTTCGTAGAGATGGGGTTTCTCCATGTTGGTCAGGTTGGTCTCGAACTCCTGACCTTAGGTGATCCACCCGCCTCGGCCTCCCAAAGTGCTGGGATTACAGGCATGAGCCACTGTGCCCAGCCTGTTTTTTGTTTTGTGTGTGTGTGTGTGTGTGTGTGTGTGTTCTTTTTGATGGAGTTTCACTCTTGTTGCCCAGGCTAGAATGCAGTGGTATGACCTCGGCTCACTGCAACCTCCACCTCCCGGGTTCAAGCGATTCTCCTGCCTCAGCCTCCTGAGCAGCTGGGATTACAGGCGTGTGCCACCGCACATGGCTAATTTGTATATTTTTAGTAGAGACGGGGTTTCACCATGTTCGCCAGGCTGGTCTCGAACTCCTAATGTCAGGTAATCCACCTGCCTTGGCCTCCCAAAGTGCTGGGATTACAGGCGTGAACCACCATACCCAGCCAGAAGTCCCCTCTATTTTAGCCCAAGAAGGAAGGTCACTTCCAAACCACCCATAGGCTGGGTGCAGTGGCTCATGCCTGTAATCCCAGCACTTTCGGAGGCTGAAGCAGGAGGATTGCTTGAGGCCAGGAATTCGAGGCTGCAATCAGCTATAATCATGCCACTGCACTCCAGTGTGGCCATCAGAGCAAGAACCTGTCTCAAAAGCAAGCAAAAAAACCGTTCGTCCACTTTTTGTTTCCTGTATCTGCTTTCTTCAGCCCCTTTCTACCTATAAAGCCAACCCCCTGTGCTCAGCTCATCAGAACACTCATTCTGTTTTATGGAATGAGGTGTTGCCCTCTTCTAGAATTGCAAATAAAAGCCAATTCAATATTTAAGCTAAATCTGTGGTAATTTTGTCTTTTGACAGTAGTACCCAACACAGATCTGAGCTCTACAGAGAGTTCTGGACTGGAGATGCCAGTCTGACGTCTTTCACCTTTCTAGAAGGTAACTGTGAGAGTGGGAATAGATGAGATGGTCCGAGACCACAGTAGAGTGGGAAAGGGCAGAATCTAGAGGTTGAACAATACCTAAGGGACAAGGGGAAGAGGAGATGTCTAAAGTCACTGAATAAGAGTGTCCAGACGAAAGGGAAAGAGGAGAATTACCAGGAGAGAGTGGTCATAGAAGCCAAGGGAGAGAGGTATTTAAATAATGAACGAATATTGGGACCAGACGCAGTGGCTACACTAGGAGTACAGGCATACGGCCGAGGTGGGCAGATCACAAGGTCAAGAGATCGAAACCATCCTGGCCAACCTGGTGCAACCCCGTCTCTACTAAAAATACAAAAATTAGCTGGATGTGGTGGCACACACCTCTAGTCCTAGCTACTCGGGAGGCTGAGACAGAAGAATTGCTTGAACCCGGGATGCGGAGGTTGCAGTGAGCCAAGATCGTACCACTGCACTCCAGCCTGGTGACAGAGCAAGACTCCATCTAAAAAAAAAAAAGAGCAAATACACAAAATATCAAATGCTGCTAAAGTCAAATAAAACAAGGACTGAAAATGTCTAGAAGATTCCCCAGTTGGTGATTTTGGTGGAAGCAGTTTCATCAGAAAAGTTATGAAGCAGAGCCCATTTTGCAGTAGATTGAGGAATCATGGTAGACTAGGATGTAGTTTACTCTTCAAAGGACAGAGCTTATAAAGAGGGCAGAGACAGAGGCAGCTGGAAAGAAATAGGAATAGAAAGAAGTTTTCAGATCTTGATTTATTTGTTGGTTTTAAGGGAAAGACTTTAGCATGTTAAAATGCTTTTAGGACTGAGGCCAAAGACAGGAGGAAGTGTACCTCTTGCATTGTTAAGAAGAGGTAAAGAATGTTCTGGCTGCTTAAATCAGCCCTGGCTCATACCTCTTATTCCACTGTAATGATTAACTGTACGCCTTTTACGCTGTGGTGTTACAGTTTGGAAGAAAATTTATATAGTCCATCTACATAAAGGGGAGCCCCCAGATGGGGCACAGGTACAGTTAACTTTGAAGGTAAAAGGGTTGGGACAGAAAGTTGAAGGAGTTTTTGATCTGGGCGTGTGTGTGTGTGTGTGTGTGTGTGTGTGTGTGTGTGTGTGATTTTATAGTTTTTTCTCCCCTGTAAGGGAGTTATCATCTAGTGGTCTCTACTTTCCTTGTGTAGTAGAGAAGGAAAGTCACTGTCCTAGAGTAGAGGAGATGGAGAGGCAGAAGTCTTGAAGACAGAGGTGACCCAACGGTTTTTTGACAGGAATAAGAGAGGAAATTGGCCTAAGGCTGAGACTTAAAGAGATCAAGTAGTATAACCAAGGTCACCAGGCTAGTGATATAGTCAGACTCACAACAAGACCTGCCTAACTCACAGGTCAACTCCAGAGACAACTTCAACTCCTCCTTCAACATCAGTCTCCCTTCCTCATTAGAATCTACCAAACACGTCAACAGTCAACTCTCAGTTGTATGTACCAACCACTCTTTGACCAGTAGTGCCTTCCTTCCCTCCCCAGAACTGCACCTCCACCATTCTGGAAGACTTTTGAAGCAAAAGCAAATGAAATAAACAGTAGGCATCCTTTTCTCAGCATCTCTCCTGAAAGAAAAAGTCGAAGGGAAAATACTTGGAATTTTTGCCTACAATGAGGTTAGGACTGTGCAAAATCTCATTTTGTTCCGTTTGCCTCCTATTACTTTAAAAAAATAGTTTTGAGCAACTACCAAGTGTCAGGCACCATCCTCAGGAATTCAAGGGTGAAAATGATAAGATCTTAGCCCTCAAGGAGCTCTCAGGTTAAAGAAAAAGAAAATTAGTCACAATACAGGGTGACGTCAATAATAAAGGAAATGCCAAGTTCAAATGATAGCACAGGAAGAACAAGCTCTGCCTGGAAGCATGAGGGAAGCTGTCTCTGAAAAGGCTAACCATACATGGCATCCTTTAGCCAAGACCCGATGACAAAAGAACAGGGGGGCTGGGTTAGGGTGAAATAGCATGGCTCACACAAGAGCTTCAAGTCAGAGGCCAGCTTGTGGGAATCGCAATAACTACCATTTGTTAAATAATTTTCTTTCTTTTTTTATTTTTGAGACAGAGTCTCACTCTGTCACCCAGGCTGGAGTGCAGTGGCTCGATCACAGCTCACCGCAGCCTCCACCTCCTGGGCTCAAGCGATCCTCCTGCCTCAGCAACCCAAGTAGCTGGGACCATAGGCACGTGCCACCACGTCCACACTTGGATTCTTTGTAGAAACGGGGTCTTGCTACGCTGCCTAGGCTAGTCTTGAACTCCTGGGCTCAAGCAATCCTCCCACCTTGGCCTCCCCCAGTGCTGGGATTACAGGCGCGAGCCACCGCACCCAGGCAATAATTTTCTTTTAATATCTTTACATCTCACAACAACCTTAGAAAGTACTTTATTAATCTCCTCATTTTGCAGATGAGGGAAATGACACTAGGACATTTAGTAACTTACCCAAGCTTACATAGCTGGGAAGTAGTACAACTGGGCTTTAATTCCAAACTCCATGATCCTTCCTCCACAAAACAAGCTTAAGACAGAAGAGGCAGAGCAGCAGGAAAGGAGCTGTCAAAGGTGAGAGTCTTTTGTCTCCAGTTTGGTCCAAGGGTTTTTCATTGAAGTCTGATGATGTCAGGGAAATTCTAAGAAGTGATGGGAATTTTAAATAAGTGTGAAAGAGAAAGGCAACAGAGATTTGTCAGTAATGCTAAAGAGGTTTTACCTTTTTCATTATCAATGGGTTTTGTACACATATAAGGATTTAAGCATAGGTATGCAAAAGTGGTTGCATGGAGCACTCACTGAATCAGAACAGGAAGAGGGGTAGAGGAAAATCTGAAGGTTAGGTGGATTCTCCACAAGAGGTACACTGTCCCAGGCAGAGTGGAAAAAGGCTCCACCTTTTCCAACACCATTAAACATTTTGATCCATCAATACCACTGAGACAGTGAGCTTACGTTTGAAAACAGACATAAGCTTTTTTGGAGGAAAGCTGATCTTGCAAGTAGCCTACTTGAATAACAGCAGTGGAAGCTTAGAAGCTCATGGCAAGAACTGACTTGTAATCCCCACCAGTAATTCTTGTTTTCCCTGGCCTCAGCCTCAGCAACTTTCTGTCCAGGGTCCTTGACTTACTGTAACTCCACCTCTTGTTCTTTGCTCTTTTCACAAGCCATCTCAGCCATCTCAGGGGAGAAAAGGGGGCAGCAGACACATTTTGTTTGAGATAATGTAAGCAGGGAGAAGTATAGAATCAATAACTCAAGCAATGGGAAGAGTTTGCCTGCTTAAAACTCAAAATTGCAAGAAGCCGTGGAGACCTATTACACTAACATCTAGATTGGCATCTGGACAGACACCACTCCTCAAGATATTAGTAGGTACTGAACAACAGAAAAGATTCTGTACACAAGGGAAAATGCTAGATTAAACTAATGAAAAGAATTTTGTTTTGGTTTGGTTTTAGCTACAGTACTCCTCAGGGCTTTCAATATGCTAACATGGGACCAGGTTTTTTATACCTTACCTAGTCATCTTTCCAGAACTTTCTGTTCACTGAAAAAAATTGGGACAATGCATCTCAAAGTGTGGCCTGCAGACTACCTGGAAACTGTCACTGGTCCTTAAGGAGATAAATACAAAACCTGAGAGTAAGTATTTAAAGTTATTACAAGTAATTTGACATTGCCTCAACATCCAAGGCTGTGATCAGAGGACTCACTGGACAGGTTATAGAACAGTGCAGGGGTTGCAAATTGTATGGCAGGAGGCATCATCATAGATCTGCCAAATGCTGAAAAGCAGCAAAGGTGCTGAGTTAGCTAAGGTATTTCAGCCTTTCTACCTTCCCCTCCATTTCCCATTGAGGCCTGAAGCTTCAAGAGAACAAGCAGGTTGGACTTGTCAGAGTTGAGAAGCCTTTCTGAGTAGAAAGGGCAGCCAGCTGCTTGTCCAGGCAAACAGGATGTGAGTCTTCTCAGGTGAGTCAGAGCTAAAGAGGAAAGCCTTTCCTGCCTAGCTCAGTGAGGGGGTCCACCCTTAGCTTTGGAAAGGGGAAAACTCAGGGAAAAGTCCCAGCAACATCGCTCTTTTCTTGCAGTTTGTTCCAATGTTATATGCTGTCTTGAGTGTCAATATCTGCTGAGCTACATTAGCAATAACCAAGAGGAAAAGAAGCTTTTAAAGCCAAAGAAAAATTGTCATTTAAAGTTGTCACCTTGGGGACAAGCTTTTATTCTAATGATGCTGACGTTATTCCAGATATTTCTAGAACATTTTTAGAATTGCCTTAGGAGTTTGAATCATAACATTTTTCGATTTAAAAAAAAAAAACCAGGGTCTCGCTCTGTTGCGCAGGCTGTAGTGCAGTGATGCAATCTCGGCTCACTGCAACCTCTGCCTCCTGGGCTCAAGCAATTCTCCCACCTCAGCCTCCCTAGTAGCTGGGACTACAGGCACGTGCCACCATGCCCGGCTAAGTTTGTATTTTATTTGTATTTTTAGTAGAGACAGGGTTTCACCATGTTGGCCAGGCTAGTCTCAAACTCTTGACCTCAAGTGATCCACTCACCACAGCCTCCCAAAGTGTTGGAATTACAGACATGAGCCACTGCATCCAGCCTTGAGATTTTTACTGATGGCAAATCCTCATGCTTTTGAGAATGGGCTTGATTTTTGGACACATTTAAAAGTCATGTAGATCAAATCCAAAGAAAGTAAGAAAGTGAATGACCAAACCAGGCACTGATTATAAAATCATAAGTATGATGACTTGTGAAATGCATAAATGGTCCCTGAGGATCCTTTAAAAGACAGGATTCTCTTTAAAAGCTCTTTAGGCCAGGATCGGTGGCTCATACCTGTAATCCCAGCACTTTGAGAGGCTGAGGTGGGCGGATCATTAGATCAAGAGATCGAGGCCATCCTGGCCAACATGGTGAAACCCCGTCTCTACTAAAAATACTAAAATTAGCTGGGCATGGTGGTGTGTGCCTGTAGTCCCAGCTACTCAGGAGGCTGAGACAGGAGAATTGCTTGAACCCAGGAGATGGAGGTTGCAGTGAGACGAGATCACGCCACTGCACTCCAGCCTGGGCAACAGAGCAAGACTCTGTCTCAAAAAAAAAAAAACCTCTTTAAAAACTGTTTTGTGCATAACTATAATAAAGGTATAATTTTCCATTTACTTTAAGGTCTCTTATCTTATTAAGCTGGATGTATACCTTAACTGGCTCTTCTTAATTCACAGATTAAGGCCTTTCATGATCTGCCTCTGTCAACTAACCAGCCCCTCTTTCCCCACTTTCCAGGCTCCTTAAGCCTTATTCATCACTATGCCAAACTAATCACATACTTGTTCTTACCTCCACATATATATTTGTGCATATGTTCTGTCTACTTTATCCAGCTGATCAACTCTTATTTGCCTTTCAAAATTAAGTTCACATTCCATGAAGCCTTCCCTGTCCCCTGGACCTGGAGTTAATAGTTCCCTTAGCACCTTGGGACACCTTTTTTATAGCCTTTGCTGCACTGTATGGTCATTACTTGTTTACACGTCTGCCTCTACTGTAGACTGAATCCCTCCAGGGCAGGGTTCATGTCTCTGTATCCCCAACACCTAACTGTTAGGCACATAGTAGATGCTCAATACGCATTTGCTGGATGAGTGAATGCATTCTTACTGAAGCATCTGTGTGCCCCACACCTCAGTGATGCTAAGCAGTATGGAGCTCCCACTGTTGGAACCTAAAGAAGTTTACTAAGGAAGTGAAGTGACAACCTAAAACTCAGTCCCAGCTTTAACTTGGCTTATCTTTGCATCTAAGTGAAGATCATCTCTAAGACTGGGATATCTACACTGAACAAGGGCTTCCCACCTTCCTCTGTTTTCAGCCTAGGTGCAACCATGAAAGGAAAGGAGCAAATGTAATCTGTATCATAATATATTCTATTTGAACATGATTAAATTAAAACTAATTGATAATGTCGATTAAATAATAAACACTAATTAAATACTAATTGTCAGAATGTGTCTCCTACTTTTATTCACTCTTTATAAGTTTTAATTACTAAGTTAATGATCAAGAATGGTACTATGTTGGGCTGAAACCTAGGATTTGGAATATACCCATTCATTCATCTACCAAATAATGTTTAAATTGAATTTAAAAACTAAGGCTGAATAATTATAGAGCACCTGTTATATGTCTAACACTGTGCTGAAAAAAAATATATGAAGATGCCATATTTAGCTTCATGGAATTCACAACCCAGATACTAGAACCTTCCATCTGCAAAGCTCTTTGCAAAGCATTTGAATACATTGTATCATTTAATTCTCACTATTCTATTCTACCCAATTTTCCTCATCTACTTTAGATAAGGAAAATGAGGATGACAGAGATGAAACAGTTTACCCAGTTACTCAGCTCACTCTGGCTAGAAAATAAATGGAAAAATTAGGGCTGAATCTGGGAGTTCTGTCTCTAAATCCAAAGCTTTTCTCATGGGCTCACACAAAGTCAATAATTTTTTTTTTTTTTTTTTTGCTTTTTACTATGGAACATTTCAAACATATACAAATGTAGATAAAATAATATAACAAACCCCATGTCCTATCACCCAGCCCTTATTATCAGCAACCCATGGTCATTTATGTCTTTATCTACCCACCCAATATTATTTTGAAGCAAATTGAAGATACCATATCATTTTGCCCATAAATATAACTTCTGTTAAAAGATAAACTTTGGCACACTTTAAAACTTTGAAGAGTTTATTTGAGCAAACAGCAATTCATTGATCAGGCTGCTCCAAACTGGAAATGGTTTGGGCTTCGAGGACGGAGCAAGAGGGGAAGGCTCTAATAGGGTAAATGCAGAAGCAGAGCAAAGAAATTATTTGATTGGTTAAACTTCCAGAATTTCCTTATTTAGACTATCCAATAGGAAGTTAAAGACAATATAACTAATGCCCAGATGGCCTTCTGTGATTGGCTAAGTTTCTTTTAAATTAACTGCTTACAGGAAATGAGACTGAGTTAGGTTTTAGCTTGCTTAGTAGGAACTTAGTTAGAGCCTCCTCAGTCTAATGCCCCCCCCATTTAATTATTTAAATACTTCAACACCATTATCATATTTTATTTTATATTTTTAGAGATGGAGTCTTGCTCTGTCACGCAGGCTGGAGTGCATGGCACAATCAATTATCTTGCCTCAGCCTCCCAAGTAGCTGGGACCACAGGAGTGCACCACCATCCCTGGCTAATTTTTTTTTTATCTTATAGTAGAAACAGTCTGTCTATGTTACCCAGGCTGGTCTTGAACTCTTGGCCTCAAGCAATCCTCCTGCCTCGCCCTTCCAAAGCGCTGGGATTACTGGCCTGAGCTACCATATCCAGTCTCCATTATCATATTCTAAGAGAATTAGCATTTCCTAAATGTCAAATAACCAGTGTTACAATTTCCAGTTATCTCATAAATGTTATAACATGTTTTTACAATTTGTTTATTTGAATGAAGGTCCAAATAAGGTCTAAAATTTGCAATTGGTCTTTATGTTTCCTAGATCTCTCTTAATCTATGGGTTCCTTATTATCTTTTATTATTATTCCTTATTATTTTTTGTTTCCTTGCAATTTACATTTAAAGAAATTGAGTCATTTGTCTCATGGTTTTCCACAGTATTTTTTTTTTTTTTTGCCTGCATCACGAAGGTGTTGTTTAATATGTTCCTCTGTATTTCCTATAGACTGGTATTGTATTTAAAGCAGTAGTTTTCCATTTTTAGTGAGCATCAGAATCACCTGAATGATTTGTCGCAACAGGTTGCTGGGCCCCACCCTCAGAGTTTCTGATTCTGGTCTGGGAAAGTCCCAAAAGTTTGCATTTCCAGCAACTTCCTGTGTGCTTGATGCTGACCACTCCTTGAAAGCTATTGATGTGGACTGAACTGAGGCTCAATCAGATTGAAATCTGACTTTTTTAAAGCAAGACTACCTCACAGGCAGTGTTGTGGTCTTCCTCCAGGAGGAATATAGTATGTGGTTGTCTCCTTTGTGTGTTTGATGTCAGTAGCCTTTGATGCTCAGTGCCCAGATCCATTCATTCATTTGGTGTGCAAAGTGATGATCTTCTAATCATATCATCCCTACTTTATTTATTAGCTAGACTATTTCTAGAAACAGAAACTCCCTCATCTACAAAGTGACTACTCACTGGGATGGTTCATATAGAAAAGATCGATTTTGAGGCCGGGCATGGTGGCTCACGCCTGTAATCCCAGCACTTTGGGAGGCCGAAGAGGGCAGATCACGAGATCAGGAGATCTAGACCATCGTGGCTAACATGGTGAAACCCCGTTGCTACTAAAAATACAAAAAATTAGCCGGGCGTGGTGGCGGGCGCCTGTAGTCCCAGCTACTCAGGAGGCTGAGGCAGGAGAATGGCGTGAACCCAGGAGGCGGAGCTTACAGTGAGTCGAGACCGAGCCACTGCACTCCAGCCTGGGCGACAGAGCTAGACTCCGTCTCAAAAGAAAAAAAAAAAGAAAAGAAAAGATCGATTTTGAGCACAATGCATTGGTTCACTAGCATCTTCCAATGATTAGCAATGAGAGTTTTTTGTTTTTAGTGTTATTACACATAATGACATTGTGACATAATGACCAGCCATTCCCCAGTCTCTCTTCACAGGCCTCCCAATTCCCTGAGACACATGATATTGAAATTAGGCCAATTAAACCCTACAATGGCCTCTAAGTGTTCAAGTGAAAGGTAGTTAACACACCTCTCACTTTAAATTGAAAGCTAAACATAGCATTAAATATATTTGATGTGTTTCAAACAACATCATTATTATTCTTATTGATTCTCAAATTTTCTCATCTTTGGCCATCGGGAGCCTCTTCAAGTTGGAAGAGGCTCTTCCAGCTTCAAGTGCATCCTTGCAAGGTGTGTTTGCTGCATTCTTTATGAATGTTAAAGTCTGCTATAGAAAGTAAGAGAAGGAAACAAATATGGAGACTAGATGAAATTAAGTGTAGAAGCAAGTAGCTTGTAAGACGTGTTAGACCTTGGTAAGTAGAGCAGATTTATGCTGATATAAGAAGGGATGGACAGACCAAGTAGACACAAGACACAGGAAACACCAAATATTTATGAGGCACTGAATATTCACAAAAATTTAAACCAGCCATCCCGTTGTGACACCCATTCTGGCAATCTGCATCCTCTGCCTGAGATATGCAGATAAAACCCATAGCTGCCCAACAGGGTAATCGGCAAGCTACAGCTGTAGCCAAGGATTCTTGCCCTTGCCTTCCTACAATAGAGCAAGAGTGTTTGGGCTCCAGGCCCAGTCAATTTGCTGAGTCCTCTTGCTCATCCACAACTCAGGTCCTTGTAACCATCGGTGGGGAAGGCTGATGCAATAGAAAGATTCGGCATATGAGCGTTACATAACACAGAACTCACATAGGGTACTTCTTCCACCCTGTGCTAAGGGTGTTAACCTTCCTCATCTCTTTTCCATTGCTTCTTACTAAACATTTTAATTGAGTTGATAAACCAAGTGATTCAGGATCGTAATTTTGTCTGTGAGCCATTCTGTTCTGTGACCTCTGGGATAGCTTGTTATGTAATATGTTAGAAGGTTATCATTGCACCAAGGTAATTCCTCATGTGACAGTCCTTTTGACCCATATGACGAGATGTTCCAGGCTCATCTTGAACACTTCTTGCCATAGACTTAAAATCATCCGCAATTCTTCAAGGATCCCTGATTTCTTTTAGTGGGAAATGGTGTTTGAACCTACAATCTGGGCATTAAGGATACACTGCTACGAGGGTGTTAAATTATTTTTGTGACTCATCTACTGCTTTATGCTGTATAGGCAGACCTCATTTTATTGCACTTCACTTTATTGCACTTTGCAGGTATTGTGTTTTTTACAAATTGAAGGTTTGTGACAACCCCATGTAGAGCAAATCATTTTCCAACAGCATGTGCTCACTTTGTGTCTCTGTGTCATGTTTTAGTAATTCTCACAACATTTCAAGCTTGTTTATTATTATTCTATATGTCGTGGTGACCTTTGATCGTGATCTTCGGTGTTACAGTAGTAGATGTTTTGGGGCACAACAAACCATGCCCATACATGATGGCAAACTTAATCAGAAAATGTTGTGCGTGTTCTGACTGCTCCACAGACCAGCCAGTCCCCCATCTCTCTCTCTATTCTCAGGCCTCCCTATTCCCTGAGACACAGCAATATTGAAATCAGGCCAGGTGAACCCTACAATGGCCTCTAAGTGTTCAAGTGAAAGGCAGTCGCATGTCTCTCACTTTAAATCAAAAACTAGACATGAGTAAGCTTAGTGAGGAAGGCATATGGAAAGCAGAGATAGGCAGAAAGCTCGGCCTCTCGCACCAAACAGCTAGCCAAGTTGTGAATGCAAAGGAAAAGTTTTTAAAAGAAATTGAAAGTGCTACTCGAATACATGAATGATAAGAAAGCAAAACAGCTTTGTTGCTGATATGGAGAAAGTTTGAGTGGTCTGGATAGAAGATCAAACCAACCACAACCTTTCCTTAAGTCAAAGCCTAATCCAGGGCAGGGCCCTGACTCTGTTCAATTCTATGAAGCCTGAGAGAGGTGAGGAAGCTGCAGAAGAAAAGTTTGCAGCTAGCAGAGGTTGGTTCATGAGGTTTAAGGAAAGAAGCCATCTCTATAACATAAAAGTACAAGGTAGACCAACAAGTGCTGATGTAGAAGCTGCAGCAAGTTATTCAGTAGATCTAAGTAAGGTAATTGATGAAGGTGGCTACACTAAACAACAGATTTTCAATGTAGTCAGGTGCAGGGGTTCACACTTGTAATCCCAGCACTTTGGGAGGCTGAAGCGGGAGGATCACTTAAGGCCAGGAGTTCGAGAACAGCCTGGGAAACACAGTGACACCCCATCTCTACAAAAAAATAAAAAATTAGCTGGGCATGGTGGCATACACCTGTAGTCCCAGCTACTCGAGAGGCTGAGGCAGGAGAATGGCTTGAACCCAGGAGTCCCAGGAGGCTGCAGTGAGCTATGATTGTGCCACTGTACTCCAGCCTGGGCAACAGAGTGAGATCCCATCTTAAAACAAAAACAAAAACAAAAAAAAACAAGAAAGAAAACTGGGCATGGTGGTGCACATCTCTAGTCCCAGCTACTCAGAAGGCTGGGATGGGAGGATCACTTGAGTACAGGAGTTTGAGGATGCAGCCAGCTATGATTGTGCCACCGCACTCCAGTATGGGCAAGAAAGCAAGATCCTTTCTCAATTTTTTTTTTTTTGAGACAGAGTCTCATTCTGTCATCCAGACTGGAGTGCAGTGGCACAATCTTGGCTCACTGCAACCTCCACCTCCCAGGTTCAAGCAATTCTCCTGCCTCAGCCTCCCAAGTAGCTGAGATTACAGGCATGCACCACCATGCCCAGCTAATTTTTTTTTTTTTTTTGTATTTTTAGTAGAGACAGAGTTTCACCATGTTGGTCAGGCTGGTCTCGAACTCCTGACCTCGGGTGACCCGTATGCCTCGGCCTCCCAAAGTGCTGGGATTACAGGCATGAGCCACCATGCCCAGCCATCAAATCTTTTTAAGTTAAAAAAAAATTAAATGTAGACAAAACAGCCTTACGCTGGAAGAAGATGTCATCTAAGACTTTCATAGCTCTAGAGGAGAAGTCAATGCCTGGCTTCAAAGCTTCAAAGACAGGCTGAGTCTCTTGTTAGTGGCTAATGCAGCTGGTGACTTTATGAAGCCAATTTATCATTTACCATTCTAAAAATCCTAGGGCCCTTAAGAATGATGTTAAATCTACTCTGCCTGAGCTCTATAAATGGAACAACAAAGCCTGGATGACAGCACATCTGTTTCCAGCATGGTTTTTTGTTTTTTTGTTTTGTTTTGTTTTGTCTTTTTCTTTTTTTGAGACAGAGTCTTGCTCTGTCGCCCAAGCTGGAGTGCAGTGGTGTGATCTTGGCTCACTGCAAGCTCCGCCTCCCGGGTTCACACCATTCTCCTGCCTCAGCCTCCCGAGTAGCTGGGACTACAGGCACCTGCCACCACACCTGGCTAATTTTTTGTATTTTTAGTAGAGATGGGGTTTCACCATGTTAGCCAGGATGGTCTAGATCTCCTGACCTTGTGATCCGCCCGCCTCGGCCTCCCAAAGTGCTGGGATTACAGGCATGAACCACCGCACCCAGCCGGTTTACTGAATATTTTAAGCCCACTGTTGAGACTTACTGCCCCCCTAAAAAAGATTATTTTTTAAAATATTATTGCTCATTGACAATGCACCTTGTCACCAAAGAGCTCTGATGGAAATGTACAAAGAGAAATTACTGCTGTTTTCATGCCTACCAACACAACATCTATTCTGCAGCCTATGGATCAAAGAGTAATTCTGACTTTCAAGTCTTATTATTTAAGAACTACATTTTTTAAGGCTATAACAATCATAGATAGTGGGATGGATCTGGGAAAAGGAAACTGAAAAACTTCTGCCAAGGATTCACCATTCTAGATGCCATTTAAGAACATTCATGATTCATGAGAGAAGGTCAAAATATTAACTTTAGCAGGAGTTCGGAAGAGGTTGATCCCAACCCTCATGGATGACTTTGAGGGGTTCAAGACTTCAGTGAAGGAAGTAACTACAGATGTGGTGGAAACAGCAAGAGAACTGGAATTAGAAGTAGAGACTGAAGATATTACTGAGTTGCTGCAATCTCATGTTAAAACTTTAATGGATGAGGAGTTGCTTCATATGGGTAAGCAAAGAAAGTGGTTTCTTACAATGGAATCTAGTCCTAGTGAAGATGTTATGAACATTGTTGAAATGACAACAGAGGATTTAGAATATTAGATAAACATAATTGGTAAAGCAGTGACAGGGTTTGGAGGATTGACTCCAATTTTGAAAGAAACTCTACTGTCGGTTAAATGCTATCAAACAGCATTGAATGTTACAGATAAATCTTTCATGAAAGGAAGGGTCAATCCATACAGCAAACTTCATTGTTTTTTTTTAAAAAATTTGCCTCAGCCGCCCCAACCTTCAGCAACCACCATCCTGATCAGTCAGCAGCCATCAACATGGAGGCAAGACCCACCACCAGCAAAAAAGATTATGACTTGCTGAAAGCTCAGATGATTAATAGCTTTTTTTTTTTTTTTTTGACAGGGTCTCACTCTGTCGCCCAGGCTGGAGTGTGGTGGTGCAATCTCAGCTGACTGCAGCCTCCACCCTACAGGTTCAAGTGATTCTCCTGCCTCAGCCACCAAACTGTAATCCTCAGCCTGGGACTACAGGAGACATGCACCACCACCCCAGCTAATTTTTGTATTTTTTGTAGAGATAGGGTTTCGCCCTGTTGCCCCGGCTGGTCTTGAATTCCTGAGCTCAAGCAATCCACCTGCCTCGGCCTCCCAAAGTGCTAGGATTAGAGGTGTGAGGCACCATGCCCAGTGGATCAATAGCATTTTAAAGCAAAAAAGTATTTTTAATTAAGGTATGCACATTGTTTTTTAGACATAATGCTATTACACATTTAGAAGACTACAGTATAGAGTAAACATAACTTTTATAGGCACTGGGAAACCAAAGAATTTGTGTGACTCACTTTATTGCAGTACTCACTTTATTGTGGTGGTTTGGAACTGAACCTGCAATATCTCTGAAGTATGATTGTATAGGCTTCTTAGTTTTTCCATTAAAATGAACAATTTAAAATTAAATACTCAGGCTCAGACTTCAATCTACTCTTTATTCAATCAACTCTCCATTAGTCAAACTTTATAGATAAATTAATTAATGGGAAAGCAAACAGAAATACCAGATTTTAGGTTAAACATGACAAAGTGAACACACATGTATTTCGTTCTTTTTATCTCCTAGAAAGCCCACTCAAATGGCATATACCCATAAAAGACAAGGACAATATAAGGATAATAGCAGACAAGAAATGCAATAAAAATTTGGAAGCTGAAAAACAAGTGAATGAGTGATAAATACAATAGAATGCCAGAAAAAAACTAAATTCTTCCAGAAAATAGAAGAAATAAAATGTTCCTCAACTCATTTATTGAGGCCAGTATAACACTGATACAAAAGAAAATAAGATAAGGACACTTAAGAAAAAAATTCCAAGCCAATTTCTCTCATGAAAATAAAGACAACAATTCTAAACAAAATATTAGCAAATTGACTTCAAGTGGGTAAAAATTTTAAAAAGATAACACACCACTACCAAGTAGGACTTATTTCAGTTATATAACAATGGTTTAATATCAGGAAATCTATAAATGTAATTCATCATATAAACAGCTTAAAAGAGAAAAATCATAGGAACCTGTCTATAGAACCGGAAAAAGTATTGGATAAAATCTCATGCCTATTCAGGATAAAAGCTCTTTATAAATCAGTATTAGAAGGGAATTCCTTAGCCTGATAAAGGGTAACTATTAAACCCCCACAGCAAATATTGTTCTAAGTAGAGACATATTAGATCATTCCCAATATTCAATATAATTCAATAATTAAAGAAGAATGCCCAGTATCTTCGCTGCTATTCAGTGTTATATTGGAGGCCCATCTGGTACAGTACAAGAAAAACAAATTAGAAGCTTACAGAACAAAAAAAGAGAAAATAAAGCTGTAATTGTTTGCAGATGACATGATTTTTTACATTGACAAAGCAAAAGAATATAGACAAATGTTTAAGAATAATAGAATTTAGCAATGAAACTGAATATTACACCAATATACATAATATTTAAAAACATTTCCATAAGGCAACAACAATCAACAACAAAAAAATAACTTTTTTTTTTTTTAAACGGAGTCTCCCTGTGCCGGCCAAGGCTGGAGTGCAGTGGTGCAATCTCGGCTCACTGCAACCTCCACCTCCTGGGTTCAAGTGATTCTCTTGCCTCAGCCTCCTGAGTAACTGGGATTACAGGTGTAAGCCACCACACCCGGTTTTTTGTATTTTTAGTAGAGATGGGGTTTCCCCATGTTGGCCAGGCTGGTCTTGAACTCCTGACCTCAAGTGATCCGCCTGCATCAGCCTCCCAAAGTGTTGGGATTACAGGCGTCAGGCACCGCACCCAGCCAAAAATACATAACTTTTAAAAAGATACTACATACTATAGTATCAGAGTATATCTCATACCTAAGAACAAATCTAATAAAAAAAAAGTATGACCTACACAACGGAAATTATAAAACTTTAGTGACATTTAAAAATACCTTCATAGACCAGGCATGGTGGCTCACATCTGTAATCCCAACACTTTGGGAGGCCAAGGCGGGCGGATCACTTGCTCCTGGGAGTTTCAGACCAGCCTAGGCAACATAATGAAACTTCTCCTCTTCAAAAAATACAAAAAATTAGCTGGGCATGGTGGAGTGCACCTGCAGTGTTAGCCACTTTGGAGGCCGAAGTGGGAGGATCGCTTAAGCCCCAGAGGTTGAGGCTGCAGTGAGCTGAGATCGTGCCACTGCACTCCAGCCTGGGCAACAGAGTGAGACCTTGTCTCAAAAAAATAGCAATAATAACAGAGAGCTATGTCATGTTCATGTATTTTAAACAATATAATAATATCATAAAGATATAAATTCCCCCCAAATTGATCTATAAATTTGTTTCTTTTCCTATCAGAATCACAGCAGGGTTTTTCATGAAACTTAAGATTCTAAAATTTATATGGAGAAGTAAAAAGCCAAGAATAGCCAGAAAAAGGAAGAGCAGGGCAGGGAACTGACTCTATGCCAGGATGTATTGTAAATCTATAATAGTTAAGATGATGTGGTATTGATGTAAGGATAGAAAAATTAACTGATGAGACAATATATAGCCTATAAGTCAGGCCTTTATGCATATGTTATGCATATAAAAATTTGGTATATGATGGAGGTGGCATAGCAGATCAGTGGGGAAAGGAAAATATGTCCAAATTTGGAGCTTGGAAAAATGCCATAGGGGAAAAAATGAAATTGAATCTCTAGTTCACATTGTACACAAAATCAACTCCAGATGGTTAAGGGGTGGAGGAGGCAGGCAGGAGATTGTTGGTTTTCATTATAAACTTTACAATACTATTAGACTGTTATGTTATTTAGATTAAAATACAAACTACTTTTTAAGAAAGAAAAAAATTCCCAGGGTTAACAAAGATGTAATGAAAGAGTAACATTTATACCCTGTGTGAATATAAATTGGTATGACTTTTTGGAAGGGTAATTTACAAATATCTGTCTAAATTTTAAGTACATGTATCCTTTGGTTCAGCAATCTCTCTTCTAGTAGCTTATCCTGCAGCTATAGTTGCTGAAGAGATATGTACACAGATGTTTCTTGCAGCTTTGTGGGTGTATTTGTCCATTCTCAAATAGCTACAAAGAAATACCTGAGACTGGGTAATTTATTAAGAAAAGAGGTTTAATTGGCTCATGGTTCTGCAAGCTGCACAGGAAGCATGATGCTGGCATCTGCTTGGCTTCTGGAGAGGCCTCAGGAAACTTACAATCATGGTAGAAGACAAAGGGCAAGCGGGCACATCATATGGCCAGAGCAGGAGAAAGAGAGAGCCAGCGAGGTGCCACACTTTTTTTTTTTTTTTTTTTTTTTGAGACAGAGTCTCGCTGTCACCCAGGCTGGAGTGCAATGGCACAATCTCGGCTCACTGCAACCTCCGCCTCCTGGGTTCAAGCAATTCTCATGCCTCAGCCTCCCGAGTAGCTGGGATTACAGGCATGCACCACCATGCCCGCTAATTTTTGTATTTTTAGTAGAGATGGGGTTTCACCATGTGGGCCAGGCTGGTCTCAAACTCAACTTCAGGTGATCTGCCCACCTCGGCCTCCCACAGTGCTGGGATTACAGGTGTGAAACACCGCGCCTGGCTGAGGTGCCACCCTTTTAAACAGCCAGATCTTGAGAGAACTCACTCACTATCACGAGGACAGCACCAAGAAAATGGTGTGAAACCATTCATGAGAAATCCACCCCCATGATCCATGACCCACCTCCAACATTGGGGATTACAATTCAACGTAGGATTTGGGCAGGGACACACATCCAAACTATATCAGAGGGGATAGGGGAATGTTTAATCGGTATACAGTTTCAGTTTTGCAAGATAAAAAAAATCCTGGATATTGATTGCACAAAATTGTGAATGGACTTAACACTACTCAACTGTATACTTAAAATGGTTAAGATGATAAATTTTGTTATTTGCATTTCACCACAATTTTTAAAAAAATAACAATCCTGAAAAAAAAAATGGGGCCACTGCTCGAGGACTGCAAGTTTGCTAGAACCTGAGAGGAGATAGGAATCATTTGGGAGGCCAGAGAGGAGAACATGATTAAGTAGAGTGCCAGAAATCAGAGCAGGCTTCAAGCTGGTCCGGAGGCTCGTGGTGGAGGTTGAGTGAGGGCAAAGTTCAGAGAAGTAGGACACCTCATGCCAAGTATATTCGTGTCCATAATACTGATTTTCCAGTCAGTTGCTGCCTCCTTCTGTTCATTTTGGGAGGGATCGCGATACTAGGTTCTGCAAACCGAGGTCGGAGGAAGGCTCTAAACAGTGATTCTTAACTGAGATGGCACGGTTCCCCGGAAGATGTTTTGGAAATGTGTGGGACTGTTTTTGTGAGATGCTAGAGGCATTTAGTGGTTGGGGGCTAGAAATGCTGGCATCCTGCAATGCATGAGAACAGTTCAGCAAAACAAAGAATTGTCCTACATCCCACACGACTTTCAAATGGCACATGGGACATTAATGAAGCTGGAAAACCTAAATGTGTAATATCTGATCCTAGACCGTAGCTCCATTTTACACAATATGTTTTGCATGGTTTTAATATATGTTGAATTTTCCAGGCATGCAACTACCATATAATTTAAAGGAAGATTGTTTTGTTCAGAGCTTTATCAATCGTTGTTTACTGCTTTTGAAAATTACATCACTAAAGCACCCGTGGTATTTGAGTCACCGGCACCACCCAATAGCATACATTTGAAGCTGAGCATTTACATGGCTAATACATACACAGGCAAGAATCTGACTCTTATTCTGTCTTCTCATGGAATCATGCCAAAGGATTTATTTCATCATACACTTCTTGTATTTCTTCTTTACAAGGAGCATTGTATTGATTTGAGGGAAAATTGTGTGTGGAGATTCGCTTTCTTTTCTGTGATTTCCTTTCAGCGTAGTAAAGGGGATGTTACAAAATAGTTGTTATAGGAAGGGGCGTGTGTCTTAGGAGTTGAGAAGACTACATTACACTAAGGTGGCCAGTTGTTGTTCTGGGCTGTGCCATCTCAACTAATTAAGAACTGGATGGTGCCGGAAAGGGAAGGACTTCAAGCCAAGGAGGGGACCTAGGAACAGAAGCATGAATGATATGAGGACTGAGTCAGAAGAAGCAAAAATTAACAAATAAATGCATAAATAAGTAAGACACGTGAGCGCTAGGAAAAGCAGGATGGGTATGTCCACATGCTGATATCAAAAATACATGCACGTTAGGCAGGGTGCAGTGGCTCATTCCTGTAATCCCAGCACTTTGGGAGGCCAAGGCAGGAGGATCGCTTGAGCCCAGGAGTTCAAGACCAGCCTTGACCACATAGGGAGACTTCATCTTTACAAAAAATAAAAATAAAAATAGCTCGGTGTTGTAGCACACACCTGTGGTCCTACCTACTTGGGAAGCTGAGGCAGGAGGATCATTTGAGCTCAGAAGGATGAGGCTGCAGTGAGCCATGTTCTTGCCACTGCACCCCAGCTTGAGTGGCAGAGTGAGACTGTTTCAAAAATATATCTATATTTCACATTAGATTCATACCTATTTGAAAATTAGCATCAATTATTCTTTTCTTTTTTAAATGTTTATCTTTAGTTATATAAGTAATAAATATTCATTACAGAAAATTTCAAACGTAGAAAAGTATACGAAGAAAATTTAAATTGTTCTATTTATATTCATGTACCATCTTTGTAGGCATTTTGCTGTAGTTTTTTCCAGTCACTTTCATAAATATACATTTGCATTGTACATGGTAAAGATTATACTGTGCAATTCTGTCTTTTTTGTATGATTAAATTGAATTGGTTTTGAATTTTTTTAGATTTAACTTGTCAATTCCTTTTGGTTCTATAGTTGTATAAAAGATATAAGCATATTGAGTTCTTGCCTAGTTTTATGTATCTATCATTAAAAAAAGAATTCCCATGAAATCACATCCCCTCCAACCAAAGCCCCATTCTCTGCTCTCTTTCACTGAAAAACTTCTCAAAAGAGATGTCTACATTCTGACTCTACCTCTTTACCTCTCATTTATGCCTAATTTTTTTTAGTGAAGAAGTATAAGGACATTGTTTTAAAAAATCAGTTTGCTAGGCCGGGCACAGTGGCTCATGCCTGTAATCCCAGCACTTTGGGCGGCTGAGGCCGGTGGATTGCTTGAGCTCAGGCGTTTGAGACCAGCCTGGGCAACATAGCAAGACTCTATATAACATTACAAGAATTAGCTGGGCATGGTGCGTGCCTGTAGTCCCAGCTACCTGGGAGGCTCAGGAATGAGCCTCGACCGCGTCACTCTACTCCAGCCTGGGCGACAGAGCAAGACCCTGTCTTAGAAAAAAAAAAAAAATCAATTTGCTGAAGGCTTAGAATGAAAAAACAACCAACCAATCCTTGCCCCTCCCCTTTTACTCTATGATCTATTACTTTGACATTGTTCTGTAGTCTTTCTCCCATGTGTGTATAGGTGTCTATTTGTACATTCTTTTTTTGAGGCTTGATTTACATACCATAAAATGCACCCTTTTAAATATACAGTTCAAGAATTTTGACAAATGTATGCACTCGTGTACCACCACCCCAGTTAAGATACAAAACATTCCTGTCACCCCTAAAGGTTCCCTCAAGGCTCTTTGCAATCAATCTTCCACCTACCTCCAGCCCCAAACAGCCAATAATTTTCTTTCTGTCACTGTAAATTAAATATTACTGTTCTAAGCCAGGCATAGTGGCTCACACATGTAATCTCAGCATGTTGGGAGGCCGAGGCAAGAGGATCATTTGAGTCCAGGAGTCCAAAAAAGCCTGGGTAACCTGGTGAGATCCTGTCTCTACAAAAAAGAAAATAAATTAAAAAATAATAATAAATACACTTTACTGTTTTAGAATTTCATATAAAAGAAACCATACAGCAATACACTTTTGTGTCTGGATTCTTTGCTTAAAATAAAGTTTTTGAGATGTAGTTTGCTACATCAGTAGTTTGCTCCTTTTTATTGCTTTAGTAGTATGCTCTGAATGTACTGCAATTTATTTATTCATTCATCTCTTGTTGAACATTTGGGCTGTTTCCAGGTTTTTGCCATTATTATTTTTTTAAAACACTGCTGTGATCATCATATACATGTCTTTTTGTGGATACATGTTTTCGTTTATCTCATTAACCTGGGTATGGTATTGCTGAGTCGTAACATAAAAGTATATTAACTTCATAAACAAAACTGACAACCATTTTTCCATTGTTATTTCAAGTGGTTGTACCATTCCACACTCCCACCAGCAAAGTAAAAAAGTTCCAATTGTTCCACATCCTCTTCAACACTTACTATTGTCAGTCATCCTAATTTTAGCCATTTTAGAATGTGTATAGTAGTATCTCATTGTGATTTGAATTTGCATTTCCCTGACAACTAATGATGTTGAGAATATTTTCATGTGCTTCTTGGCTATTTGTATGTCTTCTTTTATGAAGTGCCTATTTATATCCTTTGCCCAATTTTTTATTGGGTTGCCTTCTTACTAAGTTGTAAGAGTTACTTATATATTTTGAATACAAGTCCCCTGTCAGATACACATATTGTGAATTATTTCTCCTAGTCTGTGACTTACCTCTTCATTTTAATAGAGTCTTTCAAAAAGCAGGAAAGTTTTTAATTTTGACAAGGTCTAACTTACTCTTTTTTACCTTTTATTATTTATTAAAAATTACTATTTTTGTATCCTAAAATATGTTTGCCTACTCCAAAGCTATAGTGATATTATCCTATGTTTTCTTCCACAAGTTTTATAGTTTTAGCTTTTACATTTAGGTCCTTATTTCAAGTTCTCTCTCTCTCTTTTTTTTTTTTTTTTTTTTTTTTTGCATAGTTTGAGGTAAGGATTGAAATTCATTATTTTCCTTATGGATTTCTATCTAGTTTTTCCTAGACCATTTGTTGAAAAGACTATCATTTCTCCCGTTGTTTACTTTCCTTGAAAATCAATTGTTTATATATGTTAGGGTCTTTTTCTGGGCTCTCTACTCTGTTTTATTGAATTATGTCTATTCTTAATGCCAATTCCAGCAATACACTTCAAAATACCCCATGAGTCAAAGATAAATCAATGGAAATTAGAATGTATTTTAACTGAATAAGTAAAATACAACATATTAAAATTTGCGGAACGCAGCCCAAGCAACAACATATAAGATTTTCAGAAACCCAATGTTAACCAAAAGACACCAAACACAAAGTATGAGTGATATGAGTGATTTCATTTACATAAAACTCATTAAAAGGAAATGGAAATTAGTGTTTAGAGATGCATGCTGTAGCAGGTGTTGCTGGTGCCCTGTCGCATCCCCTTCACCTGCTCAGTGCACCCATCCCCTGGCTTCTGTGAGTATTGACTGCTAATAGCTTCACAGCAGCACACTTCGCCTGAGAATTGCCCTCCACCTCCAGGAAGCTGCCTTACCTGGCATCCTGCAGCCAATGACTGACAGATAGGGGAATACAGAAGTTCAGTCTCCTGCCTCTAGACGGGACAACTCCGCGGGGGCATTCTTGCTCTAGAGCTCCCCTGGAGATCAGATTAAGGATAGACCTCAGCTGAACCCACATTTTGAACTAGCTTTTTCTCCTCTTCTAATGTGCCATCCAGTGCCATCCTTACTCCCTTACAGAACTCATCTGAAGGCACTCCCTCACCAAATCACTTGAACAAGAATTGCAATCTCAAGCTCTGCTCTTGGGGGATCAATCCTAAACTAGTTGGTTCTAGAAGTGGTCCTAAAAAGTAGATTTTAAAGATGGGATTCTGGAGTTGGATAACAGATGGCAATGAAGACCCCATCATCAATGGTAGGAGGAGCTACAGCCCCTGTGATGACCTGGGCCAAGATTAAGGTGGAAGGAATACACTGGCTTACGAATGCTCCTGGCATGTGAGAAGTTCAGGTAAATAGTAACTATGAAGATTGTGAAATTGGGTGGCTCTTGCTTAGAACCACTGATATGTTAAAGAAAGAAAATGACAAGCTCATATCAATTAATCACCGATTTAAAACAAAGTGAGTCAGAGGCTGGCTTCCTTAGCAGCATTTAAAGAGCACCTCATCTCCTGCAGCTAGAGGGCACCCTCTGTAAAACTGGAAGAATTTCAGAGGAGGAATTCTTAGCCTAGGTAAGTTGCTTATGCCAAAATCAGGGCCATGATAAGGAAGATATGGGACCCTGAGGCTGAGCAAATGTGATTGAGACCCCTGAACTTCCAGTTCCCCCTGAACCCACTGGGCCTAGGCTTCAAATAAGAAGGTACCTTACAAGACATCATTAGCCCATCTCAGAATCTGCCCTCACCTCCCCTCCTGGCCATCAGATCAATCACTACAGTCAAATCTCAAGATGACCCAACTGAGGAAGTGCTGGGGCTGCTGAGAGAAGAGAGAGATTGATATGCCAAGGCCGCTGCAGGACCCCACTGATGTGGACTGGCAAGACCTGGGGCATTTGCCTGTGGGAGGCATGTGGATCAAGTGGGGTGGAATGTAAAGCTGAATGGAAGAGGCTTTGTCAATGTGGGGGCACTCTCATGACACGAGATTTAATACCTGGTATGGGCCCTAGGAGACTGATTTAATCTGCTGCTAGGAAGGCTCTTGAAATTTTGGTAAGAGTGGTGGCCCACATTAAATGAAGTAGAGTGTCTGAACTGCTGTGGCAGACTAGGGAGAAAGGACCAAAAAGGATCAGAGAGTGAGCATGCTAGAATGAATCTACTCTCAAATACCAGAAAACCCACCAGTTGACTCTATCCCTCGGGGGGCCTAGAGGATTTGCCAACACATTCTAATAAATGAGCACCAGCATTATTTTTTTTAAGTTTTTTTTTTAAATTTTTGTGGGCACATAGTAAGTGTATATGTTTATGGGGCACATGAGATGTTTTGATAAAGGCATGCAGTGTGAAATAAACACAGCATAAAGAATGGGGTATCCATTCCCTCAAGCATTTATCCATGAGTTGCAAGCAGTTCAATTACACTCTTTACATTTTCATTTTTTGGTTTTTGGTTGTTTTGTTCTGTTTTGTTCTGTTTTTTGAGACAGAGTCTTGCTCAGTTGCCCAGGCTGGAGTACAATGGCGCGCTCTCAGCTCACCGCAATTTCTGCCACCCGGGCTCAAGCGATTCTCCTGCCTCAGCCTCCTGAGTAGCTGGGATTACAGGTGCCCACTGCCATGCCTGGCTAATTTTTGTATTTTTAGTAAGACAGGGTTTCGCCATGTTGGCCAGGCTGGTCTTGAACTCCTGACCTCAGGTGATCCACCCACCTCGGCCTCCCAAAGTGCTGGGATTACAGGCGTAAGCCACTGTGCCTGGCCTCTTTAAGTTACTTAAAAATGTACAGTTAAGTTATTATTGACTATAGTCACCCAGTTGTGCTATCAAACAGTAGGTCTTATGCATTCTAATTTTTTTTTAACCAGTTAACCATCCCCACCCCAGTCTTTCACTACCCTTCCCAGCCTCTGTTAACCATCTTTCTACTCTCTAAGTCCATGAGTTCAACTGTTGCACCAGCATTATTGAGACAGTTAATATTAGTCATTTTCTGTAGGCCTGGGCTAATGGTATCATAGACCTGGTTCCTAGGTAGTAATGAGAATGAGAAGGTCCCGGAGAAGCAGAGGCCAGCTGGCGGCATTTATCTTCCAAAGCAAGGTGGCTATAAGGTCAAAACTGCCAGTCAGGAGGCCTGATTCACAGAGATCTATGGCAATGACTGATGGAATATGTTTTTCCTAAGGTGAGTTTGCCAGATTTAGCAAATAAAAATATAGGCTGCCCAATTAAATTTAAATTTCAGATAAATAACAAAGAATTTTTTAGTGTCAGTATGTCCCATACACATCTGACAATATGTGTGTGTATTTTTATTTCCCCAAAATTGATCCAAGAATGAATGAACAGATGGCCAAGTTGAGCTTACTAATGGAAAGCCATAATTCCCTTCTGAGTTTCCAGATCTTAGCCGATTCTCATACCCAGAACCAATCAACTGAAAGAAAGGCCAAGTCCCCATAAGAAAGGACATTACAACACCATGGCAAGTATATAAATTAGTGATTCCCACAGTCCTTCCCCACAAGGACTCATTTATTCGTGGAAAGGGGAATACCTGGACCTTTCAAGGGCTGTTGGATACAGGGCCCAAGTTGATGATTATAACCAGGGTCCCAAAGTGCTGTTTATGGCTGTTAGAGGAGAGGCACATAAGAGTCAGGTGGTAAATGGGGTCCTTGCCCAGGTCCATCTCACTGACCCACCCAGTCACCATCTACCCAGTTCCCAAAAGTATGATAATGGATATAGCAGTTGGCAGAACCCTCACCTTGGCTCCTTAACGTGTAAATAAGAGCTATTGCTTTAGGAAAAGCCAGTGGAAGCCCTTGTAACTTTCCATGACTCCCTGCCAAGACAGTAAATAAAAAATAATATTGCATCCTAGAGAGAATGGTAGAGATTAGTGTCATTTTCAAAGACTTAAAGAATTGTGGTCCCATTATACACCCTATTTAATTCACTGATTTGGCCTTTGCAAAAATTGAGGAATCATTGTGGATGAGAGTGGACTACTGCAAATTTAAACAAGTAGTAGCTCCAACTGCAGCAGTTATGCCAAATGTAATATTTTTAATCAGAGCATTCACTCATAGCCAAGAGACAATATACTTTCCTGGTCTTGCCTGGGGCTGTGTCAACTTGCCAGCTCTCTATCATAACATAGTCTGAAGGGACCTGGACAATCTGGACGTTCTGCAGAACATCACATTGGTCCGCTATATCAATGACATTGTGTTAATCACATCAAATGAGCAAGAAATTGCGAGTATTTGGAGGCCTTGGAGAATAGGAGATAAACTCTATGAAGATTCTGGGGCCTGCCACGTAAGTGTGTTTTTGGTTTTTTTGGTTTTTTTTTTTTAGATGGAGTTTCGCTCTTGTCACCCAGGCTGGAGTGCAATGGCACTATCTCGGCTCACCGCAACCTCCACCTTCCGGGTTCAAGCAATTCTCCTGACTCAGCCTCCCAGGTAGCTGGGATTACAGGCATGCACCACCATGCCTGGCTAATTTTTTTTGTATTTTTAGTAGAGACGGGGTGTCTCCATGTTGGTCAGGCTGGTCTTGAACTCCCAACCTCAGGTGGTCCACCTACCTCAGCCTCCCAAAGTGTTGGGATTACAGGCATGAGCCACCGTGCCTGGCCAGGTGTCCTTTTTAAGAGTGCAAGGTCTTGGACCATCCAGGTCATTTCTTCCAAGTAGAGGCTATGTTATTTTACCTTGCACCATCCCCTCAGTTAAGAAAGGGAATACCTTATAGGCCTCTTCATTTCCAAGTGACATAAAACTCTTACAGCTTTGAGTGGAGCCCAGAGCAGTAAAGTGCTCTGCAGCAAGTCCATGCTGTGGTACAAGCAGCTCTGCAGCTTGGGCCACATACCAGCAACCCTGATGGCAGTTAGAAGTATCTGTGGTGGGAAAAGATGCCTTTTGGAGTCTATGGCAAGTTCCAGCAGGAGAATCAAAATGTTGATACCTAGGGTTCAGGAACAAAGCCATTCTACCTACAGCAGTGAATTATATACCATTTGAAAAGCAGCTCTTGGCATGCTACTAGAGTAGATACACAGGAAGAAGTTGAGTAACTGACAATGGGACATCAGCTGACCATTAAACTTGATCTGCCCATTATAAGCTAAGCAGTGTCAGACCCTCCAAGTCACAAGTTTGGGTGGGCGCAACAATCCACTGTAAGAAGGAAGGAATGCAGTCTGGCTGAGGCATGAATAGTGCCAGAGGACACAAGCAGCAACTGCAGGAGCACATGGCCTCCATCATCCACCGCTACTACACTAATAATTCACCTTCAGTTCAACCTGTGGCTACCTGATGGGCTATTCTTGAAGTCCAGCTGACAGAGGAGAATAAAGCCTGAGCTTCCTTGACAGATGTCATCTTAGTATGTGGATGCAAGCCAAAAATGGAATGCTGCAGTCCTGCAGTCCTGCATTCCCACTAGGGAACGAGCTTGAAAGAGTAGTAAAGGGAACCGGGTGTGGTGGCTCACACCTATAATCCCAGCACTTTTGGAGGCCAAGGCGGGTGGATTGCCTGAGCTTGGGAGTTCAAGACCACCCTTGGCAACATGGTGAAACCTTGTCTCTACTAAAATACAAAAAATTAGCTGGGAGTGTTAGCACGTGACTGTAGTCCCAGCTACTCGGGAGGCTGAGACACAAGCATCGCTTGAGCACCAGAAGCAGAGGTTGCAGTGAGCCGAGATGGTGCCACAGCACTCCAGCCTGGGCGACAGAGTGAGACTGTGTCTCAAAAAAAAAAAAGAAAAGAAAAGAAAAAGAAAGAGGAGTAAAGGGAAATCCTCTCAAAGGGCAGAGCTTCTGCCATTGTACGTGGTTATTCACTTTATGTGGAAAGAGAAGTGGCCTAATGTTAGAATATACAGAGATCCATGGGCAGTGGTGAGTGGCTTGATTTATTGATTAGGGGCCTGGAACAAGTAAGAGTAGAAGATTGGGGACAGAAAAGTCTGGGGAAGATGCACGTGTATGGGCCCACGGGAGTCGTTACCAGATGTGAAGATCTTTGTGTCACATGTGAACACCAAGCAGAGAACATCCGTCGTGGGAGAAGCACCACAACACAAAGTAGAAGAAAATGACTTGGCCCGTTAAAGTCAACTAGCCTCTGTCCATGGCCATCTCAAGACTCAAACAGTGGGGTTATGAATGTAGTAGCTATGGTGGCAATGGTAAATGCTAGACCTCGGCACAACAGGGTGAGCTGTCACTCACAAAGGTTGATCCAGCTACTGCCACTGCCAAAACAGAGTTCAGTGCAGAGCCTCCAATTTGGCATCATCGTTGAAGGAAACCAACCAGTCATTTCTTGACAAGAGGATTACATTGGACCCTTTTCAAACCAAAATCTGGAAAGGGCTCAATTCATTGACAGGACAAATCAATTCATTTGACATACTCTGGGTATGAGTTTGATTCTCTTACCTGCAGTGCCTGAGCTAGCCCTACTATCCAAGAGTTCACATACTGTCTGATCCGTCAGCATTAGATCTTCCATAGCATCACAACAGACCATGGGACCCACTTTAAAACAAGGATGTGTCCGTGGACATATGACCATGGGATCCACTGGCCCTATCATATACCACAACACCCAGAAGCTGCCAGCCTGATGGATCCATGGAATAGTCTTTTCAAGACATAGCTAAGGTATCAACTTAGAGATGACACCCTGCTAGGATTGGGCACTGTCCTTCAGGATGTGGTGTACATATTAAGCCAATGACTGTTATATGATACTATGTCTCCAAAAGGTAAAACGCATGTGTGCAAGAGCTAAAGGTTAGAAGTAGGGATATTCATGCTTACCATTACTTCCAGTGACCCACTTAGGAAATCTGTGCTTCCTGTCCCGCTAACTCTAGGCTCTGAGCTTCTAGGGGCCATGGTTTCCAGAGACAGAACACTTTCACCACAGCACCCATTAAACTTTAAGCTACACCACTGCCAAGAGACCAGCATGCCAAAAAAAAAAAAAAAATGATTTGCTCCCCCAGCAGAGTGAATCTTTCCATATCTGATGATAAGGAGGAGGCAGGGCTGCAGGGACAACTCAGATAGAATCCAAGGGCTCCCCTGGGGCATTTTTTAGTGCAATTTTGATGGTAAATGGGCAAGTGCAGCAGCCACAACCCGAAAAGACCACGACGGCCAGGGGCTCAGACTCCTCAAGCTATGTCTTCCCTGAGGTCAGCAGAGGTGCTAACTGAGGCTAGGAGCAATCCAGAAAAGGGAACAAGCATTGCCTATCAGATGCGCCCTGGGGCAACTGTGCTAATGGGGCTGTAATTTGTCCCATTAGGAAACTTTCCTTTTATAAGCTTCTCCAAAAAAAGAGATAACCAGAATCCCGAAAAGGCTGTTTAAGGACAGGATGAAATTATCACATGAAGCGAATGGCTCCAAGCAGTGCAAGTGTTAAACTGCATGGATGCTGTGGCTGCACCCAGGTCATCACTCCAGGGCTGCTCCCTCCCCCAACTGCTGGGATTCTTGTACTCAGAGGACTCACAGTTGAGCTCTTTCAAAGACATTGCCTTCAGCAGAAGCAGCTGCCTCACCCAACTTCGCAGCCCCCTCACCCAACTTCGCAGCCCCTCAATTCATAATACCTGTATTTTTCATGGCCCCTTTGCTCAATTCAGGATAACTCAGGATAACTTGGGAAGGTGATCCCAGGCTAAGAACTCCCCATGGCTCTGGCTGAGGCTCCTGATATGTCTCATCGCAGTTCACCTCTCTCTGCCAGATGCTGCCCCTCTCTCCCTTACAGATGATGCTCCTGTGCTTCCTCAGAGAGCCACCTGCCCAAATCTCCATCTTTTTTTCCCAGAAAACCCGATGGATAGCAATGCACATTTACAGACACGAAGGTAACCACCAGGAAAAAAAAAAAAAAGTTGAAAAACTTAAAAGTTGTTTTCTCTAGGGAGAAGTGTAGGGGTGAAGCAAGGTAGAACAGGGGCTATTGTTATACAGCCCTTCTATATGCATTGTTTTTAACATGCACGTATTACTTCCATCATTAAAACTTTTTTCATTTTGGCCAGGCATGGTGGCTCATGTCTGTAATCCCAGCACTTCAGGAGGCCAAGGTGGGCAGATCGCTTGAGCTCAGGAGTTCGAGACCAGCCTGGGCAACATGGTGAAACTCTATCTCTACCAAAAATACAAAAATTAGTTGGGCGTGGTGGCAGGCACATGCAATTCCAGCTACCTGGGAGGATGAGACAGGAGGATCCCTTGAGCCCAGGAGGGGGAGGTTGCAGTGAGCCAAGATCGCACGATTGCATTCCAGCCTGAGCAACAAAGTGAGACTTCATCTAAAAAAAACCCCAACTTTTTCCATTTGAATATTATAAGAATTTGATACTGTCACTCACCTTTTTAAAACTATTTGAATACTTCCTACAGCCCTAAGAAAATCCTTAAGAATCCCTAACATAGCTTGCAAATCCCTTCCCATCTGGCCCCTGCTGAGTTTCCTATCTCTTTTATTTTTTTCATTTTTATTTTTTGACAGGGTCTTGCTCTATTGCCCAGGCTGGAGCATAGTAGCACAATCATAGCTGACTGCAGCCTCAACCTCCTGAGCTCAAGTGATCCTCCCACCTCAGCCTCCCGAGTAGCTGGGACTACAGGTGAGCACCATCACATCCGGCTAATTTTTTGTATTTTTTTGTAGAGATAGGGTTTCACCATGTTGCTCAGGCTGGTCTTGAGCTCCTGGCCTCAAGCAATCTGCCTGCTTTGGCCTCCCAAAGTACCATATCTGGCGAATTTCTTATATTATTTCTTACACTCCTCGTTCTCCCTGTTACCTGCCGTGCTGGATTTTCCATTTCTCTTCCTCATCTCTGGACTTCAAACATGCTGCTGCCTCTATCTGGAATGCTTTCCACTCCACCTGGTTCATTGCTGTTCCTCCATCAAATTTCAGCTTAGATGTCACCTGCTCAGGGGGACCTTCTCTTCCCCATCCCACCCCAGACTATCTTAGATCCCTTCTATCACTCCCACAGCACCTGAACGTCTTTTTTCTTAGCATCAATCTCCTGAAGTTATCTGGGGGGTTTTTTAGAGATGGGATCTCACTATGTTGCCTAGGCTGGAGCGCAGTGGCTATTCACAGGCACAATCACACTCACTGCAGTCTCGAACCCCTGGGCTCAGTCAGTCCTCCTGCCTCAGCCTCCTGAGTAGCTGGGAATACAGGTGTACACCATCATGCGGGGCATGGTTATTGGTTATGAGGTTATCTGTTTAATCTCCACATTTCCTTTTTTATCCAAGAGGACTATTTATCTTGTTTCTCCTGTATTACTAGCACCCAGCATATAACTACAGTACAGTAGACAGAAAATATGTATTAAATAAGTGAATTTCATCAAAATGTTTTCTAGAGTCCCAGCTCTGTAATCTGCAACTTAGATAACCTGCCTGAGCCTTAGTTTGCTCAAGTATAAAATGGAAATAAAAATAAAAATAATACTTACCTTAGAGGGTCGTTTTGAGGATTAAATAAGATATATCAGAAAAGCTCTTAGAACGGTGCTTGGATATAGTAAGCATTTGATTAATGCATGCTTAAACATAAAGAAAGGTTACATCAATTCACACTCATACCAGCAGACTTTGACACTATCACTCTTTACCCTGTTCAACATTGAGTCTTGTGTTTTTAAATATTTTTGTAAAGAATATAGGTAAAAAGTGGCATTTTTTCTTTGGATTTAATTCTTATGGATTTAAGTCAACATGTATTTTCAAGCCAACAAGTTTTGTTAATAAGATGGCTGCACCCTGCTGCTCCATGCCAGATCCACCACACAGAAAGCAAATGTTCAGTGCATCTCCCTCTTCCTGTCAGAGCTTATAGAGGAAGGAAGACCCCGCAATGTGGAGGCATATTGTATTACAATTACTTTTAATGGCAAAAACTGCAGTTACTTTTGTGCCAACCTACTACATGGTCTGGACAGCTAAATGTCATGTATTTTTCATGGCCCCTCCAGGTATTGTCAGAGTCCTCTTGTTTGGCCTTCTAGGAAGGCTGTGGGACCCAGCTTTCTTCAACCAGTCCAGGTGGAGGCCTCTGCCTTGAACGTTTCCAAGTGAGGTAAAACCCGCAGGCCCAGAGGCCTCTCTACTTCCTGTGTGGGGTTCAGAAACCCTCCTCCCCTCCCAGCCTCAGGTGCCTGCTTCAGAAAATGGTGAGTCTCTCTCTTATAAAGCCCTCCTTTTTCATCCTAGCATTGGGAACAATGGCCCCAGGGTCCTTATCTCTAGCAGATGTTTTGAAAAAGTCATCTGTTTTGCTTTTTTTCCAGAAGTAGTAAGTCTGCTGGCCTCCGCCATCTTAGTAAAGTAACAGTCCCATGAAACAAAGATGCAGTCGGGCACTCACTGGAGAGTTCTGGGCCTCTGCCTCTTATCAGGTGAGTAGGATGGAGTGGAAAGGGTGGTGTGTCTCCAGACCGCTGGAAGGCTTACAGCCTTACCTGGCACTGCCTAGTGGCACCAAGGAGCCTCATTTACCAGATGTAAGGAACTGTTTGTGCTATGTTAGGGTGAGGGATTAGAGCTGGGGACTAAAGAAAAAGATAGGCCACGGGTGCCTGGGAGAGCGTTCGGGGAGCAGGCAAAGAAGAGCAGTTGGGGTGATCATAGCTATTGTGAGCAGAGAGGTCTCGCTACCTCTAAGTACGAGCTCATTCCAACTTACCCAGCCCTCCAGAACTAACCCAAAAGAGACTGGAAGAGCGAAGCTCCACTCCTTGTTTTGAAGAGACCAGATACTTGCGTCCAAACTCTGCACAGGGCATATATAGCAATTCACTATCTTTGAGACCATAAAACGCCTCGTAATTTTTAGTCCTTTTCAAGTGACCAACAACTTTCAGTTTATTTCATTTTTTTGAAGCAAGATGGATTATGAATTGATAAATAACCAAGAGCATTTCTGTATCTCATATGAGATAAATAATACCAAAAAAAGTTGCCATTTATTGTCAGATACTGTGTAAAGAAAAAATTATTTAGACGTGTTAACTGGTTTAATCCTACTTCTGCCTAGGAAGGAAGGTGTTATATCCTCTTTTTAAAATTCTTTTTAATTTTGACTATATAAACTGATAAGTCCTCTCTACTTCACAGATTAAGAAATTGATACTCAAAAAAGTTAAATAACTTGTTTTAAACCACATAGTAAGTGCCGAAGCCAATCTGTGAGACCAGGACTGTTTGTACTCTAAATGGCTGCACCACATGAGGCAAAATGGCTCGTGATGGTTTTATTTCAAAGACCTAGAAAACACTATCACAGCTGGTGCTCCCGTCTCAGACCCACAGCAACGATGTCTCCACTTCCTGCTTCATCTTGGGTTTCTCACGTCTTGAATGTGCACACAAATCACCTGGGGATCTTGTTAAAAATGCAGCTTCTGTTTCAAAAGACCCAGACTGGAAATGGAGATTCCGCATGTCTAGTACGCTCTCAAGTTTATTAATCTGCTGCTGGTCCTAGGAACATATTGAGTAGCGAGGGGCAGGATGTGACTCCTGTAAGGAGTGGCCAGGCATTTTCTTAGAGACCTGTGTTATAAAGTATGCTTTTCCTTAAAAAAAAGAAGAAGGAGGAGGAGGAGAAGGGCCAGGTGCAGTGGCTTACGCCTGTAAGCCCAGCATTTTGGGGGACCAAAGTGGGAAGATCACTTGAGCTCAGGAGTTCAAGACCAGCCTGGGCAAAGTAGTGAAACCCCATTTCTACAAAAAATTAAAAATTAGCCAGGCAAGGTGGCACACACCTATAGTTCCAGCTACTTGGGAGGCTGAGGTGGAAGGATCACTTGAGCCCAGGAGGTCGAGGCTGCAGTAAGCCATGATCAAGCCACTGCACTCCAGCCTGGAGTGTCTCAAAATAGATAAATAAATAAATAAATAAATAAATAAATAAATAAATAAAAGAGACAGTATCAAAGACCCAATCACCTCTAGACATCTGGCATCATAGGAATGTGCCCAGTCTGCTCTGGGGATAGGAAAGTGGGGATCCTGTCTCCCCCTGTGTAGAGGTTTCAGTAAAAGAAAGGCCTAGGTGTGCAGAAAGCTTTCAGGCAATGCCAGGGAAACTGATCATTGTAATGAATCCAGGGTATTGCTGAGTGAGGGCATCCTGGAGGGCCCGGTGGAAATGTGGTCAGGCTCTTCAATGCACAGGCCCTAGTTGATGAGTAATCAGGGTTTCAAATATTTCCATCTCTGTCTCAAGCAGAAAACAAATGGAAAAACTGAACCACCAGAAAAGCAGAGCCAGAGATGGAACAAGAATCCCAGTGTTTGTACCCAACCAAGAGCGTGTTTTTCTTCCACAGACACCAATGTTCAAAATGGAGGCTTGGGGGCAAAATTCTTTTGCTATGTCTCTAGTCGTCCAAAAAATGGTCCTAACTTTTTCTGACTCCTGCTTGTCAAAAATTGTGGGCTCATAGTTAATGCTAGATGCTTCCTTCCTCTATTTCCCCCCAAATTTCCTGGGAACCCCTGGTCAATACCAGCAGTAAGTTCCACTGTTCTAGGGTGTAGAAATGGCTGTGACCCAGCAGCAAGAGGGAAGGACATCAGATGTCATCAGTGGTCATACTGCAACACAGCCCTTTTTCTGTTTAGGAATGCAGGTACCCACAACATTTACTAACACTTTTTTTTTCTTATTTATTTTCTAGTTGGCGTTTGGGGGCAAGATGGTGAGATATGCTTTCTTTCTTTCTTTTTTATGAAATCACCCCATCATTCTTTGTAGTTATGAATGGAGCTTTCTCTTAGGCCTCCCACAGAACTTCCACAGAGGTCAGGAAAAGGAGTTTCTGCCATCTACCCCTTTGACTTTCCTCACAAGTCTGGAGATATTTCTAGCCCAGAAGAGGGAAGCAACAGAGGCAGGAAATAATGAGTCTTAACCATACAAAAGAAAAATTGAGACTTAAATGAAGTTGAAAGCACTAACAGTTTTCATTTGTTTGCATTTCATATTTGATGTGAGATTCTGCAGAGGAGACGTAGCCAGAATGCATGCACAGGGTTACTCTGGATAAGCTGCTGGGGCAACATTTGGATGTGTGTTCAGAATCACATGTCTGAATACTCTGAATATATGTGTGTACATGTGTATTTATGCAAGTGCACATGCATATGAGTGTGCCCGGCCTGAACTTACTCTCTCAACCACAGCGGTAGAGTCAGGAGTGTTCCAACATTGGAAGCCCCTCTATTCAATCAGCTCTTCCAAACTGAGTGAACCAATGTTGTATTTAATGGCAACCATGGCTGGACACCATGGCTCACACCTGTAATCCCAGCACTTTGGGAGGCCGAGGTGGGCAGATCACTTGAGGCCAGGAGTTCGAGACCAGCCTGGCCAACATGGCGAAACCCCGTCTCTACTAAAAATACCAAAATCAGCCAGACATGGTGGTGTACGCCTGTAGTCCTAGCTACTCGAGAAGCTGAGGCAGGAGAATCGCTTGAACCTGGGAGGCAGAGGTTGTAGTGAGCCGAGATCACACCACTGCACTCTAGCCTGGGTGACACATCGAGACTGTCTCAAAAATAAAATAAAGACAACCATTATGCCAGCCTAGATTCCGCCATGCTGCCTAATTTGTAGTGTCCTTAGGAGCCATTTTTGTAAATAGTCATCAGATAAGATGTAAGGCCCATAACAGCTTTTTCTATGCAGCTGAGGGAATTGGAAGATCCATTGTTTCCTAAGAGTTGAGGGAAGAGTCCCAACCCACGGGAGCAGGGTCTGATCTTCATTGCCGATAGAAACATTACTAATGGCTTCTTACTGTTTCCTTTTCAGGTAATGAAGAAATGGGTAAGAAGATTTCCACTCTATCTAGCAAAAGTTTTCAAATATGGAATGAAATGCTCATAGAGTACAATCACAGTAACAAACCCTGAGAACTAAAACTATTAAAGGGAAAATACAAGTATCTTTCAATGGGATCCGTATGAAACTTGCCTGTATTTGTTGCTAGCTGTCATGTCAGATTATAGCTGTGCATATATGTATCTCTGATCATACACATATGGATGTGGGTTGGAGCTACCATGTGTTTTTGTATAAGCCATGAAATCTTTGAAGGCAGACAGAGACAGTGTCTCATTTACCTAGCCCAGTGTCTGGCACATAGTAGGTGCTCAATGAATATTTTTTGAATGAATAAATGAACAAACATATGAACACATTGCTAATTACCTCCCCTCAAGAAGCTGATGGTCTTGTGTGAGAGACAAATAATTGAAAATATAGTGAGTTGCATGTTATAATATGGGTAGATACAGAGTAAAATGAAGTATAAAGAGGGGAGTGGTCAACTCTACTGAGTGTCGTTGGGAAAGGTTCCCTGGGGGAGGTGGTCCTTGAGCTGAATTTTAAAGGATAAGCTTATGTTTTAGGGAAGAAAAATATTTTATGCAGAAGAGATAAAGCTGTATAGTATGAGGATAAGAGTCTAACTGAGCTAGATCAGAATGTTTGAATCTTGGCTCAACTCTCTACTTGCTGGGTGTGTTTGAGTAATTTACCTAACTTTTCTGTGCCACAGCATCATCATGGTACAATGGAAATAATAGTGCTACCTAACTTGTAGGGTTATTATGAGGACCAAATGAGTAATTCATTTAAGGCACTTAGAACATTATCTGACATAAAAGGCAGTAGGAGGGCCGGGCATGGTGGCTCACACCTGTAATCCCAGCACTTTGAGAAGCCGAGGTGGGAGGATCACCTGAGGTCAGGAGTTCGAGACCGGCCTGGCCAACATGGTGAAACTCCATCTCTGCTAAAAATACAAAAATTAGCCAGGCATGGTGGCAGGTGCCTGTAATCTCAGCTACTCAGGAGGCTGAGGTAGGAGAATTGCTTGAACCTGGGAGGCGGAGGTTGGAGTGAGCTGAGATTGTGCCATTGCACTCCAGCCTGGGCGACAGAGCAAGACTCTGTCTCAAAACAAACAAACAAACAAACAGACAGTAGGTGAATTTTAGCTATTAATACATGGAAAGCATGCTGACTATAGATGATAAGCATTAAAGTTTACTGAGCATGTATGTTTTAGGCATTGCTCTAAATATTTTACTTGAATTTCCTCATTTAATTCTTCCAACACCCCTACTGTACAGTTAAGGAAACAAAGCCTCAAATAAATACAGAAATAAACAAAAATAAGTAAACAATCCAGTCCTGGGGATATAAATGCAGATTTAGGCCAAGTGCCATGGTTCATGCCTATAATCCCAACACTTTGGGAGGCCAAGGCAGGAGGCTCGCTTGAGCTCAGAAGGTTGAGGCTGCATTGAGCAAAGATTGTGCCACTGTACTCGAGCCTCTGTGGCAGAGAAAGACCCTGTCTCTGAAAAAATTAATAAATAGAAATTTAAAAATAAAAAAATTTTAATGCAGATTTATATGATACCGAAGTTCATTTTCTCAACCATTATGAAATACTGTTTCTGGATATGTATAAAATCTTTGTGAGCACACATATCTTTTTTTAACTTAACTTTCATTTTAAATTCAGGGGTACATGTGCAGGTTTGTTATATAGGTAAACTTGTGCCATGGGGGTTTGTTGTATAGATTATTTCATCACCCAGGCATTAAGCCTGGTACCTGTTAGTTATTTTTCCTGATCCTCTCCCTCCTCCCACCCTCCACCTTCTGAGAGGTCCCAGTGTGTGTCATTTCCCTCTGTGTTCATGTGTTCTCATCATTTAGCTCCCACTTCTAAATGAGAACATGTGGTATTTGGTTTTCTGTCACTGTGTTAGTTTGCTAAAGATAATGGCCTCCAGTCCCATCCATGTTCCTGCAAAGGACGTGATCTCATTCTTTTTTATGGCTGCGTAGTATTCCATGGTGTATATGCAGCACATTTTTTTATCCAGTCTACCACTGACAGGCATTTAGGTTGATTCCATGTCTTTGCTATTGTGAATAGTGCACAATGAACATACGTGGAGCACATTTCTGTCTAAGCACAGACATCTAGACCCTTGTGTGAGCATGAGTTAAGTCTAAGCTCTGCTACTGAATTTGTGCCAATAAAAGTTGTGAGCAATTTTCTTTACATTTTTTTCAAACAAACACACCCAGCAGAGTATAATGTCTATGTACTTTATTTATGATTTCTAGTTCATTTAACATGTCTAAGAAACATCCGTGTTGAAAAATTATTTATAAATTAAAATAATATAAACTATCTACTGTCCTTATACTCAACTCCCAATTATAAGCAGGTGGAAAAACCTGGAGAATGTTTTGTTTACATTCTGTGCAGTCTTTGTCAGAGGGCTGCCTGAGCAACTGGGTCAGAGTTTAGTTCTGCTCTGGGAGTAGCAGGACCTCAAGAAGGAAAGGAGGAAAGGAAGTAACTTTTTCTTGAGCACCTGCTATGTGTCATTCACTTTCACCTTCATAATCCATTTAATTTTCGCAAAAACTTTGTGAGGTTGGTGTTTTATCTCCATTTCCCTGATAAAGAAGTTGAGGTTCAGCAAAGTTAAATGACTTGCCCTCAGTCACACAGACTAGGGCAGATCCAGGATTCAAACTCAGGGCTTCTGACTCTTGAGTCCAGAGCTCTGTCCCTGACAGCAGCAGCACTGCCTCTCCTCTCTTCCAGCTGTTATGTCCAGACTGTAGCAGAACCCAGTGTTCCAGCCACAAGTTTTCCAGGAAATAATAAAGGACTCCTAGCTCCACCTCCCAGGGCAAAAATGGCTGCTGTGGGAAACACAGGCTGGACCTACGAATGGCATTAGTGGTTTATTAGTTGATTTCAGTTGTCCACACTAATAGGCCTCCCTCTAACAAAAATAATTGAGAGCTGATTATGCTCAGATATAATGTAAAGTGAAGCCACTTTTTATTGGAAGAAGCATTCCCTCAAAACGTGTAGAGTATTTCACATTATTTAAAGGCAAATAGAGAGAAAATTATATGGAATAAGAACAAAGATGTTTCTTCTCTATTATGAGGGACTCAGTTCTGAGAAAGGATTTTAAATTGTAAGAAATAGGTAAGTCCACGAATCAGTGATTCAGTGGTGTGGAGAGCTTTATTTCTGAGAAGGCCAGTAGCGCTCCCTTCTGACAAGCAAATCTAAGACCTGGATGACAGATGACTTCCTGCATTTGGTTGGTTCTTTTGTCATTCATATCTATCTGTAATACAGTTCTGGCTAATTTAAGAGGATAAGCTTGAAGACCTCTGGAATTTTTCGGCTTTAGGACTTTAAGGCTTTCTGAGCTTCAGTAGATCTAGATCTAGGAGCTCATGCTGGTATATTCTGAATCCGATGTATCTGAGTTACATCTATGAGCTACTTAATAAATATATCTATGAGCTAAATCTCATAGGCTAAGCATGAACCTCACCTCCAAGACTCGGGGTTCCTAAATGGATGAGACCCTCTTTGGGAAGTCTTGTGGGCAGTGTCTAATTCCACTAGAAAAGTTTTACCTACAATTTAAACTTAAACCATGATATTTTCTTACTGCTGTTTCCTTTTTTCATTTTCAGGTGGTATTACACAGACACGTGAGTTTATTGGTCTTTTATTTATGCCCTGTCTGAGGATGCAGATTGGTGGGTAGATGAGAAGGAACTGATTGAGAGAGATTAACCCCAAGAACTGATATCTTCCCAGCATTGCATTCTCAACTCCATTTTAGAAAGGTTCCAAATAGGGACTTCTGTGGGTTTTTCTTTACATCCATCTTACCCTTCCCAAGTCCCCATGTCCCTGCGTAAACCCTAAAGCCACCTCTCAAAAGGTTCTCTAGTTCCCTTCAAGGTTCTCTAGTTCCCTTCATTCCACATATCTCCTCTTCCACACCCTCTAGCCAGTAGAGCTCCCTTCTGACAAGCAAGTCTAAGATCTAGATGACAGATGACTTCCTGCATTTGGGTGGTTCTTTTGTCACTAATTTGCCTTTTCTAAAATTGTCCTGGTTTCTTCTGCCAATTTCCCTTCTTTCTCCCCAGCATATAAAGTCTCCATCTCTGGAACCACAGTAATATTGACATGCCCTCAGTATCCTGGATCTGAAATACTATGGCAACACAATGATAAAAACATAGGCGGTGATGAGGATGATAAAAACATAGGCAGTGATGAGGATCACCTGTCACTGAAGGAATTTTCAGAATTGGAGCAAAGTGGTTATTATGTCTGCTACCCCAGAGGAAGCAAACCAGAAGATGCGAACTTTTATCTCTACCTGAGGGCAAGAGGTAATCCAGGTCTCCAGAACAGGTACCACCGGCTCTTTAGGGAGGACCATTCAAAAGGGCATTCTCAGTGATTTTCCCTAACCCAGCTCACAGTGCCCAGGCGTCTTTGCGCTTCCTCCCACACTCAATCCTGGGACTCTCTGGTACCACACGGCATCAGTGTTTTCTGGAATATAGATTAAACACCAATATGAGGCTTCTGGGTAACCCCAGTCTGTGCGAGATCTAAAATAGCAACTCCCTAAGAGACAGGACTGGGTCATTTGCACCGCATCACACCCAGGTTCATAGCACACCAACATGAGTTTATCTAATGCTTCCTCCAGAGATAAATTTTTCAGAAAGGTTTGCAAAAAACACTCAAGGCCACTATAGTAAAATGGCATAAGCTAAGGTATAATAATAAAATAATAACAATACTTAACATTTATTGAGTGCTTATTAAGTCTCAAGCACTGTCTGTACCCAACACTTATCAAGGATTCTTTTTCATGTAATCCTCTCAACAACTATATGGGTTAAGTATCATTTTATTCCCATGAGTAAAGGGATGAGGAAACAGAGGGTTTGTGAGTTGAAAACACATTTCACGCTTCTCACAGCTAGTGAGTAATAAAGCTGGGACTCAAACCCAGGGCTGTTTGACTCCAGTGCCTCTACCCACGGCCACCACTCTTTGCTTGTCAATGTTGTTCTAAACATATTGAAGGGGGGGCTCTGACCGTGGCAAGCGTGTGAGTAGTAAGGGGAGAATGGCCTTCATGCACTCCCTCCTCACCTCCAGCGCCTTGTGTTTTCCTTGCTTAGTGATTTCCCCTCTCCCCACCCCACCCCCCACAGTGTGTGAGAACTGCATGGAGATGGATGTGATGTCGGTGGCCACAATTGTCATAGTGGACATCTGCATCACTGGGGGCTTGCTGCTGCTGGTTTACTACTGGAGCAAGAATAGAAAGGCCAAGGCCAAGCCTGTGACACGAGGAGCGGGTGCTGGCGGCAGGCAAAGGGGTAAGGCTGTGGAGTCCAGTCAGAGGAGATTCCTGCCAAGGGGGACGACCAGCCTGGGCCAGGGTGGGTGGCAAGTCCACAGCTAGGTCAGAACAGCTTCTCTAGAGCTTCTATGCACAGCTTCTATTACTGTGATGACAAGATCTCAACAGACGGTTTCAAATCTCACATCACTCCCCTCCTTCCCATCCTAGAAAAGTGCAAAAAAGTTTATGAAAGTGATGGGCTTCCTCACATACCTGTCAATGCCTGCAGTCATCCGATTCCGCCCCTAAGCTGTGGGAAGAGAGACTTTGATATATTAGCTCCTGCCTTTTCCTTTCCCTTCCCCTATGGAGAGAAACAATGGGAGGATCTTGAGCTGAGGAAAGTCACAAAATGATGAGAAGAGTGTAGGGTCCTTAGAGATGAATGAAAGAAAAAAAAAGAGAAAGGACGTCTGAACAGAAAAGGGAGCGGTAGAGGAGAGAACAATGGGGTTTGCCATTCTCTATCTGGGTCTCACTGGCACAGACAGTGCTGCAAGATTGGTTCCCTCATGGGAATGAAATGTTTCCCCTCCTTCCTCCGCAGGACAAAACAAGGAGAGGCCACCACCTGTTCCCAACCCAGACTATGAGGTAACGTGGGATAGAAATGGGCCAGGACGCTGGAGGGGATGTCCCTCCAGGGGGGAAGGAAACAGATGGGATGGCCCATCTTGTCTGCCAGATGCCTCAAAGCCCCTCACTCAGGGCTTCCATTACAACCCTCTATGTGCCACCTCTGCGTCCTTCATGGTAAAACAGGACTGTCTCAAAGGCTGCATGGCTTCCACAACCATGGAGAGGTGGAAGCTTGCAGGAGACATACTCCTCTTTCTCTGGCTTATTCATTGACTGGGATACAGCCATGGAGAATATTATATATGCAAATTCTAACACAATAAATTCTGGGCTGATATTCCACCAGCATGCACCAGTATAGCGAGTTATTGAAATATTAAAATTATATAAATATTATATAAAAGTTATTGAAATATTAAAATACTCATTGGGAAATAGCCCCAAACTTTGCTCACCCCAACCCACCCTTACACACACACATACACACACACACACACACACACACACACACACACACACACGTGACCAGACATCCCAGTCCCTCCCCTACCGGGCTGCCTCTTGAGTTGGGGTAACAAAGAGTTAATGCCTGGCATGGCAGAGGATCACCAGGATTGTTCTAGTTGATTGGTATGTGTGCACTCCTAGTTGTTAAATATTTTCACTATCACACCTGGATATACTCAACAAATATTTGTTGAGCCAAATACTCAACACCAGCCAAACACGTAGTATTTACTTTAGCTTAAGCGAATTATTTAGCCCTGACAGAAGCCCTGGAATGTGGGTCTTTAAGTTCCTATTTTTGAGATGGGAAAGCTGAGGCTCACGGAAGGAGGTGACCAGCTCAAGTCTCCTACCGTCCATGCCAAATTAGAATTCCAGCCTGCCTCCTGACTTCAAGTCCAAAGTTCTTCCCACGCACTAAAGCTAGCTCTTCAGTGTCCTTTCTTAGGAGGTACTTCCTCCCGCACCACTGACCGCCCCCTCTCTATTTCACCCCCAGCCCATCCGGAAAGGCCAGCGGGACCTGTATTCTGGCCTGAATCAGAGACGCATCTGACCCTCTGGAGAACACTGCCTCCCGCTGGCCCAGGTCTCCTCTCCAGTCCCCCTGCGACTCCCTGTTTCCTGGGCTAGTCTTGGACCCCACGAGAGAGAATCGTTCCTCAGCCTCATGGTGAACTCGCGCCCTCCAGCCTGATCCCCCGCTCCCTCCTCCCTGCCTTCTCTGCTGGTACCCAGTCCTAAAATATTGCTGCTTCCTCTTCCTTTGAAGCATCATCAGTAGTCACACCCTCACAGCTGGCCTGCCCTCTTGCCAGGATATTTATTTGTGCTATTCACTCCCTTCCCTTTGGATGTAACTTCTCCGTTCAGTTCCCTCCTTTTCTTGCATGTAAGTTGTCCCCCATCCCAAAGTATTCCATCTACTTTTCTATCGCCGTCCCCTTTTGCAGCCCTCTCTGGGGATGGACTGGGTAAATGTTGACAGAGGCCCTGCCCCGTTCACAGATCCTGGCCCTGAGCCAGCCCTGTGCTCCTCCCTCCCCCAACACTCCCTACCAACCCCCTAATCCCCTACTCCCTCCACCCCCCCTCCACTGTAGGCCACTGGATGGTCATTTGCATCTCCGTAAATGTGCTCTGCTCCTCAGCTGAGAGAGAAAAAAATAAACTGTATTTGGCTGCAAGAGTTGCTGTCCCTGTTTTCTGAGAGACCCTCAGAGGCTGCCTTAACTCCCAAGACCATTCAGGTTCTCACTATCTTTGACTAAATTCTCAGCTATGACCCCAGATGCGAGCACTCTCTGTTTCCACAGCTGGTAGGGCCGTTACCTGAAGCTCTCTTTAGAGAGGGCATAAGGGAATAAGAAAAAAAAGAGAGAGAGAGAGTGAAGGGAGGGGAAAGAAAAGAAAAAGAGAGAGAGAAAGAAAAATAAAAGGAAAGGGAAAGAAGGGAGGGATTGAGGAAGGGAAGAAAGAAAGAGGATGGGAGGGAGAGAAAGAAAGAAAGTTTCACCAACTTCTCTTGGAGGAAAACATCAAACGTGGCAGAGAAAGACTGATGGGTCCCTGATGGAGTGGTTGGTAGAAAATGGACAAGACAGAAATAGGCCTTGAAAGACAGATGAAGGTACGGAAGAGGACGGTGGCGGTGGAAGCCGGGCTTGGAGATGGGACACAGATTTCCACAAGCTGCCAGGAAAAGCTGCGAGCCAGGGCTGGGGAAGTGAAGGAGGGAGGTGTCTCAAGCAGGCACACCCCCACCCTGAGGCAGCCGCCTGCAGCCAGAGGCGGGCTGTGGTTAAGCAGTGCAGGATGTGGGCTGCACTGCTAAGCGTGGCTTCTGGGAGTGAGGGTGGGAGAGGTACAGCGGCAGCTGGGCGGAGGCCCGTGTGAGAGCGCTTTGTTCTCAGTCTCCCACAGCACACTCTGCTTGCAGAGAGAGGAGGCTGGAGCATCCAGGAACTGTCCTAATCCAGCTCAAACCAGTGGGCTCTCTTCTCTCCCTCCCTGCACTAATAATTCACCCTGCTGATTTATGAGTGCGACCACCACTAAAAAGGCCATTCGTGACCAGCAGCCTCCACATACTGCTCCCCCTCAGCCTTGGGCTGTAGCTACAGCTTCTATTTGTTTTTGGTCGCTGTTGAAGAGTCACTTCCTTCACTCTAAGCATCAACACTTAGGTTCAGAAGATGCCTCCATGATGTTGTCCATCACTAGCTGCTGGATGGCAGTTTTGTCCCAAGTATACTTGATTGTGCCCTGTCAAGGGGAGGCATGGCTCAGCGTAATACAGGCAATAACAGCTGACATGTGTTGAGCATTTACTCAATACATGCTTCAGAAATTGTACGTAGCACTTTACCTGCATTATCTCATTTAATCTTTATGTTGACACAAGAAGTTAGATGTCATCCTCATTTTACAGACGAGGATACTGAGGCTCAGAGAGGTCAAATCATTGCCCAAGTCACAGATGGGGTGGGGCAGAGCTGGAACTAGCAGCCAATTTTAATGGTCAGAGCATCTACTCATTACTGACTGTGATCATAAAGAATGTTCCCCATTGTCGCACACTGGGGCCTGTCGGGGGTGTGGGGGCCAAGGGCAGGAAGAGCATTAGGACAAATACCCAATGCATGAGGGGCTTAAAACCTAGACGATGGGTTGATAGGTGCAGCAGATCACCATGGCACATGTATACCTATGTAACAAACCTGCACGTTCTGCATATGCATCCCAGAACTTAAAGTAAAATTTAAAAATAAAAATTTTAAAAAAGAATGTGTCGGGCACGGTGGCTTACGCCTGTAATCCTAGCACTATGGGAGGCCGAGGCAGGCGGATCATGAGGTCAGGAGTTCGAGACCAGCCTGGCCAACATAGTGAAACCCTGTCTCTACTAAAAATACAAAAAATTAGCCAGGCATGGTGGTGGGTGCCTATAATCCCAGCTATTTGGGAGGCTGAGGCAGGAGAATCACTTGAACCCAGGAAGCAGAAGTTGCAGCAAGCGGAGATCGTGCCATTGCACTCCAGCCCAGGCAACAGTGCAAGACTCCGTCTCAAAAAAAAAAAAAAAAAAAAAAAGAATGTTTCTCATTGTCCTGACTTAAAAGCTCTGTATTTAATTGTTTATGCATTCCTTCAATGAGTGCTTTTCTAATCACTCATGTGGCTATCAGCACTATGCTAACTGCTAAGAGGATATCAATAAACAGTTCTTGTCTTCAAGGAGCTTGCAATTATATAAAAGCGGTCAAACATGCAAAAAGTTAAAGAGCAACACAAGAACAGATGATGTGATTAAGCACTCATGCGTGTTACAGAGTGTTGCAGGTGTTCAGAGGCAGAAAAAGCTCCACGGAGGAAAGACTTTATCTAGGCCTTGAAGGGAAGGATGAATAGAACTTGGAGATAAAGAAGGCACTCCAGGCCAGACACGGTGGCTCACACCTGCAATCCCAGCACTTTGGGAGGCCAAGGCAGGTGGATCATGAGGTCAGGAGTTCAAGACCAGCCTGACCAACATAGTGAAAACTCGTTTCTACTAAAAATACAAAAATTGGCCGGGCACGGTGGCATATGCCTGTAGTCCCAGTTACTTGGGAGGCTGAGGCAGGAGAATTGCTTGAACCCGGAAGGCGGGGGTTGTGTGGGTGAGCCGAGATTGTGCCACTGCACTCCAGCCTGGGCAATAGAGAGAGACTTCATCTTCGAAAAAAAAAAAAAGAAGAAGAAGGCACTCCAGATTGCAGAGAAGGTTATGAACAAAGACTTCCAGGCAACCAGCTCCGCACTAGAGAAGCAAATCGACTTAAGGAAAGAAGAAGGAAAGTGGCTATTTGAGGGCACATGCTATGCTCAGGTCCTTTCTCAAGTTCTAGCCACGCCTTACTTACTCACTCCTTAATGCATCATGCAAAGTAGGTATTATTTTATCAGTTTCGCAAAAGAGAAAACTGACTTTCAGCAATAATAGGTAACTTCCTTAAGTTCCCAGAGCAAGGAAGTGAAGGCCCTGGAACCTAAACCCAGATCCTCTAGCACACTCTCCCACAAATGTCTGATTCTGCTTTGCTGAAATACAGTGAATATGGCAGGTCCCCAAAGTACATCCTAGGACCTTGTGGTTCCTGGCTGTGCCTGGCCACATCAAAGCAGGGAGGCTGACAATCTCTGTCCCTTCTTGGCTCCCTCTTCCACTCCCCTGAGTGGTTGGGCCACACTTTCAGTGCTCCTGTCAAAAGGCCACCCAATCCCTGCTCTCCTCACCGTGAGCAGCTGAGGGCAACTCCAGCTTCACGGAGAACAGAGAATAGGCCCACGGGGCCTGCAGCCAACCCCTTACCTACTCCCTCATGTGCTTCCTCACCTGCCCTTCCTGCCCCAAGGATGGGACTTTTCCCACTCACCTAAAACCTTGATAGCCTCCCCTTTCTTCTGCTCCAGTGTCTCATGACATCACCTCTCCCTCTCCCCAGTATTACCCAACTGTCCCCTTTAACTTGATCTTTCCCCTCCACTGCATGCTCACATCTCTCCCATGCTAAGATAAGCTCTCCCTTGACCCTGCATGCCTCCTGCCCAGATACTTCCCTTTCTCTCTCTGCCTTTTTAAGTCCCAAAGAGAAGTCTACTAGGCCAACTTCCTCATTTCCCTCTGATCCTCAGCCCTTTACAGTCGGGCTTCCTCCTCTCCCACTCCAGAAACTCTCAAAAACATCACAGTGCCCTCCTCCTTGCCAAATCAAAGAAGCACTCCATGAGCCTTTCAAGAGCAGACCTCTTGGAAGTATGTGAAAGATTGACTGCTCACTTCCTTGGCTTCCATGACATCCTCTGCCCCTCCTTACCTCTCTTGAAATTCCTCCTCCCTGCTCCTTAAACACTGGTGTTCTTCGAGGTTCTGTTCTCATTCCAATACCCTTCACACTTCACCTATTTTTCTTACTTTCCCATATCTCTACCCCCAGACCTGACCAGATCAGATATCCTCTTAGGCTTTAGACATATTCTGGATGTATCCATTGGGAGCCCACAGACTTCACAGACATTTCAAATTTGAGATGTTCAAAACTGAAGTCACCATTCCACCCCCCACCCACCCCCAATCCCTCAAACCATCTCCTCAACCTGCATGTCCTTCCCCAGCGAAGGGTACCACCATCTACACAGTGCTACTGGATCAGAAACCCTGGAATTGGCCTGGATGCCTCCTGCACCCTCATTTTCCACATCCAAATGGCACTCCCTAAATAGCTCTTCAAACTGATTTCTCTCTGTTTCTGCCTCCAGAATTATGTGTGCCATATCACTTCCTGCTGGAAGCTCTTCAAGGATGCATTACCTCATACAGAAAAAGCCCATACCCCCTACTTAGCCTTACACTCCAGGTCTTCCGCCTTTGGACCCTTACCACCTCTCCCTTATTTCTAACACTCTGCAACTTGAACTTCATGCTCTAGTAAAACTAAACCTCTTGAAATTCTCCCTGCTCTCCACCTCCGTGGTGTCTCTCCCCATCTTTGCTCATGCTTTCTTCTCTGCCTAGACTGTTCTTTCCTTGTCTCCACTTTTCTTTTCTTTTTCTTTTTTCTTTTTTTTTAGTTAAGCAGACTTTATTTGAGCAAAGAAAATTTATGAATCGGGCAGCATCCTGAACCAGTAAACGTTCAAAGTGCTGCACCCAGCAACATGGGCAGGCCGAATTTATTGGAAGTAACACACAGAAACAGTTTGATGGGGTACAGTTCAGCATTTGCCTTATATGGACATGGTCTGATCAGCCTGTGACTGGTTAAAGCACAGTGGCTGTGACTTGCTGAGATTCAACTATTTGTTACAAGAATATAGTCTCAGTTGGGAGGCAGTTTACTTAAATACTAAGTTAGGTTGCAGTTCAACAGATATGCCAGCAGCTTTGGGCCAAATTTAATTTAAACATTTCTGCCTTTTGGTCAGCATCTCAATTTTGAGAGATTGAACAGAACCTTGGCCCCTGACCCCATTTTCTGTCACCATCATAATGGACTTGTTTTGTTTCAATATTGAATTCACAATTCACAACTTCACCTTAGTTGGATGATTCTTTATGCTTTCTTCATGTTTTTGTTATACTAACCCTAATAGACCAGTTGATGTATAAAGAATGGCTGCATAGGAGCACTTAAGACCTCCCAGGGGAAGCAACACGAGAGACAATTATTATTATTTTAATTTTTAAGATGGAGTCTCACCCTGTCACCCAGGCTGGAGTGCAGTGGCACAATCTTGGCTCCCTGCAACCTCCACCTCCTGGGTTCAAGCAATTCTCCTGCTTCAACCTCCTAAGTAGCTGGGATTACAGGCACCCGCCACCACAGCCAGCTAATTTTTGTATTTTTAGTAGAGATGGGGTTTCACCATGTTGGCCAATCTGATCTTGAACTCTAGTCCTCAAGTGATCTGCCTGCCTCGGCCTCCCAAAGTGCTAGAATTACAGGCATGAGCCACCGCGCCTGGCCAGGGAGACTATTATGATGACTATGAGTGGACAATGCCAAGAAACTGAAGTACACTCCTTATCAGGAGTTTCCACAAACAACTAGTCAAAATCAAACAACTCAAAGTCCGTGCAATAAAGATAGTTCAGTAGTATTTGAGTCCAGCTGGTCAGTCTTGGTTCAGGAGATGATGGTGATTAGGGCCACAGTTCACTACAAAAAGACCTGATTTAAACTCACTCCATTAAATGAGAGAGCTATATTAGAGATGTCTCAGAGACCTCCACCCAGCAACAGTGGACAGCCAGTGTTTATAAACAGAAAAAGGAAGTGGCATTGGATATAGCCTGATCGGTTACAGGTCACCCTTTGCCTAATTTAGACACATCTGATCAGTCTGCAGTCTGCCCCTGGCTGAAAGCTGGCTGCTATGGTTGGAGGAGACTTCCTTTCTTCTTACAAAAATATGCCCTCAAGTCAGGTTGTAGTTTGTTTACATATTAAATGAGGTTACATCCCAGTCAAATCCTCCCTACAAAGTATCCCCTATTCTGACCTCTATCACCATAGACTAGTTTTTCTGGTTTTTCAACTTTAAATAAATGGAATCACACAATAAAAAAAAAAAAAGAAGAAGAAGAAGAAGAGAAAAAAGGAGGTTGCAGTTCACTGAATTGCAGCATTTTGGAACAAATTTAATTTTTTTTTTTTTTTTTTTTTTTGACGCGGTCTTGCTCTGTCACCCAGGCTGGAGGAGTGCAGTGGCACAGTCTCGGCTCACTGCAACCTCCACCTCCTGGGTTCAAGTGATTCTCCCTCCTCAGCCTCCCAAGTAGCTAGGACTACAGGCGCCCGCCACCATGCCCAGCTAATTTTCGTATTTTCACTAGAGGCAGGGTTTCACCATGTTGGCCAGGCTGCTCTCGAACTCCCCACTTCAGATGATCTGCCCACCTCAGCCTCCCAAAGTGTTGGGATTACAGGCGTGAGCCACCGCGCCCGGCCTGGAACACATTTAATTTAATTTAGCAGAACTTACTCCCTGGGCCCAGAGGACGTAGAGGCAAGAGTTGCTTCCCATGATGAGTGCACCTGATGAGAAGGCACCTCCAGATGACTCAAAGGAAAACGAAGAATCAGGAGAGAAAGAGAAGCGCAGTTCTTGCCTGCTTCAGGGGAGGACCCCAAACTCCTGGTTAATAGTAGGGACCTGCTTCCCCGTGCACCCCAGCTCCCTCTCCACCGTACAGTCGCCTCCTAGGACTGGCGACCACAACTTGAGGCCTCCTCTGAGGCCCAGAGTTCGCGAAGTCAGAAGACAACCAGCTGAAGTGGTTTGGGCCTTGTGACAGCACCAGATCCAGGGCGAGGTCGTGCTGCTGGTCCTCAGAGTACACGGGCCGGTAGTTCTGCAGCTGCAGTGCGCCGCCGCACACCTCCTGCACACGCAAAGGGCAGCAGGTGGTGAAGACCTTGGTGAAGGGCAGCGCGTGGCGCTGGGCCTGGGAGACGTTGAGCTCATTCCTAGACAAAGTCTAGAAGGCCTCAAGTGGCCAGCCGATCCCTGACCCATGGGTGATGTTGTGGATCCAGGCCTCGAGCTGCGGCATGACTCACCTTGCCTCTACTTCTCACATGACTTCTATTCATGCATCAAAACTAAACAGATGATGATTTTCTCCAGGAAGCTTTCAAAATCCCTCCCAGATGAGGCTAAAAGCCGCTACTCCTTGGTACCAAACAACTCTATAACTCTGTCATATTCCTACCATCATATTAGATGTATCTGTATGTTTAATGAAAGGATGGATGATAAATGGATGGGTGGATGGGTGAACGGATGGATGGATGATGGGTGGATGAATGGATGAATAGATGATGGATGGATGAATTTTTTCACTACTAGATAAGAGGACAGAATCTGTATTTTTCTTTGATATACCAGCTCCTACACAGTTCAGACCCTAGTTCATAATATATCCTCAATAAATGTTGACATGAACTGACCTTGAAGATGATGCTGATGGAATTTCCACAGAAGACCAATAAGATACTGATGGGAAATCCAGATATTACTAACATAGATAGAAAAATAATCAAAATGAACATACTAAAAACTTGCAAGCACAGCGTCCCTACTCAAAGGAACTTGCTATTCCTCTAACTCTCTGGCTTGGATTGATGTCTAGGAACAGCCAGCTAAAATCAACCTCATCCTAGGCAAAGATACTTTGGTTGGCAGTAGGGAATAAGAGAAAAAGTTTGGTGTGGAATGAGAAAAGGTAAGAGCTTTCTTTACTGGGGGAACCCATAGTTATAGATTATTCAGAAAGGGAAGCTCTCTAAAAACCAAGAGCCCCTTTTCAGATATGTCGACTCTTAGTTCCTTCAGACATCCCTGGTACAAGTCTTGGCCCCATCCCAGAGCTGGGACATGATTAGGAGACAGAGATCTGCCCCCCTGGCATTTGCCCATTCCCTGGTCATGTAAAGTACAAGCAACTAGATATAATGACAAAAATATTTCCCAACTTTTTCCAATGAGTTCTTGAGCTATTTAACCCTGAGCACTTATTTTATTTAAGAATATCTCAAAATGGAAGAATTGGAGGTGAAGCTGAGAAGCCAGGGAAACCCTGATAACTCAGAGACAATTCCAACATTGCAGTGTAACTATCACTCCATCATCACACCCTGTTCACTCAGCAGGCTATGGACTCAGGGGTTCTATTTACCCTAATCCCATATTCCTCCTCCCAAATTTAAAGCCGACCAGAACAACAGGTCTCTTAATTCCCTCTTTAGCTAAGAATTTCTAGCCCTGAGAAATGCAAAGCAAAACCACAATGCGATACCACCTTACTCCTGCAAGAATGACCATAATCAAAAAATCAAAAAAAAAAAAAGATGTTGGCGTGGATGTGGTGAACAGGGAACACTTCTACACTGCTGATGGGAATGTAAACTAGTACAACCACTATGGAAAACAGCATGGAGATTCCTTATAGAACTAAAAGTAGAACTGCCATTTGATCCAGCAATCCCTCTACTGGGTATCTACCCAGAAGAAAAGAAGTCATTATATGAAAAAGATACTTGCACACACATGTTTATAGCCACACAATTTGCAATTGCAAAAATGTGGAGGCAACCCAAATGCCCATCAACTAACAAGTGGATAAAGAAAATGTGGGAGGGGTGTGTATATATGTATATATATACGGGGGTGTGTGTGTGTGTGTGTGTGTGTGTGTGTGTGTATACATATGATGGAATACTACTCAGCCTTAAAAAGGAATGAATTATGAATTAATGGCATTCACAGCGACCTAGATGAGATTGGAGACTATTATTCTAAGTGAAGTAACTCAGGAATGGAAAACCAAACATCACATGTTCTCACTCATAAGTGGGAGCTAAGCTATGAGGAAGCAAAGGCATAAGAATGACACAATGGACTTTGGGGACTCAGGGTTGGGGATAAAAGACAACAAATTGGGTACAGTGTATACTGCTCAGGTGATAGGTGCACCAAAATCTCACAAATCACCACTAAAGAACCTACTCATGGCCAGGCATGGTGGCTCAGGCCTGTAATCCCAGCACTTTGGGAGTCTGAGGTGGGTGGATCACGAGGTCAGGAGTTCAAAACCAGCCTGGTGAAAATGGTGAAACACCGTCTCTACTAAAAATACAAAAAATTAGCCAGGTGCGGTGGCAGGCGCCTATAATCCCAGCTACTCAGGAGGCTGAGGCAGGAGAATCGCTTGAATTTGGAGGGCGGAGGTTGCAGTGAGCTGAAATCGCGCCACTGCACTCCAGCCTGGGTGACAGAGTGAGAATCTGTCTCAAAAAAAAAAAAAAAGAACTTACTCATGTAACCAAACACCACCTGTTCCCCAATAACCTATGGAAATTAAAAAATTTTAAATAAAGAATTTCTAGCCCTGAACATTGGTTTTATTTGTGAAGTCTGATCCCACAGGTACCTGTTGCTTACTGACATCATGGGCAGAAATATCCTAGCAAATGTCCTTGGAATGACAGGTGGAAGAGTTGGAAGTGGAGTTGAAATCTTGAGTAGGTTTCCTACCTGGACAGAAGCAGAGTAGTGCAAGATAAATGTAGATGCTGAGGTGAGAAAAATAAGCAGGATGAGGAGGCTGTAGATTACATATGGGATGCAGAGGATAGGAGGGATACACATTATAGAAGGAACACCACGTTGCATTTGAATGCAGTGTATAGGTGGGAAACAGTGGAAAGGAGGAATACAGAATAAAGGAAAGATTAAGAGTGTAGAAGGCCCAAGTCAAACTTGTAGAGATGAAAACTATGATATCTGAGAGGGAAAAAAATGAATTGGCCATATCTGGCCAGGCACGGTGGCTCATGCCTGTAATCCCAGCACTTTGGGAGGCCAAGGCAGGCAGATCACCTGAGGTCAGGAGTTCAAGACCAGCCTGGCCAACATGGCGAAACCCTGTCTCTACTAAAAAATATAAAAACTAGCCGGGCGTGATGGTGGGCGCCTGTAATCCCAGCTACTCTGCAGGCTGAGGCAGGAGAATTGCTTGAACCTGGGAGGCGGATGTTGCAGTGAGCCAAGATTGCTCCACTGCACTCTAGCTTGGGCCAGAGAGGGAGACTCCATCTCAAAAAAAAAAAAAGAAAAGAAAAAAAATGCATTGCCCATATCTAACCAGCAGATTTGATATTACAGAAGAAAAGATTAGATTAGTGGGCTTGAAGACATAACAATAAAAACACAAAGAGAAAATGAAACGCAAAGAAAAAAATTAAAGAATAGAAAAGAATATATCATGCTAACACTAATGAAAAGAAAACCGTATATTAACATCAGCCAAAGACATACTTCAAAGACCAAAGAATGTTACCTGGAATACAGAGAGATATCACGTCATGTCACAATGACAAAGGAGTCAAGAGAATATAGCAATCCTAAATGTTTATGCACCTAGTAACAGGGATGCAAAATTGGCAGGCATGGTGGCTCACACCTGTAATCCCAACACTTTGGGAGGCCAAGGTAGGCAGATCACTTGAGGCCAGGAGTTCAAGACCAGCCTGACCAACATGGTGAAACCCTGTCTCTATAAAAAATACAAAAATTAGCCAGATGGAGTGGTGGACATCTGTAATCCCAGCTACTCAGGAGTCTGAGGCAGGAGAATCACTTGAGCCCAGGAGGTGGAGACTGCAGTAAGCCGAGATCACGCTACTGTACTCCAGCCTGAGCGATAGAGCGAGATTCTGTCTCCAAAAAAAAAAAAAATTGAAGCAACTCACCACAAATCAATGATAAGCATTTGAGGTAATGCATATATTAATTAGCTTGATCTAGCCACTCCACAAGATATACATATTTCAAAACATCATACTGCACACCATAAATGTATACAATTTATATTAGCTTATTAAAAGTAAATAAATAATAAATTTTTAAAATAAAAAAACCCCAATTACACAATTTAAAAATTGAAGCAATCCCAGCATTTTGGGAGGCTGAGGTGGGCAGATCACCTGAGGTCAGGAGTTTGAGACTAGCCTGGCCAACATGGTGAAACCCCATCCCTACTAAAAATACAAAAATTAGCAGAGCATGATGGCAGGTGCCTGTAATCCCAGCTACTCTGGAGGCTGAGGCAGGAGAATCGCTTCAACCCTAGAATCAGAGGTTGCAATGAGCTGAGATAACGCCATTGCACTCCAGTCTGGGCAACAAGAGCGAGACTCCCTCTCAAAAAAAAAAAAAAAAAATTGAAGCAAAAACTAATGAAACTTCAAGGAATAATATACAAATTCACAACTGTAGTTAGAGATTTCAACATCCCTTTTTCAAAAGGTAGTAAAACAAGTACAATCAGCCCTCCCTATCTGAGGGTTTCACATCCACGGATTTAATCAACCATCAATCAAAAATACTTAGAACAAAAGTGGATGGTTGCATCTGCACTGAATGTGTATGGACTTTTTTATCATTTTTTCCTAAACAATACAGTATAATAATTATTTACATGGCATTTACATTGTATTAGGTGTTATAAATAATGTAGAGACGATTTAAAGTATATTAGACAATGTGCATAGATTATATGCAAATACTATGGCATTTTGTATAAGAGACCTGAGCATCCATGGATTTTGGTATCTGAGGATTCTAGAACCAATCTCCTGTGAATACCAAGGTACCACCATAGACCAAAAATCAGTAAGATACGTAAACCAAATTCACTTGATTAACATTTATAAAACCCCACACCCACCACCAACAGAATACACAGCCTTTTGAAGTGCACACAGAACATTTATCAAAATTGACCATATTTGGGGTCATAAAACAAATCTCAATATATTTTAAAAGATTAGTCACATAATGGAATTAAATAAGAAATAAATAACAGAAAGATAAACTAGGGATGTTAGCCAGAATAATGCTTCCTTCAAGTATGTCCACATCCTAATTCCTAGACCTAACAAGAGGTCACCTCACATGACTGAAGGGACTTTACAGATGTAACTAAAGTTAGAGACTCCGTGATGGGAAGATTACCCTGGATTATCTGGGTGTGCCCAATCTAATCATATGAGTCTTTAAAAAGGAAGAGGAAGGCACAAGCATGAGTTGCAGAGAAGAAACAAAAGGAGAAAAAGAAAAGATACAAAGTGTAAGAGGGCGTCAACTCACCATTTCTGGCTTTGTAGATGGAGGAAGGAGGTCATGAGGCCAACGAATGTGGGTGACCTCTAGAAACTAAAAATGGCTCTCATTTTACAGCCATTGAGAAAACAGGGACTTCAGCCATACAACCACGATGAACAGAATTCTGCCAACAACTCAACTCGGCAGGAAACGGAGTCTCCCCTAAAGCCTCCAAAAAGGAATGCAAGCTGCTGACACCTGAGTTTTAGCTCAGTGAGATCCATACTCTACTTCTGACCTATAGAACGATAAGATAATAAATTTGTGTAGTTTTCAGCCACTAAACCTACGGTAATTCGTTACAGCAGTAATAGAAAACAAATACACTGGGAACTCTTGAAATATTTGGAAAGCAAATAACACACTTCTAAGTAGCCTATGAACAAAAAACAAATCAATGGAAAAATTAGAAAGTATTTAAACTGAATGATAATGAGAACAAAACATCAAAATCTTGGGGTTCCTGCTAAAGCAGTATTTAGAAGGAAACGTATAGACAGAATTAAATGTAGATTAGAAAAGAATAAAGGTCTTAAACAATGAGCACAGCTTCCACCTTGAGAAACTAGAAAAAGAAGAGCAAATTAACTCAAAGTAGACCCCAAAAAAAGAAAGAAAGAAAGAAATAGTGAAGATTACTATTCACAATAGCAAAGATGTGAAATCAACCTAAATGGCCATCAACAGTAGACTGGATAAAGAAAATGAGGTACATACACACCAGGGAATACCATGCAGCCATAAAAAAGAATGAGATCATGTACTTTGCAACAATATGGATGGAACTGGAGGCCATCATCCTTAGCAAACTAATAAAGAAAACCAAATACTTCATGTTCTCACTTATAAGTGGGAGCTAAATAATGAGAACACATGGACAGAAAGAGGGAAACAATAGGGGCCTACTTCAGGGTGGAGGGTGGGAGGAGGGAGAGGTTCAGAAAAAAAACTATTGGATACTATGCTTAGTACCTGGGTGATGAAATAATCTGTACACCAAATCCCCATGTCACAAGTTTACCTATATAACAAACCTGGACATGATCCCCTGAACCTAAAATAAAAGTTAAAATATTTTTTTAAATAAAACTAAACCACATATAAATGAAAAATAATTTAAACAATTATAAACAAAGTTTAAACAAAAATAAACAATATGAGAATAACCATGAAAAATAAAATAAAGATCAGAGCTGACATCAATAAAATAGGAAACAGAAAAACAACAGAAAAAGCAATGAAACATTTCAGAAATAAATAATCTGTAAGTAAAAACAAAAATCAATGTGACCAAACAATGGTCCAGAGACCAATAAAACTGATAAATTTCTAGCCAGATTGATCAGGAAAAAAATAGAGAAGATATAAATTATCAATATTAGGAATGAGAAATAACATCACAGGTCCTACAGGTATTAAAAGAATAAGAAGTCAGGCACTGTGGCTCACGCCTGTAATCCCAGCACTTTAGGAGGCTGAGGCAGGCAGATCTCCTGAGGTCAGGAGTTTGAGACCAGCCTGGCCAACAAGGCAAAACCCCATCTACTAAAATACAAAAATTAGCCCTACCTGGTGGCTCATGCCTGTGATCCCAGCTACTGAGGAGGCTGAGGCAGGGGAATAACTTGAACCCGGGAGGCGGAGGTTGCGGTGAGCTAAGATCACGCCATTGCACTCCAGCCCAGGCAACATAGTGAGACTCAGTCTCAAAAAAAAAAAAACAATAAGAAAGGAATGTTATTGTCTTAGTCCATTCACCTTGCTATAACAAAAATACAGAATGGGTGGCTTGAACAACATTTATTTCTCAGTTCTGGAGGCTGGGAAATCCAAGATTTCCCAGATTTAGTATCTGGTAAAGACCCACTTCCTGGTTCATATCTTCTTACCATATCCTCACATGGTAGAAGGGGCAAGGGGGCTCTCTGGGTCCTCTTTTGTGAGGGCACTAATGCCATTCATGAGGGCTCCACCCTCATGACCTAATCACCTCCCAAAGCCTCCACCTTCTTTTTTTTTTTTTTTTCAGTTTTTTTGTTTGTTTGTTTGTTTTATTTTTTATTTTTTTATTTTATTTATTTATTTATTTTTTTAATTTATTTTTTTATTGATAATTCTTGGGTGTTTCTCACAGAGGGGGATTTGGCAGGGTCATGGGACAATAGTGGAGGGAAGGTCAGCAGATAAACAAGTGAACAAAGGTCTCTGGTTTTCCTAGGCAGAGGACCCTGCGGCCTTCCGCAGTGTTTGTGTCCCTGATTACTTGAGATTAGGGATTGGTGATGACTCTTAACGAGCATGCTGCCTTCAAGCATCTGTTTAACAAAGCACATCTTGCACCGCCCTTAATCCATTTAACCCTGAGTGGACACAGCACATGTTTCAGAGAGCACAGGGTTGGGGGTAAGGTCACAGATCAACAGGATCCCAAGGCAGAAGAATTTTTCTTAGTGCAGAACAAAATGAAAAGTCTCCCATGTCTACTTCTTTCTACACAGACACGGCAACCATCCGATTTCTCAATCTTTTCCCCACCTTTCCCGCCCTTCTATTCCACAAAGCCGCCATTGTCATCCTGGCCCGTTCTCAATGAGCTGTTGGGTACACCTCCCAGACGGGGTGGTGGCCGGGCAGAGGGGCTCCTCACTTCCCAGTAGGGGCGGCCGGGCAGAGGCGCCCCTCACCTCCCGGACGGGGCGGCTGGCCGGGCGGGGGGCTGACCCCCCACCTCCCTCCCCGACGGGGCGGCTGGCCGGGTGGGGGGCTGACCCCCCCACCTCCCTCCCGGACAGGGCGGCTGGCCGGGCGGGGGGCTGACCCCCCCACCTCCCTCCCGGACGGGGCGGCTGGCCGGGCAGAGGGGCTCCTCACTTCCCAGTAGGGGCGGCCGGGCAGAGGCGCCCCTCACCTCCCGGACGGGGCGGCTGGCCGGGCGGAGGGCTGACCCCCCCACCTCCCTCCCGGACGGGGCGGCTGGCCGGGCGGGGGGCTGACCCCCCCACCTCCCTCCCGGACAGGGCGGCTGGCCGGGCAGAGGGGCTCCTCACTTCCCAGTAGGGGCGGCCGGGCAGAGGCTTCCCTCACCTCCCAGACGGGGCGGCTGGCCAGGAGGGGGGCTGACCCCCCCACCTCCCTCCCAGATGGGGCGGCTGGCCGGGCGGGGGGCTGACCCCCCCACCTCCCTCCCGGATGGGGCAGCTGGCCAGGCGGGGGGCTGACCCCCCCACCTCCCTCCCGGACAGGGCGGCTGGCCGGGCAGAGGGGCTCCTCACTTCCCAGTAAGGGCGGCCGGGCAGAGGCGCCCCTCACCTCCCGGACGGGGCGGCTGGCCGGGCGGAGGGCTGACCCCCCCACCTCCCTCCCGGACGGGGCGGCTGGCCGGGCGGGGGCTGACCCCCCCACCTCCCTCCCGGACAGGGCGGCTGGCCGGGCAGAGGGGCTCCTCACTTCCCAGTAGGGGCGGCCGGGCAGAGGCGCCCCTCACCTCCCGGACGGGGCGGCTGGCCGGGCGGGGGCTGACCCCCCCACCTCCCTCCCGGACGGCGCGGCTGGCCGGGCGGGGGGCTGACCCTCCCACCTCCCTCCCGGACGGGGCGGCTGGCCGGGCGGGGGGCTGACCCCCCACCTCCCTCCCGGATGGGGCGGCTGGCCGGGTGGGGGGCTGACCCCCCCCACCTCCCTCCCGGACGGGGTGGCTGCTGGGCGGAGACGCTCCTCACTTCCCAGCTGGGGTGGCTGCCGGGCGGAGAGGCTCCTCACTTCTCAGACGGGGCAGCTGCCAGGCGGAGGGGCTCCTCACTTCTCAGACGGGGTGGTTGCCAGGCAGAGGGTCTCCTCACTTCTCAGATGGGGCGGCCGGGCAGAGACGCTCCTCACCTCCCAGACGGGGTCGTGGCCGGGCAGAGGTGCTCCCCACATCTCAGACGATGGGCGGCCGGGCAGAGACGCTCCTCACTTCCTAGATGTGATGGCGGCTGGGAAGAGGCGCTCCTCACTTCCTAGATGGGATGGCGGCCGGGCAGAGATGCTCCTCACTTTCCAGACTGGGCAGCCAGGCAGAGGGGCTCCTCACATCCCAGACGATGGGCGGCCAGGCAGAGACACTCCTCACTTCCCAGACGGGGTGGCGGCCGGGCAGAGGCTGCAATCTCGGCACTTTGGGAGGCCAAGGCAGACGGCTGGGAGGTGGAGGTTGTAGCGAGCCGAGATCACGCCACTGCACTCCAGCCTGGGCACCATTGAGCACTGAGTGAACGAGACTCCGTCTGCAATCCCGGCACCTCAGGAGGCCGAGGCTGGCGGATCACTTGTGGTTAGGGGCTGGAGACTGGCCTGGCCAACACAGCGAAACCCCGTCTCCACCAAAAAAATACGAAAACCAGTCAGGCGTGGCGGCGCACGCCTGCAATTGCAGGCACTCCGCAGGCTGAGGCAGGAGAATCAGGCAGGGAGGTTGCAGTGAGCCGAGATGGCAGCAGTACAGTCCAGCTTCGGCTCCGCATGAGAGGGAGACCGTGGAAAGAGAGGGAGACCGTGGGGAGAGGGAGAGGGAGAGGGAGAGGGGGAGGGGTGTTTGTTTGTTTTTAAGACAAGGTCTTGCTCTGTTGCCTGTGTTGAAGTGCAGTGACTTGATCATAGCTCACTGCAGCTTCTAACTCCTGGGCGCAAGTCTTTTTTTTTTTTTTTTTTTGAGACTCTCTCTGTCACCCAGGCTGGAGTGCAGTGGTACGATCTCGGCTCACTACAATCCCTGCCTCCTGAGTTCAAGAGATTCTCCTGTCTCAGCATCCTGAATAGCTGGGATTACAAGTGCACACCACCACACTCAGCTAATTTTTGTATTTTTAGTAGAGATGGGGTTTCACCCTGTTGCCCAGGATAGTCTCAAATTCCTGACCTCAAGTGATCTGCCCACCTCGGCCTCCCAAAGTGCTGGGGTTACAGGCGTGAGCCACCACACCCCACCTTCTCCCAAAGTCCCCACCTTCTAATACCATCACATTCAAGGTTAGGAATTCAACACAGGAATTTCGGGGGAACACAAACATTCAGCCCATAACAGTTATGAACAATCGTGCCAATAAATTTCACAACTCGGGTAAAATGGACACAGTCCTTGAAAAAGCCCACTGATGATGAAATAGATAGCCCAAATAGCCCTTTATCTATTAAATAAATTGAATTTGTAGTTTAAAAAAAAATTCAGACCTAGGTAGCATCACTGGTGAAATCTACCAGACATTTAAAGAAGAAATAATACCAATTCTACACAAACACTTCAAGAAAATTGAAGAAGGAATTCTTCCAACTTGTTCTGTGGAGACCAGATTTACCCTGTGTTGATTACCCTGGTTAATTTTATGTGCCAACTTAGCTAGGCCCAGATATTTGGCCTAATACATCAGTATGTTGTTGTGAAAGTATTTTTATAGATGAGATTAACATTTAAATTAGTAGACTTTAAGTAAGGTAGATTATTCTCCATAACGTGAGTGGACCTCATCCAATCACTTGAAAGCTTTAAGAGAAAACAGACTGAGGTCCTGTGAGGAAGAGGAAAATCTGTCTCTAGATTGTCTATGGACAGTTGCAACAGCAACTCCCTTGGTCTCCAACCTGCCAAAATACCCTGCAGATTTTAGACATGTCAGCTACATGAGCCAACTTCTCTAGAGAAACAGAACCAATAGGGTACATACACAGTTGTCCCATCCCTCGGTGGGGGATTAGTTCCAAGACCTCCCCATGGCTACCAAAAGCCATGGATGCTCAAGTCCCTTATATAAAATGATGTAATATTTGCATGTAACCTGCACACATCCTCCTATATACTTTAAACCATCTCTAGATTACTTGTAATACCTAATACAACATAAATGCCATATAAATAGTTATTGTACTATATTGTTTAGGGGATAATGACAAGAAAAATTCTGTATCTGTTCAGTACAAGTGCAGTCATCCTTTTTTTTTTCCAAATATTTTTGATCTTCAGTTGGTTAAATCCACAAATGCAGAACCCATGGATTCAGAGAAACAGACAAACTGAACCAATGGGAGATATATATATATATATATGTGTGTGTGTGTGTGTATATATATATATATATATATAAAATTAAAGTAGACAAAGAAATAATAAAGATTACTATTCACAATAGCAAAGTGGGATACACGCACACAAACACACACACACACATACACACACACACACACACACACACACACACACATATATATATCACATTGGTTCTCTCTCTCTGGAGAACCCTAATATACTGATACCAAAAACAAAGACATTACAAGAAAAGAAAACTATAGACAAATCCTCTCATGACTTAGAGGCAAAAATTCTTAACAAAATTTTAATAAATTTAATCTAATAACATATCAAAAGAATAATACCAAATGACTAGAGTTTTTTTCAGGAATGAAAGGTTGGTTTAACATATCGTGCCATCAATGTAATGTACCATATTAACAGACTAAAAAAGTAAAACCATATTATCATCTCAATGGATGCAGGGTAAGCACTTGACGAGACCCAACATCTATTTTTGATAAAAATTCTCAGCAAACTAGAAAGAAAAGAACTAGCTCAATCTGTTAAAGGACATCTAAGAAAAACCCACAGCTAATGTACTTAAAGATGAAAGACAATGCTTTCCTCCTAAGATCATGAACAAGACAAGGATGTCCTCTCTCCACTTCTATTCAACATTGTACTGGAGGTTCTAGCCAGTGCAATAAGCCAAGAAACAGAAACAAAAAGCACCCAGATAGGAAAGAAAACAAACTGTTTTTGTTCACAGACAACATGATTGTCTATGTAGAATACTCAACGGTCTTACAAAAAGTTACTAGAATTAATAAGTGAGTGTAGCAGTTTTGCTTTTTGTTTTGATTAATATTCAAAAATTAATTGTATTTTTATATACTAGTAATAAACAATTGGAAATTTAAAAAATTTTAATACCATATATAGCCTGGTACAGTGGCTCACACCTATAGTCCCAGCACTTTGGGAGGTCAAGGTGGGAGGATCGCTTCAGTACAGGAGTCCAAGACCAGCCTAGGCAACATAGTGAGATCCCGTGTCTACACAAAAATAAAAATATTCAGGCATAGTGGCACATGTCTGTAGTGCCAGAGCTACTTGAGAAGCTGAGGTGGGAGGATCACTTAAGCCCAGAAGTTCGAGGCTGCAGTGAGCTATAATCATGCCACTGTACTTCAGCCTGAGTGACACAGCAAGACCTTGCCTCTAAAAAACCAAAAAAAAAAAACAAAGCACATACAATAGCATCAAAAATATAAAATATTTCGGAATAAATCTGGTAAAATATATGTTCATGTATGAAAAGACTCAATAGTGTTAAGATGTTAATTCTCCCCAAATTGATCTATAAATGCAATACAATCTTGATCAAAATCCCAGCAGGCATTTTTGTAGTAACTGAGGAGCCAATTCAAATGGAAGTGCAAAGGACTTAGAGTAGCTAAAACAACTTCCTTTAAAAGTTTTGGGCCAGGCATGGTGGCTCACGCCTGTAATCCCAGCAGTTTGGGAGGCCAAGGCTGGCAGATCACCTGAAGTCAGGGGTTTAAGACCAGCATGGCCAATGTGGTGGAACCCTGTCTCTACTAAAAATACAAAAATTAGCCAGGTATGGTGGTGGGCACCTGTAATCCCAGCTACTCAGGATGCTGAGGCAGGAGAATCACTTGAACCTGGGAGGCAGAGTTTGCAGTGATCCCAGATCAGGCCACTGCACTTCAGCCTGGGCAACAGAGTGAGACTCCATCAAAAAAAAAAAAAGTTTCACCTGGCCAGGGGTGATGGTTCATGACTGTAATCCCAGCATTTTAGGAGGCTGAGGAGGAAGGATCACTTCAGACTTAGGTAGCAACACTGGTGAAATCTATCAAACCCAGGAACTCAAGACCAGTCTGGGTAACAAAGCAAGACTCTGTTTCTACCAAAAAATTTTTAAAAATTTGCCAGGTGTGGAGATCACTACTCCATCCTTGAACTCCTGGGCTCAAACAATCCTCTGGCCTCAGCCTCCCGAGTAGCTAGGACTACAGGTGCACACCAGCACACCTAGCTAGCATGAGTGTTTTTTGTTTTTGTTTTGTTTTGTTGTTTTTTTGTTTGTTTTTTTATCATGTGACATAAGATTTATTGACTTCATATCAGCATTTAAGTATTGTTAACTTTTTTTTAATTTTATTATTATTATACTTTAAGTTTTAGGGTACATGTTTGTTTTGTTTTTTGAGACAGGGTCTCACTCTGTCGCCCAGGCTGGAGTGCAGTGGTGAAATCATGGCCCACTGTAGCCTTGACCTCCCCAGGCTCAGGTGATCCTCCCACCTCAAACTCCCAAGTATCTGGGACTACAGGTGCGCATCACCACACCAGCTAATTTTTTTGTGTATTTTTGTAAAGATGGAGTTTCTCCAATATTGCCCAGGCTGGTCTCGAACTCCTGAGCTCAAGTGATCCACCCACCTCAGCCTCCTAAAGTACTGGGATTACAGGCATAAGCCACTGCACCTGGCCAGGCACCAGTGTTTTTAAAGGTCCCAGAAGATTCCAATGTGCAGCCAATGTTGAGAACTGGGGAATGAGGGATGTAAATGAATCCGAGGAATACAAGGTATTATGAATGTGTGGAACGCGAGAAGGATCCAAAGTTTTGGTTAGATACAAGCCATGGAAGGGATGCCCAAGGTAGAGAATCCAGTGGGAAAGCAGGATCTTGGGTTAGGACGACTGCAGGAGTAGGGATAAAAAGGATAGGGATAACTCAGAACTATGAATGAAACATGTGAATTAGACATTTGTTCTGTCTCTCATGAAATTAGGGTCTGAATGTATCTTGAGAAGATGGTGGGCAGAATCATCCAATTTTCTGGCTATGTGGTTACTAATTCTTTTCTCCTTTGGGAACCCAGGTCTATGAAATTCTCAGTCATTAAACTTTCCAGAGGCTCTTTAAATTATTTGTGTAATCAGAGAACAAAAGAAGGAATCCCCTGCTCTGGGATCCAGGAACAGGCATAAAAGACATAAGAGAGAAAGTGGCCTCTATTCTCCCTCTAAACAAGAGACTCTGAATTTGGGCTGTTTCAGAATCAACTGGAAACACCCTGCCTAGAGTGCGTCTCTAGCACTTTTATTTTATTTTATTTTATTTTATTTTATTTTATTTTGAGACCAAGTCTCGCTCTGTCACCAGGCTGGAGTGCGGTGGCGCAATCTTGACTCACTGCAACCTCCGCCTCCCGGGTTCAAGCAATTCTCCTGCCTCAGCCTCCCGAGTAGCTGGGATTACAGGCGTGCACCACCATGCCCAGCTAATTTTTGTATTTTTAGTAGAAACGGGGTTTCACCATGTTGGCCAGGATGATCTCAATCTCCTGATCTTGTGATCTGCCCGCCTAAACCTCCCAAAGTGCTGGGATTACAGGTGTGAGCCACCATGCCTGGCTGCATTTATATTTTTAATAAATCCCTCAGGCCTCCAAAGTTTCAGAACCATAGCTATTTTTTTTTTAAGATAGGGTCTCACTCTGTAGCCCAGGCTGGAGTGCAGTGGCACAATCATAACTCACTGCAGCCTCCAATTCCCAGCCTCATGCAATCCTCCCACCTCAGCCTCCCAAATAGCTAGGACTACAGGTGCCCACCACTGCACTGAGCTGATTTTGTTTTTTTTTTTGGTCGAGACGGGATGTTGCTATGTTGCCCAGGCTGGTTTTGAACTCCTAGGCTCAAGTGATCCTCTTGCCTCTGCCTCCTAAAGTGCTGGGATTACATGCATGAGCCATTGTGCCCAGCCTAGAACCACTACCATTAGAAGTAATAGAAGATGACATCTATTGAAAATATCCCTGTCTCAGCCAGGTGCAGTGGCTCATGCCTCTAATCCCAGCACTTTTGGAGGCTGAGTGAGTGGATCATTTGAGGTCAAGAGTTCGAGACCAGCCTGGCCAACATGATGAAACCCTGTCTCTACTAAAAATACAAAAATTAGCTGAACTTGGTGACACATGCTTGCAATCCCAGCTACTCAGGAGGCTGAGGCAGGAGAATCACTTGACTCCAGGAGACAGAGGTTGCAGTAAGCCAAGATCATGCCACAGCACTCCAGCCTGAGCAACAGAGCAAGACTCCATCTCAAAAAAAAAAAAAATCCCTGTCTCAAACTCCTGCTTTCCAGGTAGATGGAGCGGGATAATGTGCTTTAATTGGTGAAGGGTTTCTGATCCCCATTTATCATGCAGAAGGCAGGAGCAAGCCAGAGACAGGTCCTGGCGAAAGGAAGCTAAAATGGTGCCTTTGATACAGGGGAAAGGGATACGAAAGGGGCTTAGGTGAGACCTCCTTACAGCTAGTGGCACCTGGTCAGCAGGGCCGTAGAGTTGAGGCCATCCCCTTAGCAGCAGTGGGACTTTGTTACACACACCCTCTGAGTCTTGGTGAGAAACTAGTCCCAGGGCCCCTTGTTGTCTCTGCCACTCCCATTCATGACATCATGGAAACTTCTGTGCGGCTGGGCTCCTGAACACAGCAGCCTGCCCTCGGCTGGATGAGGCAGCCAAAACCCTAAAAGGGTTGTGATAGGGACTGGAGTCAACAAGTAGCTGTGGGAACGTGGTGGCGCAGACCCTTCACCCAGGGAGCCCTGTGGGCTAGAAACACCAGACAGCCAGGATGTGGCGAGAGACTGCCCAACACACTGTCTGTGTGAGGCAGAGGAAGGAAGGAGATGAAGGAAGAAACAGGTAGGTAGGAGGGCGAGATCCCAAGCAAGTCAGGACAACTCCCACGCCTTGCCCAGGAGCCTTAAGAAGCCCAGGCACCTGCTGAGTGAAAGAGGATATATTTATTGGCTGAGCAAGAAGGGAAGGTACAGTTGGTAATGGCTGCTTCTAGAAGCCACCAGTCTCAGGTTCACTTGTTCCGAGCCCAGTTTCCTCCAAGGTGGCTGTACTGAGCATCATCTCGATCTCGGAGGGGCTAAGAGAGGAGAAGAGAAAACGGTCAGGAGGCAGGGTTAGAACTCTTCAAGGAAGGGCCCCAGCAGGCCCTGACGATGAGAGCTCCTGCCTGACCTCTCCAGTCACACCCAGCAATGAACTCCCCAGTAGGACCCTTCCCACGTGCAAACAGCATTCAGTGTGAGCCTCTCTATCCCCACTTACCCTCCCTTCATTCCTGCCTCCTTCCCCTCAACGCTCACCTGATAGACCTGGTCATTCCTCAACAGAGCTTGTGTGTCGGCAGCTAGAAGAACCAGAGAGAGACATCAATGGCCTAGCAGATGGGACTGTGAGATCCACCCTCCCACACCCTCAGAAGTCTGCATGAGTGATATGAACACACAAGTTCTTTCAACAGTCAAAGTTCTAGGAGTCTTTAGGAGATTGCAAGAGTAACTCCCAGCTGAGACTAAACCTACCACCAGCCCCATTCCTTAGCTGGTGCATAAGCTCACTGGTACACACACACACACACACACACACACACACACAAACACACTCTCATGCTCTGCTCTTCCACTAACCCCCAGACAGCCTTCCAGTCTCATGTCCAGCAAAGCAGAAGACTCCCAAAGCAAGGAGCAGAGTGGCAATGACATCAGTGACAATGATGCCAGCCACGGTGGCTGGATCCAGCTCCACACAGCTCTGGCACACTGTGGGGGAAGGGAGGAGAGAGGAGAGGTTGAGAGCCTTTAAGATCAGGGAACCATCCTCTGCCTCCTAGGGCAACCCTTAGATCTCTTATGCCAAAACCCAAACTTCAATAAGACCCTGGGAGAAAGGCCTGGTGATGGGCTTGCCACACCTTCCTCCACCCTGCATCCTAAGGAATCCCTGGGAAGAGCCAAGAAGTAATCTCAGCTTTTGGGACCTTGAACAAGGTGGTGGGCCAAACCTCTCACCCAACCAAGGCTGCAGTAACATGACCCCTACTGCTCTGTCTTGCTGAGTTAAGCTCTCTCTTCCACTTTGAAGGTCCCCAAATCTGGCTTGTACCATTACAATAGTGACCTCACTTTGTTTAGAGAACAGATGGGTTCACCATATCCCTCTCTAGCCAGAAAGTTCTCACATCCAGAAGCCCTATCCATTCCAACCCAAAGGGTTCAGGAAGCACGTACTTCGATAATGAACTTGCACGGTAGATTCTTTGTCCTTGTATATATCTGTCCCATTACACCTATATATTCCTCGTGGGTCCAGGATGCGTTTTCCCAGGTCCAGTCTTGTAATGTCTGAGAGCAGTGTTCCCACCGTTCCCTCTACCCATGTGATGCTGGTATTGCAATTCACAAACACTCTGTCCTCAAGTTCCTCTATAGGTATCTTGAAGGGGCTCACTAAAGGGGAAAAAATATCACAGTTGGAGACAGCTCTTTGATCTGCACCAAGCCCTTTGTTCTGCGGAAGCTCATACTTAACAGAGACCATTTTCCTGGTCCAGGACAGTTTATGGCTTCCATCAAGAGAGACAGAAGTCACAAGAAAAAGCCTTCAGAAAGTTCCCCACCAACTGCAGGGGTCAAGGGGGACATGAGGATGCCATTCAAGCAGAGGACAGGTCTTGGGGCCTTGGTGCAAAAGAGGACCCCTCAGAGCAGGATTGACCCAAGCACCTTCCTGGAAATGAATCCAGACCACTGATGAGGAGTAGGGGGAGCACGGACCACTGAAGCACCTGGAAGATGTGGAAAGACAGAAGAACATTCCTCGATTGGAAATGTCTGCATTTTTTCTTCAAGGAAACATCTAATTCCACTTCCCAGCCATCTACAACACTCCCACTTCAGCTTCTTATCCTCATCCTTCCTCATTGCCCCTGCTCCATTGACAACCAAGAAAGCGGGGCTCTCAACACTGAAGCCTTTCCCAGGGCCAGGGATGGCTGTGGGTGGAGACCAGCTGGTTTACCAGCCCCTGAATTATCAGCCAAGTGGTCCAGAACGGGACCAGGGCAAATCCCATGTACAGTTTTCCACCCTTGGTTAGAAGGAGGAGAACAGGAAAAAAATTTTATTGAATCCATCCCTAGAGCTCCTCACAAGTCAAGTCTTGTGGGAGACTTTTAGGGCTGGAGGTGAGTGCAGCAACATTCCAGATGCAGTGAGTTCCTCTGACAGCCTGAGCACATCTCCACAGGCCACAGAGGCACTACAGTCTATGCCTCCAAACACAGGGAAAAGTGGAGGCTACATTCATTCATCCTGGGCTTCACACTAAGTCCCAAATTTGGATACAAGAGCATCTTCTAGAAAACCCTGAAACAGCTGTTGCTCACACTTCTGAAGCAGGTTGGAAGTATATGCATGTATCCTCAGGGAGACACATGCACATCAAATGCTTCACGTCCTACAGTCGCGTCCTCTTCAGGGATCTGTCTCCAGTGGAAATCCTGAGTGCCCTAGTGCAGCCAACTATTAGGTGACCATTGGACCCAGTTTGCTTAGTGTTGAAGGGGTTCCTCGGACATGGGACTTTCCATTTTAAAACTGAAATTGGCAAACTGAGATGAGTTAAAATCCTACCATGTAACAACCCCTCAAATCTTCCCTCCGTCCTGCTCAACCTAAAGTTAACTTCTCTTAAAGCATTCACATAAGTGCTAGGACATGCCTCCAGGGATGACATAATCATGGCCAAACAAACAAGAGTCCTGATTCCAGAGGCCATCAGGCCTAAAAGGAGTAGTGCAGGAAGCTGTGCTCCCATGGCCAGTCCCAGATTCAGGTACATACGTACTGAGCTATTTTCTGCAGATCTCTGGCCTAAGGCCTTCTGAGAGACATTCTAGGCCCACATGCACCCATGGCTGGAGTCAGTCAAAGCCAAGAGCCTGTTTCCCAGACTCTATGCTACATCCTGCCCCTGCCCTCCTGACACCCCTGGGGTGCCTGGTGAACTGAAGCTAGCACCGAGAAGCACTTTTTTTTTTTTTTGAGATAAGGTCTCACAGGTTGCCTAGGTTGGAGGGCAGTGGCATGATCACAGCTCACTGAAGCCTTGAAATCCCGGGCTCAAGTGACCCTCCTGCCTCAGCCTCTCAAATAGCTGGGACTACAGTTGTGCACCACCATGCCTGGCTAATTCTTTTGTTTTTTGTAAAGATAGAGTCTCATCATGTTGCTCAGACTGGTCTCAAACTCCTGGCCTCAAAGGATCCTCCCACTTCGGCCTCCCAAAGCTCTGGGATTACTGGTGTGAGCCACCGTGCCTGGCAAGAAACACTTTCAAGTGGGCCTCACTCCCATCAGTAATGTCCCTCTCAGGTCCCTTCCCCCACCCACCTGGAGTAGCCTTACCTTGCGAGAGAAGGGTAGCCAGTACCAGGCCAGAGAGAAACGTGCTATGTTCCATCTCCCAGCGGAACTCATCCAGTAGATAAAGCCAGGTCACCGAACTATCAGCCTGGGTGAGAGCTGCCCTCCCCTAGCTGACTCACAGGTACCGGAAAGAGGAGAGTGGGGGAGGAACTAGAAGATGTCTGCTTCTCTGCTTTCTGCCGTTGATGGTGGGAAATTTTCAGAGTGGGGGTGGGCTAGGGGTAGGGTAGGAAGGAAGCGGTGTAAATTGCTCTATCTCTGAGCAGGGAGCTGGCAGAGAATATGGAAAAGGTGGCCTGAACTTTAGCGTCCCTATTGACAATGCAACCACATTTACACACAACCTAAACACTGCCACATCTCGAAGCCCCTTGAGAGAAGCCGTCGGCCCCATAGCGCAAGCCGTAGCAGCTAGATTTCTCATGGAGGCTGATCTTTCTCAGGACCCTTCACTAGGCAGCCAGGGACACCAGATCTAGCAGCTTCTTGTCAGTGGGAGGTTGGGCTTTAGAGACCCCAGCCAGAGATTTGAATCCTGGGTCCAATACTGCCTACCTGTGGGGCCTGGGCCAGCCATAAAATTTTTCAGAGTCTTATTCCATTAGTACCATTATTAGGATTCAAACAAGATATTTGCATGGTGCCTCACGCATCATATGTGCTCATTAAGGGGTAGTTATTAATAATAATATAATTGACTGACAGGCAATATTGAGCCTCCCGGTGAGACAAATGGACCTTTTTCCCCTGTGGCCTACGAGGATCTGAAACTCTTCACGCTGCTGCAGTTAGACTGTCACTTACCTGGGGACAGAGTCATGCCTGTCTTGCTCACTGCTGTATCTTGTGCCTGGCACATAACGGGAGCTCTGCACATTTTTGTTGGCTCACTGACTGACTGGCTGAGGGAGATAGGGGCCTGAGATCCTGGACATTCAGTCCGGGCTCTGGCCCCTGAAAATGTGCTGGCCTGTCCTCGGAATTGTTCCACCTATTGCCTTCCAGGCGCCTCTTTCATGATCTCAAAAGAATAGTGAAACCAGGTGCCGTGTCTCACGCCTGTAATCCCAACACTTTGGGAGGCTGAGGCAGGTGGATCACAAGGTCAGGAGTTCGAGACCAGCCTGACCAACAAGGTGAAACCCCGTCTCTACTAAAAATACAAAAATTAGCCGGGCTTGCTGGCACGCACCTGTAATCTCAGCTACTCAGGAGGCTGAGGCAGGAGAATCGCTTGAACCCCGGAGGTGGAGGTTGCAGTGAGCTGAGATAGCGCCACTGCACTCCAGCCTGGGCAACAAAGTGAGACTCTGTCTCAAAAAAGAAAAAGAAAAAAAAAGTGAAAAAAATTCCTGAATGAAGGCCTGGACTGAGGTGGCTTTCCATTTGGAGGTCCAGCCCCAAGCATCTGAGAGTCCCTCCTAAATTCATTACCTACAGCAACAACAACTAGCAACAAGTAACAACTGGCTACGATCCTAACAACTAATGACAGGGACATTTATCTCCCTCATGAAGAAACGGTCCCAGGACCATCTCCCACCCAGCATCCATTGCGGTTCCCTGTGCAAGATGAGTCTCTGAGTGGGAATCCAGCACTCTCTCCCTCTTCTTCCCCACCACCTTCACCCTCCTTAACGGAAAAACAAAAGGCATCTGCACCTGCAGCCCTGCTGAGGCCCCTGCTGCTCACACTTGCAGCAGAGGGTGGAGGCTCTGGGTTCTTGCCTTCTCTCAAAGGCCCCAGCCCCAACAGTGATGGGTGGAGCCAGTCTAGCTGCTGCACAGGCTGGCTGGCTGGCTGGCTGCTAAGGGCTGCTCCACGCTTTTGCCGGAGGACAGAGACTGACATGGAACAGGGGAAGGGCCTGGCTGTCCTCATCCTGGCTATCATTCTTCTTCAAGGTAAGGGCCTACTAGGGGTCTGGAAGCCTGGGGAAGGGCTCAAGGGAAGAGCCCATCACTAGTGAGACAGGAATATTGGTATCCCTAACCTTCAGCCTACCTCTGCTGTCACCTTAGAGTTCAAAGAAGGGCAAAATGGAGGCTCTTAACTGTTCTCTGCTAGAGAGAAACAGTGTCCCATGGAGGAGAAGGAATCCTTGTCTCTGAAAAATGCAAACAGAGTACTTAAATGGCTGAAGAGAGGACCCTGTTACCGCCATCTTAGATTTGAATGCAGCCCAAAAGGGCATAGGCCAAGAAACTAAAAGGAAAAAGTATATGTTCCCTACTTCAGAGCTGGGGGCTAGCAGTCGACCTAGGAAATGTCCATTCACTCAGTTGGGCAGTTGGCCAATTGGTCAACAAAGATGGGTGAGACCCTAATATGTGATATGCCATGAGGAAATAAAAATGAATAAAACACTTATGCTCTACAGAACTCATAGTCTCATTGGAGAGATTAGTTTTCATGGTGCCAGACTGAGTGTACAGTATAGTATGGGTGCCTGCATGAATACTCCATTGGACTATCCAATAGGAAGTGGATGAACTGGGTTGATGCCTGGAGTCTGGACATCCTGGGAAAGTTAAAACCATGGAATTTGCTGAAGTCACACAAGTACTATGTGAGGAAGAGGGAGCTGAAGATGGAACAGTGAGGGCACCAATTTTAAGGGGCAGTTAGAGAAAAAAAAACATTCCAGGAAAGAGATAAAAGGAGAATCAAAGAGCTGAAATAATCAAATGTATGCACTACCTTGGAAACCAAGAGAGTAGAGAGCTTCTAGAAGAAGAGAATTACCAAGAGTATAAAATGTTAAAGAGAGCCCACTAATATAAGAATATATTTAAAAGTTTAAGTCTGCGGGATGTGGCAGAATATGCATCATGGGTGATTTAGCACAGTTTCAGCAGGGTATTGTGAGTGGAAGCCAAGTGAAAATTGGTAGAAGGTGAAGGTCAGGTGATGAGGTCAGCAAGTGTAGACTATTCTTTAAAGACATTTGGATGAGGAGGGAGAAAAGACTGGGTGGTAGGTAGAGGAGGAAGTAGAGTCTAAGAATAAATGTTTTTGAGGGTGAGAGAAACTTGAGCACATTTCTAGGCTAAAGGAGAAGATGATGAGTAGAGCAAGGTCCTGGAGTTGATGGTGGAAGGACAGAGTCAAGAGTGGGGTCAAGAGCACAGAGAGGAAGGCAACGTTACCCTCTAAGACCAGGAGAAAGGAAGTGCAAACGGCACTGGCCACAAATAGGTTTATAAAGGGAAAGGAAGCTAAAGGAGAAAGGACAATAACAACTTCCGTGTTCTAAAAAATCCAGGTGGGAGGCAATGCCACCTGCTGAAACTGAGCTGGGTGATGACCGGTTGGGAGACTTGAAGAGGACAGTGAGAGTTTAGAATAGAATTATTTCTGAGAGAAATGCAAGGAAAAGTCAGGTAAAGACAACACAGGTTGAGGAGCAACTCTCAAGCCTGGGTGAGGTGGCTGCATATCATGGAAAGAGCATTTGAGTTCAGCAGTAGAAAACCTGAGCTCTGGATCCAGCTTGGACACCAATGAGCTATGTGTACTTGAACAACTCCTCCACTGTCTGGGAGTTCTCATGCCAGCCAATCCAGAAATGTGGCAGGGACGGGCATGGTGGCTCATGCCTGTAATCCCAGCACTTTGGGAGGTCGAGGCAGGTGGATCACCTGAGGTCAGGAGTTCGAGACCATCCTGGTCAACATGGTGAAACTCTATCTCTACTAAAAATATTTTAAAAATTAGTGGGGTGTGGTGGTGGGTGCCTGTAATCCCAGCTACTCAGGAGGCTGAGGCAGGAGAATTGCTTGAACCCAGGAGATGGAGGTTGCAGTGAGCCAACACGGTGCCACTGCACTCCAGCCTGGGCGACAGAGTGAGACTCCGTCTCAAAAAACAAAACAAAAAAAAAAGAAATGTGGCTATATGAACTCTTAAGTCCTAAAAGGAAACCTCACTCAGATATGCAACATTAAAAGATGTCAATCAGCCAGGCACAGTGGCTCATGGCTATAATCCCAACACTTTGGGAGGCTAGGGAGGGAGGATCATTTGAGCCCAGGAGTTCAAGACCAACCTGGGCAAAATAGGGATACCCTGTGTCTACAAAAACTACGAAAATTAGCCAGGCATGTTGGCATGCACTTATGCCAGCTACTTGGGAGGCTGAAGTGGGAGGATTGCTTGAGCCCAGGAGCTTGAGGCTGCAGTGAGCCATGATCACACCACTGCACTTCAGCCTGAGTGACAGAGCAAGAAAAAAAAAAAAAGATGTCTCAAAAAAAAAAAAAAAAACTATGTCAATGATCAGTGCAATCTCCTTCCCTGAATCCAATTTAGAATGAGGGGTCTCTGTCTTCTCTCGGTCTTCTGACCAGGTGGTCAGGAGAAAAACTAGTTAGAAACCTCTTTAACTGTTTGTCTTGCCTTTTCTCCCATTTGCTCATTTATTCATTTGCACATTCATTCAACAAATAAAGTTCCTACCATGTTCCAGACACTGCACTGGATACTGTTCAAAAATAATCCCGCCCTGCATGAGGTTCTAAGACAGTTCACTTCTTGTATTTCCATTATACTTTGACTCATGACCGCCTCTCCCTATCACACACACTCCACCTCTAGCCACACTACCTCTCTTGTCCTTTTCCAAAGCTGCATCTTATTCAGCTATTCTTTCTACTCAGAATGACTTTCTCTATCTGGTATATTCTTGCTTACTCTTCAAGGCCCAGACAAATGTCGTTTCCTCTATTAAGCTTTCCCTGATCCTCACCCTTGGACAAAATTAATAGCTTCTACCCTTTTTTCATATGCAGTCATATAAGCACTAAAAGATAATGTATACATTCTATTAAATTAATTGCATATATGTTTTAATTTTTTCACTTCATTCATAAACTTTGGAAGCAGCAGTTGATTCTTCATATCAGCACTCTTTTCTTTCATAATATCTAATTATTTTAGGTCATAATAGTCCTCGTTAAATGTTTGGATTAAATCTAATTGAATTGAATTCAAGTGCCAGATCTCTGTAATATGTCTACCATGCAACTCTACTACCCTAAGGTTTTGTTTGTCTGTTTGTTTGTTTTTATTTTTTTGAGACAGCTTTAACACCTAGGCTGGAGTGCAGTGGTGCAATCTTGGCTCACTGCAACCTCCACCTCCCAGGCTCAACCATTCCTCCCACCTCCTGAGTAGCTGGGACTACAGGTGCATACCACCATGCCCGGCTAATTTTTTTGTATTGTCTGTAGAGACAGGGTTTCGCCATGTTGTCCAGGCTGGTGTCTAACTCCTGGGCTCAGGCAATCTGCCCACCTCAGCATCCCAAAGTGCTGGGATTACAGGTGTGAGCCACTGCTGCCAGTCAACTCTGAGTTATGAGACAGATTTGAGGACTAATTGAAAAGCTAACTTCCCTGGGACATCCAGGGTTTTTATAATAAAAGGATCACCAAGGCTGAATATTTTATAAGGAACTCAGCCTAAAGGTTTTGGATAGTGCACACCCACTCCTTGCCAGGGCATTAGCTGCTCAAGAAGCAGAGTGTTCTGGACTGGATAGGCAATATCCTTACTTACATATACTACAATACAATTCTGATGCTAACCCCCCAAATTAGTGTCAGACCCTACAGGTTAAGAGCATGGTTCCCAACCAGATTGCCCTCACTTTAAATGCCAGCTACAAGTTCAGGGTACCCCAGACCACTCACATTTCTGACAAACTGCCTGCAATCTTAAGGATTCCCATGACCCTCCTCATTGATAATTTGCTAGAATAACTCACAGAATTTAAGAAAGTGCTGTACTTCCTATTTCAGTTTTATTAAAAAATAAAATAAAATCAGAACCAGCTAAATGAAAAGGGCAAGGTCTAGGAGGGTCCCGAACACAGAGCCTCCGTGCCCTCTCCCCGTGGAATTAGAACACATCGCCCCCAGCACTCTCCCACACTCTGCCAGCACATTGATGGGTTCACCAACCAGGAAGCTCCACCAAGTTTTTATTGAGGTATCTTTACATAGGCATGATTGATTGAATCATTGGCCGCTTGACTGATCTCAATCTCTAGGATCCCTTCCTGGGGCTGATACCACTAGTTTCAAAGCTGCAATCCTCTTACCATATGGTTGGTCTTGACCAGCACCATCCTGAGTCATTGCCATGCATAAACTCAGGTATGGTCTAAGGATCCACCACAGATAACAAAGCCACTCCTGTCACTCATGAAATTCCAACGGTTAGAAACACCCTCCCAGGATACCAGGACAAAGATGAGACAAATTGTTTATTATCACCTTGAATTCAATTGAGTGATTTAGTCTACAATCCGGAAAACTAAGTATAGATACTACCATTTTCATGGATTTGGATCTTTCTTCATCTTGGCCTCAAATAACCATGGAAATACTTCAGGGCATCTGAACAACTCCATGCCCAGCTAATACTCTATCTCTCTTCTGTCTTTACAGGTACTTTGGCCCAGTCAATCAAAGGTAGGAGAAATGGCTTCTTTCTATACTCAGACTCAGAATATTGACGGAAATTTGGCTTCCTACAACAGTAGTCCTACAGGAGCGAACAGTTTAGAATGAATGAAATGACGGGGATAGAGAGGTGATGTCTCTATTGTCAACCAAATCAGTGACCTGACATAACCTGTTCCGGGCAGCTTGCCTGTAGCTAAGCATTTAACTGGTCTCTTACAGGAGAAGCAGGACCCTAGTAGCTAGGGACACATCTCAAACTGTGACCCATGAACCAGTAGGTATTGGCGTCACCTGGGATCCTGACGTTAGTCTCTGTCAATCCTTCTCTTTAGTTCATCTATTCTACCCAAAGTGATCTCATCATCTGGTATGCTGTTAGCAGTTTCTTACCTGTATAGTATCTTCCAAATAACATGCCCCAAAATCCCAAAGTTTTACCCCTACTAATTACAGCAATGTCTCTTTTATTCTTCACCCCCTGACGCAGATATTGGCGTCACCCGAGAGCATGTTAGTAATGCAGAATCTCCCCTCCCCAGAACTACTAAATAGCACCTGAAATTTTAACAAGATCCCCATGTGATTCATGTGCACATCAAAGTTTGAGAAACACTACTCTAATGATCTCCTGGTATGCAGAAGCAGGGAGAATTTCAGAGGCAAGATCCTTAATAGAACCACGGCTTTTCTCATTTCAGGAAACCACTTGGTTAAGGTGTATGACTATCAAGAAGATGGTTCGGTACTTCTGACTTGTGATGCAGAAGCCAAAAATATCACATGGTTTAAAGATGGGAAGATGATCGGCTTCCTAACTGAAGATAAAAAAAAATGGAATCTGGGAAGTAATGCCAAGGACCCTCGAGGGATGTATCAGTGTAAAGGATCACAGAACAAGTCAAAACCACTCCAAGTGTATTACAGAAGTATGTAATCCCCTTTGGTCTGTTTGTTGTGAAATTAATCAGTATTTGCTGTTCTGGTGAGCTTTTTATCTGGGGTGAAAGTGGAAATAGATCCTCAACAGTAATATTATCGCCTGTTCTCTTAATTTCAGCTTGCCTCTTTTAAAATACTGTAAGATACTTCCCTCACCCTATTGAAAAACTACAGCCAGTCCTGTAAAATTTTGTTTACCTTTGGGTGGGCTCCATGGATTCAAGCAATTCAGCACTGAGTTGAATGAAGGGGTTGGGGAGACAGAGGTGATCATAAGGTGAGCAGCAGTGAGAACTGGAGCGCAGTGGAGCATGAAGAGTATCTAGTCTTCCTTCTGTTCCAGATACTTCCTGGTAGTTAGACTACATGGGCTTCCCCAGGAATCCTGGGGGACTTAAGAGCATCAAGATGCATTGAGTTTTGGCGCAAGGATCTTCCCTTGCCCTGCCACCCACAGAGGAAAAGCCTGCTGCCCTCCACAGCGGCATTATTGCAGACAGGCAGGAGAAAACGAACCAGGAAAAACAACTTTCGCAACCTGAAGGTTTGTCTCTCCTTTTCCCTACAGTGTGTCAGAACTGCATTGAACTAAATGCAGCCACCATATCTGGCTTTCTCTTTGCTGAAATCGTCAGCATTTTCGTCCTTGCTGTTGGGGTCTACTTCATTGCTGGACAGGATGGAGTTCGCCAGTCGAGAGGTAAAAGAATGCTCTTAGATGAGAGATGGGACCACCTGAGACCCTCAGCTTTCCTCCTACCATTATGTACCCAATGGAAGAGACTGAGTTGGTGCTTCTTGCTAGTGTGCATAGTTGGGTGAGGCTGTATTTCTCTGAGACAGGAGAAAGGATACTTGGTGTTATCACAGCATGTTCACCTGTCTCAAGATACAGCTCCCTCTGTGAAAAAAAAAAAAAACAAAAACAGGCGCAGTGGCTCACGCCTGTAATCACAACACTTTGGGAGGCCGAGGCGGGCAGATCACGAGGTCAGGAGATCGAGACCATCCTGGCTAGCACGGTGAAACCCCGTCTTTACTAAAAATACAAAAAATTAGCCGGGCGTGGTGGCGGGTGCCTGTAGTCCCAGCTACTCTGGAGGCTGAGGCAGGAGAATGGCATGAACCCGGGAGGCGGAGCTTGCGTGAGCCGAGATCGTGCCACTGCACTCCAGCCTGGGCGACAGAGCAAGACTCCGTCTCAAAAAAAAAAAAAAAAAAAACTATTTTAAGTAAACCCTTACATACAGAAAAGTGAATCACAAGCATACAGCTCAAAAAAAAAATTCACAGAGCAAATACACCCATGCAGCCAGCACATAATTTAAGAAAGACAATATTACCAATGCCATTGAAGCCCCTCTTGTGGTCACTTCCAGCCACTACCCATCCTCAAGAGTGAGCATTGTCCTGACTTCTAACAACAAGGATTAACTTTGCTTGTTTTTGTCCTTTATGTAAATGGACTCATATACTAAGTATTCTTGTGAGTAGCTTCTTTCACTCAACAACATGTTTATGTGCTTTATCCATACTCTTGTGTATATATAAAACTCTTATTGTTATTTAGTATTCCATTTTGTGAATATAACCCAATTTATTATGCATTCTACCTTGTGTGGATTCTGTTTCTTTTTTGTGCAGCTTCAGACAAGCAGACTCTGTTGCCCAATGACCAGCTCTACCAGGTAAGGGGATGAAGAATAAAAGAGACATTGCTGTAATTAGTGGGGGTAAATCTTTGGGATTGAGGGGCATGTTATTTGGAAGATCCTATACAGGTAAGAAACTGCTAACAGCATACCAGATGATGAGATCAGTTTGGGTAGAATAAATGAACTAAAGAGAAGGATTGACAGAGACTGAGGTCAGGATCTAGTGAGCACAAGTTGAAGAACACACTGAGAGGGACACACGAAGAAACTCTCGACAGGCTGGGCACTCACTATAGACAGGCCATGGCTCATGCCTGTAATCCCAGCACTTTGGGAAGCCAAAACAGGTGAATCACCTGAGGTCAGGAATTCGAGACAAGCCTGGCCAACATGATGAAACTCTGTCTCTACTAAAAATACAAAAAAAATTAACCAGGCGTGGAGGCGCGCGCCTGTAGTCCCAGCTACTCAGGAGGCTGAGGCAGGAGGACCACTTGAACCCAGGAGGTCGAGGTTGCAGTGAGCTGCGATTGTGCCACTGCACTCCAGCCTGGGCAACAGAGAAAGACTCCGTCTCAAAAAAAAAAAAGAGAGAGAGAGAAAAAGAAAAAAGACAGAGCCTCCATCTCCTTGTCCTCTTTCCATCCTCAGGACCATGAAGTACCCACTCCAAATTCTCACATATAAAAAACATTCAATAAACATGCATCAAATTAATTAATAGAGGATGGAAAAAATGACTTATGACTGTGCTGTCCTTTCCAGCCCCTCAAGGATCGAGAAGATGACCAGTACAGCCACCTTCAAGGAAACCAGTTGAGGAGGAATTGAACTCAGGACTCAGAGTAGGTGGGTTCTTCAATGCCAATTCTAATAAAGGACCCTTGCATCAACTGCCCTCGCAATTGCTTCTAAGTCTAGCTCCCTTCCCTAAGCGGCTATAAGCATCAGACTCTGGGGATCAGGGATTGGGACGTGGTTTGGGGTACTCTTTTCTAAAAATTCTGGGGCCATACTGATTGTCTTGGCCTAGGTAAATATGAATTTTATGTATCTGTAAATCCTGTCAGAGCAGGGCCTCAAGCCATAGAGATGCTGAATATTAATCTTAACCTACATTTGAATTTCTCATTATCTACACTATTAACATTTTGGGCTAATTAATTATTTGTGATGAGGGGCTAGCCTGTGCATTGTAGGAGTTATGGAAGCATCCCTGGCCTCTCTCCACCAGATGCTGGTAGATTGTCCAGTGTGACAATCAAAAATGTGTCCAGACATTACCAAATGTGTCCAAACATCACCTCCAGGGCAAAATCACCCTTAGTTAAGAACCACTAACCCATATTAACCTTCCAATCAATAAATCAATCAGTCAGAAGTTATGATTTAATTAATCTATCTGAAGTTTCTATCAGGAAGACAGGGTTGAAAGCATTATTTGTTTTTTTTGAACAAATTGCAATTTTTCTTTTTTCAGTCCAGGTGTTCTCCTCCTATTCAGTTCCCAGAATCAAAGCAATGCATTTTGGAAAGCTCCTAGCAGAGAGACTTTCAGCCCTAAATCTAGACTCAAGGTTCCCAGAGATGACAAATGGAGAAGAAAGGCCATCAGAGCAAATTTGGGGGTTTCTCAAATAAAATAAAAATAAAAACAAATACTGTGTTTCAGAAGCGCCACCTATTGGGGAAAATTGTAAAAGAAAAATGAAAAGATCAAATAACCCCCTGGATTTGAATATAATTTTTTGTGTTGTAATTTTTATTTCGTTTTTGTATAGGTTATAATTCACATGGCTCAAATATTCAGTGAAAGCTCTCCCTCCACCGCCATCCCCTGCTACCCAGTGACCCTGTTGCCCTCTTCAGAGACAAATTAGTTTCTCTTTTTTTTTTTTTTTTTTTTTTTTTTGAGACAGTCTGGCTCTGTCACCCAGGCTGAAATGCAGTGGCACCATCTCGGCTCACTGCAACCTCTGCCTCCTGGGTTCAAGCGATTCTCCTGCCTCAGCCTCCCGGGCAGCTGGGATTACAGGCACACACTACCACACCTGGCTAATTTTTGTATTTTTAGTAGAGACAGGGTTTTGCTCTGTTGGCCAAGCTGGTCTCGAACTCCTGACCTCAAGTGATCCGCCCGCCTCAGCCTCCCAAAGTGCTGGGATTACAGGTGTGAGCCACCATGCCTGGTCTTAAAACCAGTTTCTTATATATCTCTCTGGAGGTATTCTAGGCATATATGAGCACATTCTCAAGTACATATTATCCTCCCTTCCCCTATCTTTTAGACAAATGATATCAAACTATACATCTTGTGAGATTATTGCATACCATTATATGAAGATACCATTATATCCTTTTTAATGCAACCATATTGTACAAATAGACTATGATTTATTTAACCTGTTATCTATCAGTGGATATTTAAGTTGGTAGTTGGTTCCAATCTTTTGCTCTTACAACAATTCTGCAATGACTAACATTGTATAAATATCATTTTTAAAAATAATTGCATTGAAGCATAATGTACATGCCATAAAATCCACCCATCTTAAGTGATTTCACCTGTTCTCAGAAATTTTTAGTAAATTTAACTAATTGTACAGCCATTACCATAATCCAGCTTTAGGACATTTTCTTTTTTTTCTTTTCTTTTCTTTTTTTTCTTTTTTTTTTTTTTTTGAAGTGGAATCTTGCTCTGTGGCCCAGGCTGGAGTGCAGTGGCGCGATCTCAGCTCACTGCAACCTCCACCTCCTGGGTTCAAGCGATTCTCTTGCCTTGGCCTCCCGAGTAGCTGAGACTACAGGCACATGCCACCACGCCCAGCTCATTTTTTGTGTATTTAGTATTTGTGTATCTAGTATTTGTGTACTTAGTAGAGACAGGGTTTCACCATGTTGGCCAGGCTGGTCTCCAATTCCTGACCTCAGGCGATCCACCCGCCTTGACCTCCCAAAGTGCTGGGATTACAGGTGTGAGCCACCGCGCCAGGCCCGTAACTGTATTTTAATATAGCCATTCTATGGATTTAATATGGTATTTTATTATGGCCTTAATTTGCATTTCCCTAGATACTAACCATGCTGAGTGTCCTGTCTTGTGTTTATTAACCATTCATATATTTTTAGTGAAATGTGTATCAAATCTTTTGCCCATTTTTAAGTTGACTTATTTGTTTGTCTTCTTACTATTGGGTTGCATATGTTTTTGATATAAGTCCTTTATCAGATATATGATTTGGAAATATTTTCTACCAATCTGTGGTTTGTTTTTCTTAATGGTGTCTTTTGAAGTGCAAAAGGTTTGAATTTTGAAGTACATTTTATTGATTTTTTCTTCTATATATTGTGCTTTTGGTATCATGTCTAATAAATCTTTACCAAACCCACAGTTACAAAGATTTTCTCCTGTCTTCTTTTTATACTTTTTACAGCTTTATGGTTTTAGCTCTAACAATAAATGTGATTTTGAACATACATAAGACTATTTGTAACAAACACAAATAAATTGAATTGTTGGGCACTTGTATTTGCATTTGTAATTTTATTAACTATTGCCAAATAGCAGTTGTAAACACGTACACACACACAAGTGTATATACACATATACATATATATACATATACATGTATGCATATATGCATATATACATATATGCATATATACACATATATACATATATACACATATACATATATGCATATATACACATATATACACATATACATATATGCATATATACACATATATACATATATACACATATACATATATGTATATATACACATATACGTATATGTGTATATATACACATATACGTATATGTATATATACATATATGTATATGTATATATACACATATACACATGTATATATACACATATACACATGTATATATACACATATGTATATATACACATATACACATATGTATATATACACATATACACATATATACACATATGTATATATACACATATACATATATGTATATATACACATATGTATATATACACATATACATATATGTATATATACACATATACATATATGTATATATACACATATACATATATGTATATATACACATATACACATATACACATACATATATGTGTATCTACACATATACACATATACACATATACGTATACGTGTATATACGTAGATACACATATACATATATACACACGTGTGTATATACGTATATACACAAGTGTGTATATACGTATACACACATATATGTGTGTGTATACGCATACACACATATATGTGTGTGTATACGCATACACACATATACGTATATATGACAGGGTCTTGCTCTGTTGCTAAGGCTGGAGTGCAGTGGCACAACATTGGCTCACTGCAGCCTCGACTGCCCAGGCTCAAGCAATCCTCCCACCTCAGCCTCCTGAGTAGCTGAGATTTCAGGCGTGTGCCACAATATCCAGCTAATTGCTTAATTTTTTTTATAGAGAGAGGGTCTCACTATGTTGCCCAGGCCAGTCTCAAACTCTTGGGGTCAAGTGATCCTCCCATCTCATCCTCCCAAAGTGCTGGGATTACAGGTGTGAGCCACTGTGCCCAGCCAGGTTGTACCAATATACACTACCAATAACAACAAACAAAAGTGCCTGTTACTCCATACATGTTCCAACAGTGTATTATTAAACTTTTGAATCATGCCAAACTGAATGGCTTCTCACTATAATTTTAGTTTACATTTTTCTTATTAAAAATTGGAGGCTAGGTGTGGTGGCTCATACCTGTAATCCCAACACTTCGGGAGGCCAAGGCAGGTGGATCACCTGAGGCCAGTAGTTTGAGACCAGCCCAGCCAACATGGCAAAACCCTGTCTCTACTAAAAATACAAAAAATTAGCTGGGTGTGGTGGTGGGTGCCTGTAAACCCAGCTACTCAGGAGGCTGAGGCAGGAGAATTGCTTGAACCTGGGAGGTGGAGGCTGCAGTGAGCTAAGATTGCACCATTGCACTCTAGCCTGGACAACAAGAGTGAAACTCCGTCTCAAAAAAAAAAAAAAAAAAAAAAAACTGGAGTAAACCATTTGTTTTTCCTTCTCATGATACATAAGTTCACATCTTTGGTCTTTTTCTTATTGACTTACACTAACCCCTTACATATTTGGGAAACTAGGTCTTTTGTGATATTAGTTGCAAGTCTTTTTCCAACTTTATGTGTTTTTTAACTTTGCTTTAAAAAACACATTGGTTAGTTTTTCACGCACACTTTACAATTATTTGCATGTAGTATAATTCACTGGTCTCCTATGGTCTCTAGGTTACGTTTCATATTTAGAAAGTCTTTCTCCATTTTAAAATTATCCTTTTTTAAAAGTTCCCCCATGAATTCCTCTAGCATTTTTATGGTTTTATTTTATGCATTTATATCTTTGACCCATCTCGAATTGATTTTAGCATCAGATCTAATGTAGTAACCAACTTTAAATACAGATAGTTACCCAGCTATTCCAGAAATATTATTGAATGATTCATTTTGCGTCCATTAATTTTAAATGCTGTTACAACCCCACTCGCCAGATTATAAGCTCCAAGAAGGAAAACACTTACGTTTTTTCACTATGGTATCCTTAGGAACTAGAACAGTGGTAGGCACACAAAGATTGCCCAGGGCTTTTTGTGTGTGTGTGGTAAAAGATATGTAACCTAAAATTTACCATTTTAACCTTTTTTTTTTTTTTTTTTGAGACAGAGTCTCACTCTGTCATCCAGGCACTCTAGCGCAGTGGCACGATCTCGGCTCACTGCAACCTCTGCCTCCCAAGTTCAAGCGATTCTCCTGCCTCAGCCTCCCAAGTAGCTGAGATTACAGGCGCACATCCACATGATCAGCTAATTTTTGTATTCTTAGTAGAGACAGGGTTTCACCATGTTGACCAGGCTGGTCTTGAACTCCTGACTTCAAGTGATCTGTCCACCTCGGCTTCCCATAGTGCTGGAATTACAGGCATGAGCCACTGCACCCAACCCCATTTTAACTATTTTTAAGTGTACCATTCAATGGCATTAAATATATCCACAATGTGTAGCCATCATCACTACCCATTTCAGAAATTTTTCATCCTCCTAAACAGAAACTTGGTACCCATTAGACAATAACTCCCATTCGCCTCTCCCTCCAATCCCTGGTGACCTCTATTATACTTTCTCTCTCAAGGAATGTGCCTATTCTGTGTACCACATATAAACTGAATCATACACTATTTAGTCCTTTCTGTCTGGCTCGTTTCAGTTAGCATAACGTTTTCAAGGTTCATCAATGTTTCAGCGTGTATCAGAACTTCATTCTTTTTCAAGGCTGAATAAGTCATCTGTAGCTATATACCATATTTTGTTTATGCATTCATCTGTTAATGAACATTCTGGGTTATTTCTACCTTTTGGTTATTATGAATAGTGCTACTGTAAATATATGTATACAAGTATCTGAGTTCCTGCTTTCAGTTATTTTGAACATCTATATCAAAGCGGAATTGCTTGATCATGTGGTTATACTATGTTTAACTTTTTGAGGAATCATCAAACTGTTTTTCCAAAAAGTCTGGACTATTTAACATTGCCATCAGCAACGCATACGGTTTCAATTTCTCCACATCTGCCAACAATTACTTTCCTTTTTTTTTATAGTAGCCATCCTAGTAGGTATTAAGTGGTATCTCATGATTTTTTTTTTCATTTCCCTAAAGACTAGTGGTGTTGAGCACTCTTTCATATGCTTATCCACCATTTGTACAGTTGGCCTTCCATATCTGTGGGCTCTGCATCTGTGGCTTCAACCAACCATGAATTGGAAATATTCCAAAACAAATTTCATCTGTATTGAACATGTACAGACTTTTTGTCATTATTCCCTAAACAATACAACACTATTTAGATTTATGTTGTATTAGGTATTATAAGTGATCTAGAGATGACTTAGTCATCTCTAGGATGACACAGGAGGATGTGCATAGGTTATATGCAAATACTGCATCATTTTATGTAAGGAACTTGAGCATCCTTGGATTTTGGTACCCAAGGGGGTCCTGAAACAAATCCCCCACAGATACCAAGTGGATAGTCATTCTCTTGGAATGTATCTTCTTTGGAGAAATGTCTATTCAAGTCCTTTGCCCTTTTTTGAACTGAACTGTTTGGGGGTTTTTCGTTCTTGTAGTTCTTTACATATTCTAGAGATGAATCCTTTATCAGATATATGAGTTGCAACTATTTTCTCTCAATCTGTGAATTTTCACTTGCACAGCGCTTTTAACTCTTGAAAATTATGCTGCTTCTATTATTTATGTGTATCCCGATCTCTTGCCCTCGTGACCCGCCCGTCTCAGCCTCCCAAAGTGCTGGGACTACAAGGCGTGAGCCACTGTGCCTGGCCATCTATGTGTATCTCAAAACAACCTTGTAGGATGTATACTGTCTCCACTTTACAGATAAGAAAACTGAAATCCAATCAAAGATAGCACACTCCAAAGATTGCTCCAAAGACAGCACAACAATAACAAACTTGTAGTTGTTATTGCTGTTAGTGTTATCCCTTTGAATAATAGAGAGTAACAGAAGCTGCTTCAAAAAGGTCTAGGACTGGTGGGAAAATAAGAGAGCAGACCCCCAACAGAGGTTGCGAGCAGAGCCAGGGATCACAGAGTTTTATCTGCCCTCGGTACGCTGATTTCCAAAACCCAGCCTCATATTCTATACTCCAAAGCGCACTGCCAGGTGGGCCAACTCCAGCCCCCACAATCCGATGCCAAGGCCACTTCTTGCCACTTCCTGCCCGCCTCCAGCCCGCCCCTAACAAGCTAGCGCATGCGCTGTAGGACTATTTGCGCGCCGTTCCCCCCGGTGAGCCTGCACACCGTGCTTCCGGCGCGGAGATGAACTTCCACATGCCCCGGCGCTTGTTGATGACGTAACTTCCGGTTGCTGTGCTGAGTCGGAAGTGGGAACCCTTCGGCCGCTGAGATTCTGTCGTGTCGTCGCTGCTGGCACTTCAGGCTCTGGTAAGACAGGCAATAGCTTCAGGGGACGGGGTCGTTGACTTTGCGTTGTGATATTTTCTGCTGGTCCAATGCCACTTCAAGCCTGTTCACTCTTATCTTCTCCAAATTCCTTCTCCTATGCTTTGCTAACCAGGGACCTTCTCCTTCTTGAACTTCGACCCTGTCTGATTTGGAACCCCTTACAGTGCCCCAGCTTCTGATGTCTCTTTGTACATTTCTGTCCCCATCTTTGCCAAGCCCCTCCTGGAAGAGGCCGGAGCGCTATCATTGCATTATCTTTTGACTTAACTTTCTCTAGAACGTGCCCCGGGCGGGTGGATCTCCCTCCTTCCCGCGAATCCCTTATGGAGCATGGAAGGATAAAATATAAAGAGTAGATAACAAATAGGCAGATGCCAAGAAGATAAGATTAATCGTGAGTCGTAAGCAAACCAGTTCAATGCATACGTCAGGGTGTTGATAATTCTTAAGGCAGGTGATGAGTTCACCACAGATAACTCTTGGGGCACTCTGCTTCATGTTTCCTTGGGTTTAGAAGACACTTCTAAAATTGAGTGACCATGCCTCATGACCTTATATTTGATGAGCCTTCCTTTTAGGATCAGTTTTATGCCCTGACAGCAAGCATGTGTTTAGTCTCGCTGTCATTTACTGTTTTGGTCTCACGTGGAAGCCCACCTGCGATAAAATGGGATCCAAGAAGGACTGCTGTCTGCTTTTTGACTTGAGATCCTTCTAGGCTGCAGATAGATGTGTTGATGGAATTTGTTGCCACATTAGCATGGCCTGATAGTGTTAGGTGAAACATACGACAACGAAAATTGTTTCTTAATTTCTATTTTAAATTGATATTTTAATTTCTATTTTATATTGATATATGTATTATTTGCCAGGACACAGACCTTATGGGAGTATGATTTGATAGAGCTTGATTTTGACGATCCCAGTTTTACAAAGTGTTCCAGATATTTCTGTTGAAAAACAATACCAAGTCTGATGTTAACACACTTGTGTGTTCATGAGAGCTGACAGTGGTCTTAAAGGATTAGTGGTACTATTCATAAACAAAAGCTTGTATTAGGAGGAAGTGACAGAATTTTGTAGGACAGCTATTATAGATATAGATCTTTGCAGCAAGTGTATCAGAGTGAAACTTGTTTTCAAGGAGGATATATTTTAAAAGAATCAAATCCAAAAGCTTCTAAGGTTGGTAGCTGTACCATCCCAAAGTGTCTGACAACAGGATAGTGTTGTATCTCTGTATGGCAGTTGAAAATAGGAAAAAAAATACATACATATATGTATGTATATATGTGTGTGTGTGTGTGTGTGTATTTTTTTTTTTTTTTTTTTGAGACAGAGTCTGGCTCTGTCACCCAGGCTCTGCTCTGGAGTGCAGTGGCACGATCTCAGCTCACGGCAACCTCCATCTCCCAGTTTAAAAGTGATTCTCCTGCCTCAGCCTCCCAAGTAGTGGGATTACAGCCTGGCTAAGGTGTGGTGGTATGCGCCTGTAATCGCTTTTAGTGGAGACGGGGTTTCACCACATTGGCCAGGCTGGTCTCAAACTCCTGACTTCAAGTGATCTGTCTGCCTTGGCCTCCCAAAGTGCTGGGATTACAGGCATGACCTACTGCGCCCGGCGCTGAAAATAGGAGATTATAAATCCCGAATGACATTATTGAATATTAAACAAAATATTTAGGTTTCATTTTATCGGACCTTTAGAGTGGGTGATTATCTGGGTACTCTTACTTTGGTAAGTCCATTGAACAAATCTAAACTGGCATCTCCACAAAGGTTCTCATCAAGTGATCAGTCCTCCTTTTTCCTGTAAAATTTTTCTATAAGTGACTACACAGTTTTAGCCCTTTTTTAATGAAAAAAAGTTTGTGCACAGATTTGACATACGTGTGAAAAAGATGAGCTTAGTGAAAGATAGGTGAGAACCTTTTTGTTTTTTACAGATAGTAGAGATGACAACAGAGACTTATTTCCATCCACCATTCTACACATGCCAAGATACCAAAGAACCAGTGTCTAGCCTGGTAGCTTGACCTTCCACTGCAACCTAAGACAAGTAGTAAAGCCCTTACCTTGAAGTAGGGTCATGGGTGATGCTGTTGATTACAAGGAGTTCAGAAAGAACTACATGTAAGATTGAAGCCATTCAATAACTACTTATTTAGGATTTTGTGATTGTGATGTATAATGCCAGACACAGAAGAAAGAATAATCAGATATGAACATGTAATCAGAAGAGCTTACAGCCTAGCAATGTAGAAGATCTGCTTAGAAATACAATGCAGAAAGTTTAAAATCCTAGTAAAAATAGAGGTAAAATGTAGAAAGCTAGTTTCTTTATACAGTGCAACAGTATAGTATTGAGAAAGAAGGAAGTAATGCAGTTTATGGTGATAAATTCTTTTTGTTTCTCTTGATAGTCTTTTTGTTTGTTTGTTTGTTTGAGACAGTTTCCCTCTGTTGCCCAGGCTGGAGTGCAGTGGCAACGATCTTGTCTCACTGCAACCTCCGCCTCCCAGGTTCAAGCAATTCTCCTGCCTCAGCCTCCTGAGTAGCTGAGATTCCAGGTGCACGCCACCATGCCTGGCTAATTTTTTGTGTGTTTTAAGTAGAGATGGGGTTTCTCCATGTTGGTCAGGCTGGTCTTGAACTCCTGACCTCATGATCTGCCCGCCTTGGCCTCTCAAAGTGCTGGGATCATAAGCATGAACCACTGTGCCCGGCCTTCTTGATAGTCTTAAGAGCTTCTCTGTCATATGTCCTATATTCCTGGCTTTCAGCTTCCTTTCTGCTTACGTGTTGCAGGTGATGCATGTCCTTTGTAATAATCTGGACACTTTTCAGTTGTGTTTTAAAAAACATCAAACTGGTTTAGGCATTTAGGGAAATTTTATTGGTTTTTATAACTGAAAAGTCCAGACTTATCTTTCCATCTCTCAATTCTGTTTTCTAGTGTATGTTGGCTTGGTTTTAGGCTAGGCCTTTTCTAAATGGTGTAAAGATGGCAACTCTATCTTACTGGCTTATCAACTCAATCAGGAGAAAACTCACTTTTCCGTAGATTCAGCTGAAGTCCTGAAGCTGGTATTCATTGACTCTGTTAGGCCTCCATAGTGTCTTGTGCCCACTCCTGGATCAGTTGCTTTGGCTGGAAAATGCTGTATTCTTTTTAGCCTGGCCAGACTTGTATGTTCATTCCTGGGGCTAGTGGGTGAGGTCAACCCCTTCTGAACTGGTCAGCCTCTTCTGGATTGAGTGGAGTGGATACCCAAAGGAAAAAAATGAATGTGATGTTTTAGAGAGAGAAATAACAAGAGCTCAATATACTTTTTGCATTCCTCTGGAATTTGTGGTATTTTAGGATGGAAGTAGAATGGTGGTCAGCTAACAATAAGACAATTCTTGGTGTTTTTACATTAACTACAGGTAATAATTAAACTTGTGCGGTAATTACATGGGGAAAATCCCTCTCATTAATTTCAATACTAAATATGGTATCTTTCCCTTTTTTTGCATTATTAAGCTTACTGAAATATACATAGCAAAAAATAAAATACAGAAGGCCAGGCGCAGTGACTCATGCCTATAATTCCAGCACTTTGGGAGGCCGCGGTGGGAGGATCACTTGAGGTCAGGAGTTCGAGACCAGCCTGGCCAACATGGTGATACCCCGTCTCTACTAAAAATCCAAATAACAGTTCAATTCCTTGAAGCAGTAAAGCTTTGAGCTGCACTGAGAGGAGACTAGACTGCCTAAGTCATTACAGCTAATTAGCCGTTAGCTCTTGTGTGGAAAAAATGGCAGAGGAGCATGAAGCAAGTGCTGAAGATGCCTCAGAATTGTCAAGAAATGTTATAAATAATCTCTTTCTCTGGTAAATAAGGGTAACTTTTTCGACCACATTAGCTTTTTTTTTTTTTTTTTTTTTTTGAGACGAAGTCTCGCTCTGTCACCCAGGTTGAAGTGCAGTGGCACAATCTCAGCTCTCTGCAACCTCTGCCTCCCGAGTCCAAGCAATTCTCCTGCCTCAGCCTCCTGCCTCCCAAGTAGCTGGGATTACAGGCACCTGCCGCCATGCCTGGCTAATTTTCGTGTTTTAGTAGAGATGGGGTTTCACCATGTTGGCCAGGCTGGTCTTGAACTCCTGACCTCAGGTGATCCACCTGCCTCAGCCTCCCAGGGTGCTGGGATTGCAGGCATGAGCCACTGCACCTGGCCCACATTAGCTTTTGTTGATATGATCCTGTGAGGAGTCTTGCCTCAATAAACCAAAGGTAGACCAAATGTTCTTTTTTTCTTCCTTTATACCCCTACTCCCGCTATTTCTAAGGTCTCTGTCCTTATAGCAGTTCAAGATCCTTATGAACAAAACATTCATACCCTTTGTCTCTTCCCACCCTTTTCAGTGTTGTATTTAATATTTCTATGTCATGGCCTTAAAATTTCAGAAAGGGGAGAAAGCCTTTCAGGGAGCCCTGTTTATTCTGTTGTGCCACTGAGTTCACTTGGTCTTGAATGAGGAAATGTAATCAGAAGAGTGTGAATGCAGGCTCAGCCAGCTCTACTAAACACCTTTGAGGTATCTATATTTCATATTACACAGTAGACCTGACCGTTGGAATTCGTGTTTCTTCAGTATTATTTTAAGAAATCAGGTAAACAGTGAAGGTTAGATATAGCATGAAGCAAAGACCATTTAATTTTTAGTGGAAGAAATATCAGTATTTTTAAGCCTAGAAATAAATAGATTGCTTAATCTATGTTAAAAACCCACAACATACAGCTGAACTGCTTCCAGTCCTGATTTGCCAGAGTCCAAATCTAAGATATGGGCTTTTACTTAATTTATATGTAGCTGAGAAATATCCATCCCCAGCCCTAAGTCATAGAAGTCCCTTGTCCTCACCCCAGTGAATGAGAACTAGACTGCCAGCTTAATTCTTGGGAAATCCATAATTCTTGTCTTATTATTTTTCAGTGCCACATTGTTATTACAATTAGTAGGTGAGTTCTCTCTTTGACTTCAATAATTCTTTCTACTTAACCTGTTTTCTTAAAGGTATTGCAAATAAAAGTATATCAACAGATTAATGCATTCCAGCTGAACGTTTTAGCCTTTTTAGTTTCAGCTATCCACAAATCAAGCCACCGAGTCCAGCTGGTAGGTTTGTAACCATTTTGCCAAAAATGTCTTGAGTTTGGGGACAGGAATTGGAAAATCTTAACCCAAAGTATTTTAAAATGTATTGTATTTGAGAAATGGGAAAAGAAACAACCACAGGTATATTACAGCTATTGTGTCATCTGCCCTCTTGTGTCTAATACCTGTCCTTTGAACAGCCTCTCCCACTAGGTCTGGATGGAGGATACCTTAAAGTGAAATGACAGACCAGGAGAATAACAACAACATCTCAAGTAACCCCTTTGCTGCTCTTTTTGGCTCCCTGGCTGATGCCAAACAGTTTGCGGCAATCCAAAAAGAGCAGCTGAAGCAACAATCTGGTAAGTGGAGGAGCCAATAGCAGCAAATAAGATGACCTAGAATGGGGTCTTCCCAAATTAAGTATTCTTTGAGTCCTTAATTGCAATTGGAATTTAAGTTTGGAACAAAAGTTGGTTTTTGTTTGTTTGTTGAGAGCAGAAATTGGGGTTTTTTGTTTGTTTGCTTTTATTGTTGGTTTTGTTGTGAGTCCCTCCCCTCCGCTGTCCTCTCCACTGTACAAAAAGAGACCAGGTAACAGGTGGTTCCATAGTAACAGATGCCAGTCGTGATCCCAAAGCTGTCAGGCTGTTTTCTTTAAAAGAAAAAAAAAATCACCTAGTAAAAGCTATTTAAATAAATGTTTTTAACATGGGACACAGAGGTGGTAAGTGTAGGTGTAGAAAGCAAGTCATGTGCAGCTATAGAAAGCAGATGTAAAAGGAAGAACTATAAAAGCTTTTTGACCTGTAGGCAAATGAGACTTGTTCTTAAGCTCAGCACTTCAAAGGCCCTCCCAAGCAAAGTGCTTCTTCTGTTCCGATGAGTGGCATCATTTGTAGCTTAGTCCTGTTAGGACAGACTTTTTTAAAAAATCTGATCCTTAGCCTTACTATGAAAAACATCAGAATAACATCTCAGTAATCAGAAAAAATGGTTTTCTTTCAGGCACCGAATTTAAGATCAAGTCCAGCTTCCTCCTATAAGGAGACATATACACTAGAAGAATTAGGATTTTTCTCAAATATGTTAGTCTTCTGAAGATATTCACAATCTTTCAAACCAGAAATTGCTCCCCTTCTCCTCTCTCCGAAAAGAATAATAGTGTTTTTCTTTTGAGAGAAGGAGAAGTGTTTGCATTTTCCCTTTATTTTGTTTATTTAAAAAAAAAAAAAACACTCAGGTGCATAGCTGACTTTTGGCCTTTCAGTTAGAAAGGGCTGAAGAAAAAAGAGGTAAAGGCAAGACAGATAAGTGATTGATGCAAGGGAAAAACAAAATCAATGTTGATTTTTTTTAACATGGTATTTTCAGTCTCTGAAATCTCTCCCAGATTTCTATGATACGGGGCCAGAATGGGAAACTCTGGTTTAGAAGATTGTAGGGGAAAAAGCAGAGTGAAAAATAGGAAAAATAAGGAATGAGAAAGTATGATTTATGAGTATGTGGTTGAGGGAAATTTTGCTAAACAGATTCTTAGCTTCTGTCACCATTGGAGGTCAGAGAAAAACTCAACAGTATAGCAGCTGAGCAACAGAACGCTTGTCCTTCTGGCTATAAACAGACATAAATCTGGCTAGAGTTGGGAGCATTGCAGGCACATGCCCTTCTGTTACTATTTTGGCACCTCATCATCCTAGTTTGTTTACACTGAGTTTATCATGCCACCAGGTCCAACCTGTTTCCACTAGCAATTAGTACTTTGCCAAAACCTTTGGCTTCCTATGTTGAGCTTATACTCACCACACTGAAACAACTCTTACTTTGAGAGTTTTACCTGGACTTTCAGACTAGCCATTCTGTCAATAGAGAAAAGTACATATAGACTCATATGTGGCATATAGTGAATAACACTACTTTTATGTAGTCATTCAACATGAATGATGGGGCTGGGCGCAGTGGCTCGCGCCTGTAATCCCAGCTCCTTGGGAGGCCTAGGTGGGCAGATCACCGGAGGTCAGGAGTTCGAGACCAGCCTGGCCAACATGACAAAACCCCGTCTCTACTAAAAACACAAAAATTAGTCGGGCATGATGACAGGCGCCTATAATCCCAGCACTCTGGGAGGCCAAGGTGGGCGGATCACCTGAGGTCAGGAGTTTGAGACCAGCCTGGCCAACATGGTGAAACCCCATCTCTACTAAAAATACAAAAATTAGCCGGGCGTGGTGGTGGGCGCCTGTAGTCCCAGCTACTTGGCTGAGGCAGGAGAATCACTTGAACCTGGGAGGTAGAGGTTGCGGTGAGCCGAGATCACACCACTGCACTCCAGCCTGGGCGACAGAGTGAGAGTCCATCTCAAAAAAAAAAATCAAAGGATGGGAGCAGATTTTGAGGACAGAAGTTTAAAAAAAAAAAAATCGAAGGAATTTCATCAATAAGAAAAAAATAACAAGAAAGAATAAAAAGGTACAAAAGATGTGACATGCAACTTATAACCAAATGATTAAAAAATTTATTCTCATCAATCATTAGAGAAGTGCCAATTAAAACAACCATTAAATTGTTTTTTTACCTATGAAATTTGTGAAGATTCAAACAGGCACTCTCTCATATACTGTTGGGTTTGCATGTAAATCAGACAGTCTCTTTGAGGGTAACTTGGTAGTAAATGTTAACTTTTTTTTTTTTTTTTTTTTGAGACGAAGTCTTGCTCTGTCACCGAGGCTGGAGTGCAGTGCAACCTCTGCCTCCCGGGTTTAAGCAATTCTCCTGCCTCAGCCTCCCGAGTAGCTGGGACTACAGGTGTGTGCCACCACGCCTGGCTAATTTTTTGTATTAGTAGGGATGGGGTTTCACCATGTTAGCCAGGATGGTCTCAATCTCCTGACCTCGTGATCCGCCTGCCTCAGCCTCCCAAAGTGCTGGGATTACAGGTGTGAGCCACCGTGCCAGGCAGTAAATGTTAACTTTTTAAATGTTCAAGCTCTTTGATCCAGCAGTTCTGCTACTGTGAATTTATCCTATAGAAATACTCATACAAGTAAACAAAAAGAGTTAAGTTGTATTGTATTCAGTGCAGTATTTAAAATCATGAAATATTAGAAACAACCCTATTGTTCATCAGTTGAAAAGTAGCTACATAAACCACAGGGCATGCAAAAGATGTGATACAATACAGCTATTAAAAATAGTGAGGTAGGCCTCTAAATGGCCTAACAGGGAAAGGTGTTGGTGCTGATTAAAAGGCAAGCTGAAAAGAGCTATGTATAGTATCCCATTTTTTAAAAAAATTAAAAAGATAGTAATGAATATTAGCACCAGAAAAGAAAAAAATTCTTGAACACTGTTAAGTGTCTTTAGGGAATTGGTTCAGGAGACTTTCTATACTATATTTTTCTGTACAGTTAAGAACTATTAAAACAAATGTTATCTCTTAAAATCAGGGAGAAAAGCCATACATTTAAAATAATTAAAGGCATTTTGATCTATTAGGTAATTCTTTGTTCACTAGGATTCTGTAGAGAAGATAACTTTGCTATTTCTGGCAGTGTGGAGTATAATTATGGATAGAAATAAAACTTTTGCTTTGTAAAATGTGGTAGGATTTATAGCCAGGAATTTCAAAACCCTATATTTAACTTCCCTGACTTGAGATGTTCACTAATTAGATGATTAGCTTGTTTTACATCTGAAATTATCATCTTCTTGGTTACATTTATTATTTTTGGTAGCATGCTTGGTTCTCTCTTAAAGGGGTGTAACATTTAACAGTATACATTTTCTGGCAGATGAACTCCCAGCTAGCCCAGATGACTCGGATAATAGCGTGTCAGAGAGCCTGGATGAATTCGATTACTCTGTGGCTGAGATTAGCCGCTCATTCCGATCACAGCAGGAAATATGTGAGCAACTCAACATCAATCACATGATCCAAAGGATCTTCCTTATTACTCTGGACAACAGTGAGTTACAAACTTATAGCATTATTCTACCCTTCCTATTTGAGCTTGGGCTAGGGGCTTGCTCTTTGAAACTGGTTACAGCTAATGGTTAGATACAAACCTACTCACTGCACTCCCTGGAACTCAGGGTTTATATTTCAGTGAACCTTTTGGTATGACCTAAAAACAGTATTTAGATGCAGATCTAACTTTTGTTCCCATTTCAATACTGACTGCACTATATAGCTACTTGCCTTTACTACCTTAAAAAGGAAATGGGAAGGGTAGCCAAACCCATTTTCTTCTCAGAGGTAACCTAAATATTCAGATGGAAGCCTTCAGAGGCATCAGAGAGTGTTTGCCCTCTGTGCCCTGTCTGTGTTTAAACCCCAAGGTTGGTACTAATGTCTGGGATTTACTCTTTAAATGTCATGATGCTAGGTTTATAACAAATCCCATTCTCTGTGACTAGAGGGGGAAAAAAAAAGATTTGAATCTTTAGATGTTGCTTTGTGTATCAGGATCATTCTGGTATTACTTGAGTCAGATTTGCAGTTCAAGAGTGATGCTGTCAAGATCAGTTGTCTGTATAAAACAGAAGCATTATCCTTAACCTATCATATTAAAACCATTTCCCAGGTGATCCCAGCTTGAAAAGCGGGAATGGCATCCCTAGCCGTTGTGTGTATTTGGAAGAAATGGCAGTAGAGCTAGAAGATCAAGACTGGCTTGATATGAGCAATGTTGAGCAGGTAATATTCTTACGTTCCTAATGTGTGCCCTTAGCAAAAATTAGCTATGCGGCTGAATTCTGCTCACTGTTCTCCAACTTATGCTTGTGTCCATATGTCCATCCCTCTCTCTTTTTTTTTTTTTTTTTTTACCAGTAGAAGGCCAAGTAACCTGGATGTGCATCTCTAACATTGTGGTGTTCCTCTTTTGGAATCTTTTCATCTACCATGGCCACATGCCCAAATCTACCCATCCTCTAAGAACCAGTTAAAATGCCTTCTTAATTACAAAGCCTTGGCCAGGCACATTGACTCACGCCTGTAATCCCAGCACTTTGGGAGGCTGAGGCAGGTGGATCACGAGGTCAGGAGATCAAGACCATCTGGCTAACATGGTGAAACGCCGTCTCTACTAAAAATACAAAAAATTAGCTGGGCATGGTGGTGGGCGCCTGTAGTCCCAACTACTTGGGAGGCTGAGGCAGGAGAATGGTTTAAACCCAGGAGGCGGAGGTTGCAATGAGCCGAGATCATACCACTGCACTCCAGCCTGGACAACAGAGCAAGACTCCGTCTCAAAAAAAAAAAAGAAAAAATTACAAAGCCTTGCCAAATAAAAGTTGTTACTCCCTCCTCTGGGTACCTAGAATAATCAGCCTCTGAATCTCTTGTGGGAATTGTCACTTTCTGTCTCATGTTGCGGCTTTCTTATGTACCTGTCTTATCTCCCCTATTAGACTTAAGTTCTTAAGGGCAAGGCCCATCGCTTTTTCTTCTTTATATCCTTTCTATCTTAGTCTGTTTTGTGTTGCTATAAAAGAATACCTGTGACTAGGCACAGTGGCTCACATCTGTAATCCCAGCACTTTGGGAGGCCAAGTTGGGAGGATCTCCAGGCCAGGAGTTACCAGCCCTGGCAACATAACAAGACCATGTTTCTACAAAAAATACAAAGAATTAACTGGGTGTGATGGCATGTACCTGAAGTCCTAGCTACTCAGGAGGCTGAGGTGGGAGGATTGCTTGAGCCTGGGAGGCAGAGGCTGCAGTGAGCCATAGTCACACGACTGCACTCCAGCCTGGGCGACAGAGCAAGAAAGACCCATCTAAAAAAAAAAAAAAGAACACCCAAGCAGTAATTTATAAAGAAAAGTTTATTTAGCTCACAGTTCTGCAGGCTGAGAAGATTCAGGGTATGTCCTTGGCCTCTGGTGAGGGCTTTTGTGCTGCCTCACAATGTGGTGGAGGAAGTCACCAAAGGACACATACCATGAGGACGCATGCAAGGAGGAGAAAACCTGAGAGGTGTCCTGGCTTAATAAGAACCCGCTCTGGAGGGAATTTGTCCATTCCTATGAGAATTAATCCAGTCTTGTGAGAGCAAGAACTCATTCAGCACCTTGAGAAAAGCACCAAGCAATTCAGGAGGGATCCGCCTCCATACCCAGACACCTCCCACTAGCCCCACCTCCAACAGTGCCACATGGAGATCAAATTTCAACATGAATTTTGTTGGAGACAAACATATAAACCACAGCACTTTAAAAATCAAAACAGTGCGTTGTACCTTGCAGGTGCCTGAGTAACATTAAAAGAATAAAAGTTTGGTAGGAAAGACAGTTGACAGCTTGCAGTTTAACTTCACATTTGGAGTATCTTTATATAAGTCTGAATGAGATCAGCAATCACACAGAATAGTAGATTTCACATCTAAGTTTAATCACTGATCTCAGCACCATTCAACAAATAGTCTTTTAATGCCTACTCTATGCTGGGGCTATACTAGACACTTGAGGCTTGATTTAGGATAACTTTATATATGCCATAATTTTCTAAAATTTTCTAAAGTAAAAATATACAGGGCCCTTTTTTTCTCCTTCACTCTACATTCAAATCTGTGATTCTTGCTAATAACCTGTGTCAGAATTACCTTTTACATCTTAATGTTCTCAGATTAATTTTGCAATAGTTTAGTATTTTTGTTTGGTTTTCTTTATAGGCCCTCTTCGCTCGCTTATTACTTCAAGATCCAGGCAACCACTTAATTAACATGACTTCTTCTACAACGCTAAATCTCTCTGCTGATCGAGATGCAGGAGAGAGGCACATTTTTTGTTACCTTTACTCCTGCTTCCAGAGAGCCAAGGAAGAGGTAAAGGAATAATCCCCATTGAATACTGTATTGTCCTCTTGGGTATGACTTCAGCATGTGGGCCAGAGTTGGATCAGTCTTTATTTCAATTTATATATGTCATAGTATGTCTAGAAGTGAATATCAGGGACACTAAAGCTTTTATATCAATTTATATATGTCATAGTATGTTTAGAACACTGGATATCAGATGCACTAAAGCTTTAGTCTCCTTTCCGTATCTTGGGGTCCACCCTTCTCCCCAGTTAACCAATGCCTCCTATTCTCTCTAAAACCTCTTTAGAAATCACATCCTTAAAAAAATCTCATGAGGCTGGGCACAGTGGCTCACTCCTGTAATCCCAGCACTTTGGGAGGCCGATGCAGGCGGATCACATGAGGCCAGGAGTTCGAGACCAGCCTGGCCAACATGGCAAAACCTTTACTGAAAATACAAAAATTAGCCGGGCATGGTGGCACACATTTATAATCCCAGCTACTCAGGAGGCTGAGGCAGGAGAATCACTTGAACCTGGGAGGTGGAGGTTGCAGTGAGCTGAGATCACACCACTGCACTCCAGCCTGGGTGACAGAGCGAGACTCTGTCTCAAAAATCAGAAAAGGGCTCATGAATTCATTTCCACTGAGATGTAAATATTAGAGTAGGCTAAGCCGGATATTTCCAGGTTTGGAATTTTAAATAGGCAGATAGATGATTCCTTAAGCCAAGGAAGGAATCTCTAATTAATTTTCAAGCATCCACAGGAGACCAGTATGTCTCTTCTATTGTATTCACTATGTCTACTTTCGTTCCAGATTACAGAGTTAGACTATTCCCTCTTTTCTTCATGCTGTTTGCAGATTACCAAAGTTCCAGAGAACCTGCTACCCTTTGCAGTGCAGTGCAGAAACCTCACTGTGTCCAATACCCGAACAGTTCTTCTCACCCCAGAGATCTATGTTGACCAAAACATCCATGAGCAACTGGTAGATTTGATGTTAGAAGCCATCCAGGGAGCCCGTGAGTACATGAACAAGATCTGTAAGCTTCTACATTTTGATTTTCAGATTTAAAATTTCACTAATTGCATTAGAAAGTCTCAGAGCCATTATGGTTCTGGTATAAATTAAGGAGGAGGGCTCACATCTTGATCTTTGAGGTTGAGTACCAATAGAATAAAGCTGGGCATGGTAGCACACCCCTGTAGTCCCATCTACTCTGGAGGCTGAGGCAGAAGGATCCCTTGAGCCCAGGAGTTTGAGGCTGTAGTGTGCTATAATCACACCTGTGAATAGCCACTACACTCCAGGCTGAGCAAAAAAACAAGACCCCCAGCTCTAAAAAAAAAAAAAAAAGAATTATTGAAAGTAAAGAGCTAGTGTGTAAAGGCATATAAAAATTCTTGTGCCCTCCTTTCTCTCTCATTTGTCTTCTGTTAGATTTTGAAGATGTAACTGAGTTTCTGGAAGAGGTCATTGAAGCCTTGATATTGGATGAGGAAGTTAGAACATTTCCAGAAGTCATGATTCCAGTGTTTGATATTTTATTGGGCCGAATAAAAGATCTAGAGCTCTGTCAGATCCTTTTGTATGCATATCTGGATATTCTTCTCTATTTCACTAGGCAAAAAGATATGGCAAAGGTAGGTCTGAAAGATGATATGTATTCAGTTGAGCTAGATGTGTAATACATGATGCTTCCCTATCCTGAAGACACTATAATACTACCTATAAAATAAGAAAAAGATAGCTTGGTTGTTGTATCAACTTAACTGTTTTGAGGCCCTCCCACCCCATCACCTTATCTCACCATGAAGATGAATAAGCAGAACTTGTCTTCTCTTACAGGTTTTTGTAGAATACATTCAGCCCAAGGACCCTACCAATGGGCAAATGTACCAGAAGACCTTGCTGGGAGTAATTCTGAGTATCTCCTGCTTATTAAAGACTCCGGGTGTTGTAGAAAATCATGGCTACTTTTTGAATCCATCTCGTTCCAGCCCCCAGGAGATCAAAGTACAGGAGGCCAACATCCATCAGGTGGAACTGTTTACCAGGGTATCCCAGCCCCCTGATCTTAAAAGAGTTTTCTCAGAAAGCAGATACAGATAAGGCTGCTCAAGCCTCTCTGGGAAAGCAAATTGATCTAGTTGGCTTTTACATCACATAAATAAATTAAAACTGGGCATGGTAGCTCAAGCCTGTAATCCCGGCACTTTGGGAGGCCAAGGTGGGAGGATCGCTTGAGCCCAGGAGTTCAATTTGAAACCAGCCTAGGCAACACAGTGAGACCCCCATGTCTACAAAAAAATACAAAACTTAGGTGGGCATGGTGGCAAGCATCTGTAGTCCCACCTACTCGGGAGGCTGAGGTGGGAGGATCACTTGAGCCTGGGAGGTCAAGACTTCAGTAAGCCATGATTGCATCATCACGCTCCGGCCTGGATGACAGAAGAAGACTCTGTCTCAAAAAAAAAAAATCCCCTCTTTGTAGCATATGCTAAGAACAGCACGTGTGGGGTAAGAATGAGCTGCTGCTACTCATTACCCTTTGCTGTAGCACTGCTACAGCTACTTCTCCCCAACCCTCATTTTTCTCACTGAGCTATAACTTTAGCTCTGAAAATCTTTTGACTGAACTCTAGCTTATAAACCCAGTTTTTCTTCCTTTTCGTGTCTCCACCTATGCCCTCTCTTTGGGCTTCTTCACATAAATTATAGTAGAGGTCTGGCCAACATGAGGCATTGAATGATTGAATTGGGGATAGTTTAAGTCCCCTAATCATTAATCATTACAACTCTCTAAGGCAAGGCATGGCAAACTAGCAGTGGCCAAATCTGGCCTGCCACCTGTTTTTGTAAATAAAGGTTTATTGAACATAGCCATGCGCATTAGTATATGTATTGTTTCTGGTTTGAATTCATACTACAGTGATAGAGTTGAATAATTGCTACAGACACTGTATGGCAAGTAATGCCAGAAATCCTTATTGTCTAGCCCTTTGCAGAAAAAATTTACAGACCTGTGCTCTAATACCGTGTAATGCCATCTGCAGTTGGGCAGCTGATCAGAAAATCTCTTATAAGTGCCCAGAAATATATTTTAAAATCAAATTAGGGGATGAGGCACAGAGAGTGAGGGGAAAGATTAGGATTAGCATATTTTTGGAAACTGCCAGTTGCTAAGGTTTGGGAATAAAAACTATTAGGATTGTGAAACGTTCTGTGGTTGTGTTTTCTGGTTGAACAGTTCATGGCTCAGTTCCACGAAAAGATCTACCAGATGCTGAAGAACTTACTCCAGCTCTCTCCAGAAACCAAACACTGTATCTTGTCCTGGCTTGGAAACTGTTTGCATGCAAATGCAGGCCGCACCAAGATTTGGGCCAATCAGATGCCAGAAATCTTTTTCCAAATGTATGCCTCAGATGCTTTCTTTCTGAATCTGGGTGCTGCTCTCCTGAAGCTATGCCAGCCATTTTGCAAACCCAGATCCTCTCGGCTCCTCACCTTTAATCCCACATACTGTGCCCTCAAGGAGTTGAATGATGAAGAACGAAAAATTAAAAATGTACACATGAGAGGTAGGAGAGAACCAGGCTTCTCAAAACTGTGTGTGTGTGTGTGTGTAACGTGTAAAGCATTCACTCCCTTATCCTTTTTCACAGAGTTCCTTTCTCAAAAAAAGATGAGGCAGAAACGAGCTATTTCGATTTTTTTTTCTTTTTTTTTGAGATGGAGTCTTACTCTGTCACTCAGGCTGTAGTGCAGTGACGCTATCTTGGCTCACCGCAATCTCTGCCTCCCGTGTTCCAGCGATTCTCCTGCCTCAGCCTCCCGAGTAGCTGGGACTACAGGCACGCGCCACCACGCCCAGCTAATTTTGTGTATTTTTAATAGAGACGGAGTTTCACCATGTTGGCCAGGATAGTCTCGATCTCTTGACCTCATGATCCATCCGCCTCAGCCTCTCAAAGTGCTGGGATTACAGGCGTGAGCCACCACGCCCAGCCAGAATTTTTAAAAGACAGATGTTTGAGAGAAAAAAAAAAACACCTGGTAGCTTTTAAATGTTGTACTTTAGTGAGACCTTCTCTCTGGATTTGGCAGCCTTGCATATTCATTCATTCATAGTTTATAAAAATGAATAAAGCAGAGTCCTCATCCTTTTTGAACTCAGGCTCCAGAAGGCAGATATATTAACTGATAATTATAATATGGTATAGGGCTAAGCTATGGGAGCACAGAGGAGGGAGTAAATAATCAATTCTGCAGAAGTTGGAGGTCTTCATAGCTGAGTCTTGAGAGACAAGTTAGGTTTTACCAGGCAAAGAAGCAAGAGGGTCCCTTTATACAGAGAGAAAAGCAAGTGTAAAGGTACAAAGCTATGGAAAATCTTGACTAAGGAATGGTGAGAGGCTCAATGTGGCTAGGGCAAGGGGTAGATGGGGTTGAGTTGGGGAGGAAATGGATCAAGGGAGGAAGATAGGTGGGGCTGGATTGGAGAAAACAGTACAGAGAAATGAAGAGAAAATAAATGACTCACAGTCCTACCATTCAAAGTGAAATCACTCTTAATTTTGGTATATTTCATTCCAGTTTTATAATTCTAATTGTAAACATGATAACTGCTCAAAAGCAAATAATCAAATTCAGAAAAGCACAAAATAAATACAAATGATCTATTGCCTATCACTTGAAACAATCTATAGTAGTATTCCTTTTAATTTTTGGTGATTTCATGAAAAAGATTTAACTGTATTTCTGTAGACGGTGAGAAACCAAAAGATATATTCAGACAAAGAACTAATATGACAAGATATGTTTTTAAGAAGATATCACTGCTAACAGTATGGAAATTGAATGAGTGTAAGAGGAGACTGGAGACCAAGACATTTACCCTCTTTTTTTTTTTTAACTTCTTTGAGGTTTGGACAAAGAAACCTGTTTGATCCCAGCTGTGCAGGAGCCGAAGTTTCCACAGAACTACAACCTTGTAACAGAGAACCTTGCTCTGACAGAGTACACCTTGTACTTGGGATTTCACAGGTAACTCCTCTGATGTCATTAGGAAAAAACAGTTTAGTTGTGTTGATAACTAGAAGGTAGAAATTGAGTCTTTGGCCAGGCACAGTAGCTCACATCTTTAATCTCAGGATTTTGGGAGGCCAAGGCAGAAGGATTGCTTGAGGCCAGAAGTTTAAGACCACCAACCTGGGCAAGAAAGTGAGACCCCCATCTCTACCAAAAAAAAAAAATTAGCCAGGCATGGTGGCATATGCTTGTGGTCTTAGCTGCTTCAGAGGCTGAGGCAGGAGGATTGCTCTAGCCGAAGAGTTGGAGGCCACAGTGAGCTATGATTGTGCAACTGTACTCCATCCTGGGTGACAGAGTGATAACCTGTTTCTTAAAAAAAAAAGAGAGGAAGAGTCTTACAGATATAATCTGAGCTTATTCTAAAGGTTCACATTAGAATCTAATAGAAAAGGGGCATTGTATGAATTTACTTGTGTTTCATGAATCAGCTTTGTCCAGATTCCTTAAATTTGTTTTTAACTTTTATCGTTGTCGTTGTTGTTGAAATGGATTTTCGCTCTTGTCACCTTGGCTGGAGTACAGTGGCACATTCTCTGCTCACTGCAACCTCCGCCTCCTGGGTTCAAGCAATTCTTCTGCCTCATCCTCCCAAGTAGCTGGGATTACAGGCATGCACCACCATGCCCAGCTGATTTTGTATTTTTTTAGTAGAGATGGGGTTTCGCTGTGTTGGCCAGGCTGGTCTCGAACTCCTGACCTCAGGTGATCCACCACCTTGGCCTCCCAAAGTGCTGGGATTACAGGCATGAGCCACTGTGCCTGGCCTGTTTTTTAACTTTTGACCTGTTAAACTTTAAAAATTAAATCACTGTCTTCCTATTGTGATCTGGGAAAGTGGAATTGTTTTCATTTTATATTGCACTTTCTGCTCTTAAATTTTCATTACTGGCCGGGTGTGGTGGCTCATGCCTGTAATCCTTTGCACTTTGGGAGGCCGAGGCAGGCAGATCACTTGAGCCCAGGAGTTTGAGACCAGCCTGGGCAACATGGCAAAACCCCGTCTCTACAAAATATACAAAAATTAGCTGGGCATGGTGGCGTGTGCCTGTAGTGTCAGCTACTCACGAGGCTGAGGTGGGAGGATCTCTTGAGCCTGGGATGTTGAGACTGCAGTGAGCCGAGATTGCGCCACTGCACTCCAGCCTGGGCAACATAGTGAAACCCTGTCTCAAAAAAAAAAAAAAAAATTTCATTACTACTCCTGGTGATAAAAGATGAAGTTCAGCCGGGCGCAGTGGCTCATGCCTATAATCCCAGCACTTTGGGAGGCTGAGGCAGGCAGATCACAAGGTCAGGAGATCAAGACCGTCCTAGCTAACATGGTGAAACCCCGTCTCTACTAAAAATACAAAAAATTAGCCCAGCTTGGTGGTACGCGCCTGTAGTCCCAGCTACTCGGGAGGTTGAAGAAGGAGAATCGCTTGAACCTGGGAGGCGGAGGTTGCAGTGAGCCGAGATGGTGTCACTGCACTCCAGCCTAGGCGACAGGGCGAGAATCTGTCTCAAAAAAAAAAATTAATTAAAAAAAAGAAAAAGACCAAGTTCTACTCTACAGATAGAGACAAAAGTGGCAAATATTAAGGAAATGTTTATAAGGGAGCTAATGAGATCAATAGGACCACAAAAGACATTAGATAAAGAAGATTCTAGAAATGTTAAGATTTTAGAACTAGAATGTATGACTTCCAAAAACAGTTCTGGTTCTGGCTATTCATTATTCTGTAATTTGTTTTCCTCTGATTTAGCTGATTATGACAGGTATAAGTAGAGGAAGAAAACAGCAACTCAGTCATAGAAAGGGACACTAAGAATAGCAATTTTTAATGCCTTCTCAAGATACCTGAATTGATGCAGAGCATTTTTCAAAACTACTCAGTCAACACATTGCCGGAAGAAGGAAATTATGTCTTTAGAGAGAAATCTCCATCATAGACATTTTAAATAAGACAGTAGATAAAAGTTCAGCATGTGCTTAAGCTGCTCAGCTGCCTAGATTCAAACAAAAAATGAATATCATCTAGTTTCCCAATATTAGCTAGCTCAAGACATTATCTACAGGGCCAAAGGAAATGATTTTGGACTATTATCCATAACTTTGAATTATGTGTCTTCCTTTCAGTAGAGAATATTAGGCTGACCTTTTCTGAAGAATAATTTAATTTAATATTGAACAACAGAGAGCTGGAAGCTGCTCTTAGATTGCATCTCAGGTGGCTACTAGTTTATATGTGGTCATTACTAATCTAGAGTCCCTTTTCACCAGCTTAGTTTTCTACTAACCAAAGAAAGACTATCCATATAACCCCATCAAAGTATGATCATTGCATCAAAGTATGATCATTGCCCTTGTGTGATGTAAAACTATCCTGCTGGCCTTCTTGTACTTTGCCTAATAATTATTTTATGTAATAACAACCCATTCTACACCCTACTCAACCAAGCTGCCTTTCTTTGGATAGTGCATTTCAACTGAAGGCTGCTATTTGCAATTAGCTTCAATTATGTTGAATACTTGGCAGCATTTTCCCATTGCTGTGCACCCTGCCTGTGTCCTGTCAAAAACTTTTGTGAGTGCCTTCTGTGTCATTGCAACTGCAACTCCCTACTATCCTTAAAGAGAAGGCTAGATAAATAATTGAGGATTTGTTTTTTTGTGACTTTCTGTTTTCCCTGACCCAGTCTCTTCTGCTTTCTTGGGGGCAGGTTGCATGATCAGATGGTAAAAATCAACCAAAATCTGCATCGGCTGCAGGTTGCCTGGCGGGATGCTCAGCAAAGTTCTAGCCCTGCTGCTGACAATCTTCGTGAGCAGTTTGAACGACTGATGACCATCTATCTTTCTACCAAGACTGCCATGACAGAGCCACAAATGCTACAAAACTGCCTAAACTTGCAGGTGTCCATGGCTGTTCTACTGGTTCAACTGGCCATAGGCAATGAGGGCTCACAGCCAATAGAGCTAACCTTTCCTTTGCCAGATGGCTACAGCTCTTTGGCTTATGTGCCAGGTAAGCAGGCTCTCCCTTGGGAATGTCCTGTTTATAGCCTTCTGAGTTTAAGTGGGTCACTTTGGAAGTTTAATCCTCAAAATACCCTTTCTTCGTTATCATTCAGTTGTTTTTGGAGAAACAACTCAAACTTAGATAATATCTACTGGTCAAAGTATTAGGGGACTAACAGTTTGTTCCCTCAACCTTGTGTCCCCCTGCTATGCATATCAGAAAATCATCTTCAAAGGATTAAGTGTAATCAGAGTTTTCAGAGCTGTTAGTTTCTATCATTAATATTTGTTCAACTTACACATTCATCTAACTTTCCCTGTCCTTTTTGTAGAAAAAAAATTAGCTCCTGCTGGTTAACTCAGAAGGGAAAGAGTGTGTGTGTGTGTGTGCGTGTGTGTGTGTGTGTGTGTGTGTGTGTGTGTGTGTGTGTGTCAGTGAGTCATTGAGGGGTGGGCAGGTGTTGTCAATCTAATCAGGTTATGTGTTCTTAACCATTGTATTGGCCATATCATGCTGAGTAACAGATTACCCCAAAACATAGCAGCTTAAAACTACAGACTGGGTATGATGGTGCACGCCTGTAATCCCAGCACTTTGGGAGGCCGAAACAGGATGATTACTTGAGCCCAGGAGTTCAAGATTGGCCTGGGCAACATAGAGAGACCCTATCTCTACAAAAAATAAAAAATTAGCCAGGCATGGTGGTGCACACTTGTAGTTCCAGCTACTCAGGAGGCTGAAGTGAGAGAATCGCTTGAGCCCAGGAAGTTGAGGCCACAGTGAGCCATAATTGCACTACTGTACTCCAGCCTGGGTGACAGCAGGACCCTGTCTCAGAAAATAAATTAATTAATTAATAAAATAACAACAACAACTGCAAACAGCTCACTCACCTGCATTGTTCTGACTCAGAGTTCCTCAGGAAGTTATATAGCCAAGCTGTCAATCAGGGCCTTAGGAATCTGAGGACTCTGCTAGGGCTGGAGGATCCACTTACAAGCCCAGTCATGTGGTTGTTGACAGGCCTCAGTTGCTTGTGCTATTGGCCAGCAGCTTCTTTTCTAGGCCATGTATGTGTCTTCTAAATACTACTCATGATATGGCAGCTGGCTTCCCCCAGAGCAAGTGACCAAAATGGAGACTGTAAGCTTTTATACCCTAATCTTGGAAATGACATACTATCACATCTGCTGTATGCCTCAGAGTTTATCTTCTACTCTGAAAGAGTGAATGTGGGAGGGGACTGCATAAGGTCATGAATACCAAAAGGCAATGATCATTGGAGGACCATCCTGGAGTCTGGCTACCACAGTCACCTAACATATTAATCTTTATTAGAGAGTCCTCACACATCTGAAGGGTTTAAACCACAGTTAACCTTGAGAGTAAAAATGTATATATTAGTATACTGGTGTGTTAACATTTTGTGTCATTACTGTTCATATATTTACTTGAATAAAAATTTAAATTGACTTACATTTAAAGGAGATTTTACATTTATTGACTTAACGACCATCTCTAGTACCAACAAAACATTTAGGGTTTTTTTTAACCTTCATTAAGTAGGGTGAAAGGAATTTAAATGTTGTTTATTAGTACAGATATACAGATGTTTGGCTAATTCCAGTGAATATTTTCTTTTTCAGAATTTTTTGCAGATAACCTGGGTGATTTTCTCATTTTTCTCCGCCGCTTTGCCGATGACATTTTGGAGACATCAGCAGATTCCCTGGAGCATGTCCTTCACTTTATCACCATTTTCACTGGAAGCATAGAAAGGTGAAGTGCTGAAAGCTTGGTTCTGTCACTGTTTAGGCTGTAAAACATTCAGAAGACTTCTAAACCAAGAAATAAACAAGCCTGAATCATAAGGGGTTGCCTTCAGAAGTTATGGTAACATTAAGGAATCACCTGACCATCCATATGGGTAGCCAGAAATCCCACTGTTGAGAGGTATAATAAACAAAGGACTTTGTCCACAGAGAATTTAATCCTGCATATAAGTATCTTATGGGAAGTCCACTGCCAGTCCCTGGTTAAAGTAGTTAACCTAATGCCAGAAACTTAACAGTGGCAGCCAGGTGCTAATGATCTTCTAATAATTATATGATAATAAAGCTTATTCTTGCTATTCTGAGTTGGATGAGCAGTAAACTTAAGTCAATGTTATTTCTCATTTCAAGTTTTCTCACTCATAGCTTCTAGTCCTCTTTTCCAAAGGAAGATACTGTGACTTGTAGAATTGCTTCCCTGATTTTTTTGATGCATAGGCTAAAGGAAGTGGAAACTCTGTGTACAAAAGTGAAGATTTGCTGCACAATGAAGAGAATGACCCACAATTCCCTGAGCCGTATCAGTGATAAGTAGAGAGAAGCCATTTCTTCACTGAGCTGAGCATACCTAATGAGAAGTCATAAGTCAACAAGTATTATGCATACACTGTATGCGTCATGGGTAATGTAGCATAATTATATTCTAGTCTTTACCCTCAGAAAGCTTGAAAAGGCAAGTTTATTCCACATGAAACTGTCAGAGAATAGGAAGCAGTAAATAATGCATTATTACAGAGAAGTAAACAATGGCTAAGCATTCAATAGAAACTTAAGTGCTCACCGTCATATTTGGTAAGCTGTCAACTCAAGAGTTAAATGATGTACCCTGCATCACCACCCCACCCCCCGCCCAGCCGCACCAAGAAACTGACAAACTTAAAACTGCAGAAGTGGATCCTTTTTTTTCCTGTAATATGGTTTAGGGTGGATTTTGATTCTTATGTGGAGAGAACAGAGTCATAAATTTGGAGTTAAGCTTATCTGCTCATCTTGCTTTTTGCCCATTTTGCAGAATGAAGAATCCCCACCTGAGGGCCAAACTAGCAGAGGTGTTGGAAGCAGTGATGCCCCACCTGGATCAGACCCCAAATCCCTTGGTATCCAGTGTGTTCCACCGGAAACGTGTGTTCTGCAACTTTCAGTATGCACCCCAACTTGCAGAGGCTCTAATCAAGGTTTTTGTGGACATCGAATTTACAGGTAAAGCAGTCATGAAGCTGAGCCCAGAACTGGGAAGCTGATACCAGTGGAGTTTCATAGTTTGATCCGTATTTGGATATCAAAGAAATGTCAAGCCATTACTTATTGAATACCTACTATATGCCAGGCTTGATGATAAGTGCTTTTTTTTTTTTTTTAACATTATCCCATTGTCACCATTGGAAAAGTTTCACTCTATTATCCCTGTTTTATTTATTTTTTATTTTTTAATTATTCTTGTTTTACATATGAAGACATGACTGCCCAAAAGATCAGTTTGTCCATGTCATAACAAACTACCAAGTGGTAGAATCAGGTCTGTGTCACCTAAAGAAATCTACATATTCAACACCCTTATTATGTTGCATCATCAAATCAGACTCAAATTAGACTATTTGGGTCTTTATATTTCTCTGCCTTAAAATTACAGAATAGTGCATAAAGAGGCAGTGTATTGGTTGAGAGATTCTTTTATCTTAACCAGACTATCTAACTCTCCAACAGTCTAATGGTTCGATTAAAAATACCAGCAGGCGGACAGGCACAGTGGCTCATGCTTGTAATCCCAGCGTTTTGGGAGGCCAAAGTAGGCAGATCACTTGAGCTCCTGAGTTTGAGACCAGCCTGGCCAACATGGTGAAACCCATTCTCTACAAAAATACAAAAATTACCCAGGCATGGTGGCAGGTGCCTGTAATCCCAGCTACTTAGGAGGCAGAGGCACGAGAATTGCTTGAATTCGGGAGGCAGAGGTGGCAGTGAGCTGAGATCGCACCACTCCAGCCTGGATGACAGAGCAAGAAATCCCTCTCAAAAAAAAAAAAAAAAAAAAAAAACCAGCAGGCAACATTCCCTCTCTATCTAACCCTGAGCCCCTGTGTTTGTTTAAACAGTACCCTGTCTCAATCAGTAAATAAGATATGTTAAGAAGTTGTTGAAGACCATTTTTTAAAGGGATATCTACCATCCAATGATAAATACAACTAACATTTAAAGAGGCATTTAACATTTTACTGGCCGCCTTTCCATATTTGGATTCTGGTTTTTTTTAATTCGCTCACCTATCAACCTTAGTTTCCTCATCTATAAAATGGGTCAAAGTGATGATTAAGTGAAATAATGCATGTAAATCTTTATAATACATAAGAAATTGTATAATAAATCATTGCAGTTATCTCGTTATGTGACCATACAACCAAAGTGTTGTAATGGAGTACAATTTCTGTTTTATTTCTGAGGAAGTGGAAGCTGAAGAAGATTAAGAGACTTAGATTAAGCAGAGCCAGAATGAAAACGTAGGTCTTTTGACTCCAAATCCTACACTCTTCCTTTATTATGACCCAGCCTGTGGAGCTCTAGTAATACCTTTGGTATTTCAAAAGCAGTATAAGCCTCAGATTTTTAGCTCCTGACCTGATTTTTCAGAGTAATCAAGAACCTGTTGGCTACACAGTTTGGGATATTGTCTGTGAAGAATGTGGGAATTGCTTAGTGTCCCGTCCTGCACATGGCTTTCACTGCCATAATGGCCAGCCCTGAGCCCTCATTTAAAGCCTGAGAAGTACTCATGTTTGGATATGGAAACATTTGTTTCCCTTAACTTTTATTTTACAGCTTGGTACTTGTCTCTTGCAGAGTAAGGTATCCTTTATCTCTGTCTCCCCCTTACTTCATCAGTAAGGAAATGAGCAAACACTTGGCGATAACTCTAGGCCTTTAGAAACTCCAGGGCAGATTTTGTTAGTAGCCTTAACACACTCAAAAGCAAA